>NC_000020.11:27518801-27871441 GCF_000001405.40 Homo sapiens
AGCATTCTCAGAAACTTCTTTGTGATGTTTGCATTGAAGTCACAGAGTTGAACATTCCCTTTGAGAGAGCAGGTTTGAAACATGCCTTTTGTCATATCTGGAAGTGTCCATTCGGAGCGCATTCAGGCTTGTGTTGAAAAAGGAAATATCCTCCCAGAAAAACTAGACAGAAGCATTCTCAGAAACTTATTTGTGATGTATGTACTCAAGTAACAGAACTAAACCATCGTTTTGAAGGAGCAGTTTTGAAACACTCTTTTTGCGGAATCTGCAAGTGGATATTTGGCTAGCTGGGAGGATTTCGTTGGAAACGGGATTACATACAAAAAGCAGACAGCAGCATTCTCAGAAACTTCTTTGTGATGTTTGCATTCAAGTCACAGAGTTGAACATTCCCTTTCATAGAGCAGGTTTGAAACACTCTTTTTGTAGTATCTGGATGTGGACATTTGGATCGCTTTCAGGCCTATGGTGAAAAAGGAAATATCTTCCCATGAAAACTAGACAGAAGCATTCTCAGAAACTTATTTGTGATGTGTGCCCTCAACTGACAGTGTTGAACCTTTGTTTTGATAGAGCAGTTCTGAAACACACTTTTTGTAAAATCTGCAAGAGGATATTTGGATAGCTTTGAGGATTTCGTTGGAAACGGGAATGTCTTCATGTAAACTCTAGACAGAAGCATTCTCAGAAACTGCTTTGGGATGTTTCAATTGAAGTCCCAGTGTTGAACATTCCCTTTCATAGAGCAGGTTTGAAACACTCTTTTTGTAGTATCTGGAAGTGGACATTTGGAGCGCTTTCAGGTCTACGGTGAAAAAGGAGATATCTTCCAATAAAAACTAGATAGAAGCAATGTCAGAACTTTTTTCATGATGTATCTACTCAGCAAACAGAGTTGAACCTTTCTTTTGAGAGAGCAGTTTTGAAACACTCTTTTTGTGGAATATGCAAGTGGGTATTAGGCCAGCTTGGAGGATTTCGTTGGAAACGGGAATACGTATAAAAAGCAGACAGCAGCATTGTCAGAAACTACTTTGTGATGTTTGCATTCAAGTCACAGAATTGAACACTCCCTTTCACAGAGCAGGTTTGAAACACTCTTTTTGTAGTGTCTGTAAGTGAACATTTGGATTGCTTTCAGGCCTAAGGTGAAAAAGGAAATATCTTCCCATAAAAACTAGACAGAAGCATTCTCAGAAACTTGTTCTTGATGTGTCTCCTCTACTGACAGAGTTGAACCTTTCTTTGCAAAGAGCAGTTTTGAAACACTCTTTTTGTAGAATCTGCAAGAGGATATTTGGATAGCTTTGAGGATTTCTTGGGAAACGGGAATGTCTTCAGATAAACTCTAGACAGAAGCATTCTCAGAAACTTCTTTGGGATGTTTCAATTGAAGTCACAGTGTTGAACATTCCCTTTCACAGAGCAGGTTTGAAACACTCTTTTTGTAGTGTCTATAAGTGAACATTTGGCGTGCTTTCAGGCGTAACGTGAAAAAGGAAATATCTTCCCATAAAAACCAGACAGAAGCATTCTCAGAAACTTGTTTGTGATGTGTGCCCTCTACTGACAGAGTTGAACCTTTCTTTGCAAAGAGCAGCTTTGAAACACTCTTTTTGTAGAATCTGCAAGAGGATATGTGGATAGCTTTGAGGATTTCGTTGGAAACGGGTATGTCTTCAGATAAACTCTAGACAGAAGCATTCTCAGAAACTTCTTTGGGATGTTGCATGCAAGTCACAGAGTAGAACATTCCCATTCATAGAGCAGATTTGAAACACTCTTTTTGTAGTATCTGGAAGTGGACATTTGGAGCGCTTTCAGGCCTATGTTGAAAAAGGAAATATCTTCCCATAAAAACTAGACGGAAGCATTCTCAGAAACTTATTTGTGATGTGTTTGCTCAACTAACAGGATTGAACCATCGTTTTGAAGGAGCAGTTTTGAAACACTGTTTTCGTGGAATCTGCAAGTGGATATTTGGCTAGCTTTGAGGATTTCGTTGGAAACGGGATTACATATAAAAAGGAGACAGCAGCATTCTGAGAAACTTCTTTGTGATGTCTGCATTCAATTCACAGAGTTGAGCATTCCCTTTCATAGAGCAGGTTTGAAACACTCTTTTTGTAGTATCTGGATGTGGACATTTGGATCGCTTTCAGGCCTATGGTGAAAAAGGAAATATCTTCCCATGAAAACTAGACAGAAGCATTCTCAGAAGTTTATTTGTGATGTGTGCCCTCAACTGACAGTGTTGAACCTTTGTTTTGATAGAGCAGTTCTGAAAGACACTTTTTGTAAAATCTGCAAGAGGATATTTGGATAGCTTTGAGGATTTCGTTGGAAACGGGAATGTCTTCATGTAAACTCTAGACAGAAGCATTCTCAGAAACTGCTTTGGGATGTTTCAATTGAAGTCCCAGTGTTGAACATTCCCATTCATAGAGCAGGTTTGAAACACTCTTTTTGTACTATCTGGAAGTGGACATTTGGAGCGCTTTCAGGTCTACGGTGAAAAAGGAGATATCTTCCAATAAAAACTAGATAGAAGCAATGTCAGAACTTTTTTCATGATGTATCTACTCAGCACACAGAGTTGAACCTTTCTTTTGAGAGAGCAGTTTTGAAACACTCTTTTTGTGGAATATGCAAGTGGGTATTAGGCCAGCTTGGAGGATTTCGTTGGAAACGGGAATACGTATAAAAAGCAGACAGCAGCATTGTCAGAAACTACTTTGTGATGTTTGCATTCAAGTCACAGAATTGAACACTCCCTTTCACAGAGCAGGTTTGAAACACTCTTTTTGTAGTGTCTGTAAGTGAACATATGGATTGCTTTCAGGCCTAAGGTGAAAAAGGAAATATCTTCCCATAAAAACTAGACAGAAGCATTCTCAGAAACTTGTTTGTGATGTGTGCCCTCTACTGACAGAGTTGAACCTTTCTTTGCAAAGAGCAGTTTTGAAACACTCTTTTTGTAGAATCTGCAAGAGGATATTTGGATAGCTTTGAAGATTTCTTGGGAAACGGGAATGTCTTCAGATAAACTCTAGACAGAAGCATTCTCAGAAACTTCTTTGGGATGTTTCAATTGAAGTCACAGTGTTGAACATTCCCTTTCACAGAGCAGGTTTGAAACACTCTTTTTGTAGTGTGTATAAGTGAACATTTCGCGTGCTTTCAGGCCTAACGTGAAAAAGGAAATATCTTCCCATAAAAACTAGACAGAAGCATTCTCAGAAACTTGTTCATGATGTGTGCCCTCTACTGACAGAGTTGAACCTTTCTTTGCAAAGAGCAGCTTTGAAACACTCTTTTTGTAGAATCTGCAAGAGGATATTTGGATAGCTTGGAGGATTTCGTTGGAAACGGGTATGTCTTCAGATAAACTCTAGACAGAAGCATTCTCAGAAACTTCTTTGGGATGTTGCATTCAAGTCACAGAGTAGAACATTCCCATTCATAGAGCAGATTTGAAACACTCTTTTTGTAGTATCTGGAAGTGGACATTTGGAGCTGCTTTCAGGCCTATGTTGAAAAAGGAAATATCTTCCCATAAAAACTAGACGGAAGCATTCTCAGAAACTTACTTGTGATGTGTTTGCTCAACTAACAGAATTGAACCATCGTTTTGAAGGAGCAGTTTTGAAACACTGTTTTCGTTGAATCTGCAAGTGGATATTTGGCTAGCTTTGAGGATTTCGTTGGAAACGGGATTACATATAAAAAGGAGACAGCAGCATTCTCAGAAACTTCTTTGTGATGTTTGCATTCAAGTCACAGAGTTGAACATTCCCTTTCATAGAGCAGGTTTGAAACACTCTTTTTGTAGTATCTGGATGTGGACATTTGGATCGCTTTCAGGCCTATGGTGAAAAAGGAAATATCTTCCCATGAAAACTAGACAGAAGCATTCTCAGAAACTTATTTGTGATGTGTGCCCTCAACTGACAGTGTTGAACCTTTGTTTTGATAGAGCAGTTCTGAAACACACTTTTTGTAAAATCTGCAAGAGGATATTTGGATAGCTTTGAGGATTTCGTTGGAAACGGGAATGTCTTCATGTAAACTCTAGACAGAAGCATTCTCAGAAACTGCTTTGGGATGTTTCAATTGAAGTCCCAGTGTTGAACATTCCCTTTCATAGAGCAGGTTTGAAACACTCTTTTTGTACTATCTGGAAGTGGACATTTGGAGCGCTTTCAGGTCTACGGTGAAAAAGGAGATATCTTCCAATAAAAACTAGATAGAAGCAATGTCAGAACTTTTTTCATGATGTATCTACTCAGCAAACAGAGTTGAACCTTTCTTTTGAGAGAGCAGTTTTGAAACACTCTTTTTGTGGAATATGCAAGTGGGTATTAGGCCAGCTTGGAGGATTTCGTTGGAAACGGGAATACGTATAAAAAGCAGACAGCAGCATTGTCAGAAACTACTTTGTGATGTTTGCATTCAAGTCACAGAATTGAACACTCCCTTTCACAGAGCAGGTTTGAAACACTCTTTTTGTAGTGTCTGTAAGTGAACATTTGGATTGCTTTCAGGCCTAAGGTGAAAAAGGAAATATCTTCCCATAAAAACTAGACAGAAGCATTCTCAGAAACTTGTTTGTGATGTGTGCCCTCTACTGACAGAGTTGAACCTTTCTTTGCAAAGAGCAGTTTTGAAACACTCTTTTTGTAGAATCTGCAAGAGGATATTTGGATAGCTTTGAGGATTTCTTGGGAAACGGGAATGTCTTCAGATAAACTCTAGACAGAAGCATTCTCAGAAACTTCTTTGGGATGTTTCAATTGAAGTCACAGTGTTGAACATTCCCTTTCACAGAGCAGGTTTGAAACACTCTTTTTGTAGTGTCTATAAGTGAACATTTGGCGTGCTTTCAGGCGTAACGTGAAAAAGGAAATATCTGCCCATAAAAACTAGGCAGAAGCATTCTCAGAAACTTGTTCGTGATGAGTGCCCTCTACTGACAGAGTTGAACCTTTCTTTGCAAAGAGCAGCTTTGAAACACTCTTTTTGTAGAATCTGCAAGAGGATATGTGGATAGCTTTGAGGATTTCGTTGGAAACGGGTATGTCTTCAGATAAACTCTAGACAGAAGCATTCTCAGAAACTTCTTTGGGATGTTTCAATTGAAGTCACAGTGTTGAACATTCCCTTTCACAGAGCAGGTTTGAAACACTCTTTTTGTAGTGTCTATAAGTGAACATTTGGCGTGCTTTCAGGCCTAACGTGAAAAAGGAAATATCTTCCCATAAAAACTAGACAGAAGCATTCTCAGAAACTTGTTCTTGATGTGTCCCCTCTACTGACAGAGTTGAAACTTTCTTTGCAAAGAGCAGCTTTGAAACACTCTTTTTGTAGAATCTGCAAGAGGATATTTGGATAGCTTGGAGGATTTCGTTGGAAACGGGTATGTCTTCAGATAAACTCTAGACAGAAGCATTCTCAGAAACTTCTTTGGGATGTTGCATTCAAGTCACAGAGTAGAACATTCCCATTCATAGAGCAGATTTGAAACACTCTTTTTGTAGTATCTGGAAGTGGACATTTGGAGCGCTTTCAGGCCTATGTTGAAAAAGGAAATATCTTCCCATAAAAACTAGACGGAAGCATTCTCAGAAACTTATTTGTGATGTGTTTGCTCAACTAACAGGATTGAACCATCGTTTTGAAGGAGCAGTTTTGAAACACTGTTTTCGTGGAATCTGCAAGTGGATATTTGGCTAGCTTTGAGGATTTCGTTGGAAACGGGATTACATATAAAAAGGAGACAGCAGCATTCTCAGAAACTTCTTTGTGATGTTTGCATTCAAGTCACAGAGTTGAACATTCCCTTTCATAGAGCAGGTTTGAAACACTCTTTTTGTAGTATCTGGATGTGGACATTTGGATCGCTTTCAGGCCTATGGTGAAAAAGGAAATATCTTCCCATGAAAACTAGACAGAAGCATTCTCAGAAACTTATTTGTGATGTGTGCCCTCAACTGACAGTGTTGAACCTTTGTTTTGATAGAGCAGTTCTGAAACACACTTTTTGTAAAATCTGCAAGAGGATATTTGGATAGCTTTGAGGATTTCGTTGGAAACGGGAATGTCTTCATGTAAACTCTAGACAGAAGCATTCTCAGAAACTGCTTTGGGATGTTTCAATTGAAGTCCCAGTGTTGAACATTCCCTTTCATAGAGCAGGTTTGAAACACTCTTTTTGTACTATCTGGAAGTGGACATTTGGAGCGCTTTCAGGTCTACGGTGAAAAAGGAGATATCTTCCAATAAAAACTAGATAGAAGCAATGTCAGAACTTTTTTCATGATGTATCTACTCAGCAAACAGAGTTGAACCTTTCTTTTGAGAGAGCAGTTTTGAAACACTCTTTTTGTGGAATATGCAAGTGGGTATTAGGCCAGCTTGGAGGATTTCGTTGGAAACGGGAATACGTATAAAAAGCAGACAGCAGCATTGTCAGAAACTACTTTGTGATGTTTGCATTCAAGTCACAGAATTGAACACTCCCTTTCACAGAGCAGGTTAGAAACACTCTTTTTGTAGTGTCTGTAAGTGAACATTTGGATTGCTTTCAGGCCTAAGGTGAAAAAGGAAATATCTTCCCATAAAAACTAGACAGAAGCATTCTCAGAAACTTGTTTGTGATGTGTGCCCTCTACTGACAGAGTTGAACCTTTCTTTGCAAAGAGCAGTTTTGAAACACTCTTTTTGTAGAATCTGCAAGAGGATATTTGGATAGCTTTGAGGATTTCTTGGGAAACGGGAATGTCTTCAGATAAACTCTAGACAGAAGCATTCTCAGCAAACTTCTTTGGGATGTTTCAATTGAAGTCACAGTGTTGAACATTCCCTTTCACAGAGCAGGTTTGAAACACTCTTTTTGTAGTGTCTATAATTGAACATTTGGCGTGCTTTCAGGCCTAACGTGAAAAAGGAAATATCTTCCCATAAAAACTAGACAGAAGCATTCTCAGAAACTTGTTCGTGATGTGTGCCCTCTACTGACAGAGTTGAACCTTTCTTTGCAAAGAGCAGCTTTGAAACACTCTTTTTGTAGAATCTGCAAGAGGATATTTGGATAGCTTTGAGGATTTCGTTGGAAACGGGTATGTCTTCAGATAAACTCTAGACAGAAGCATTCTCAGAAACTTCTTTGGGATGTTGCATTCAAGTCACAGAGTAGAACATTCCCATTCATAGAGCAGATTTGAAACACTCTTTTTGTAGTATCTGGAAGTGGACATTTGGAGCGCTTTCAGGCCTATGTTGAAAAAGGAAATATCTTCCCATAAAAACTAGACGGAAGCATTCTCAGAAACTTATTTGTGATGTGTTTGCTCAACTAACAGGATTGAACCATCGTTTTGAAGGAGCAGTTTTGAAACACTGTTTCCGTGGAATCTGCAAGTGGATATTTGGCTAGCTTTGAGGATTTCGTTGGAAACGGGATTACATATACAAAGGAGACAGCAGCATTCTCAGAAACTTCTTTGTGATGTCTGCATTCAAGTCACAGAGTTGAGCATTCCCTTTCATAGAGCAGGTTGGAAACACTCTTTTTGTAGTATCTGGATGAGGACATTTGGAGCGCTTTCAGGCCTATGGTGAAAAAGGAAATATCTTCCCGTAAAAACTAGACAGAAGCATTCTCAGAAGTTTATTTGTGATGTGTGCCCTCAACTAACAGAGTTGAACCTTTCTTTTGATAGAGCAGTTTTGAAACACTCTTTTTGTAAAATCTGCAAGAGGATATTTGGATAGCTTTGAGGATTTCGTTGCAAACGGGAATGGCTTCATATAAACTCTAGACAGAAGCATTCTCAGAAACTTCGTTGGGATGTTTCGATTGAAGTCCCAGTGTTGAACATTCCCTTTTATAGAGCAGGTTGGAAACACTCTTTCTGCATTCCCTGGAAGTGGACATTTGGAGCGCTTTCAGGACGACGGTGAAAATGGAAATATCTTCCAAGAAAATCTAGATAGAAGCAATGTCAGAAACTTTTATGTGATGGATCTACTCAGCTAACAGAGTTGAACCTTTCTTTTGAGAGAGCAGTTTTGCAACACTCTTTTTGTGGAATATGCAAGTGGATATTAGGGCAGCTTTGAGGATTTCGTAGGAAACGGGAATACATGTAAAAAGCAGACAGCAGCATTCTCAGAAACTTCTTTGTGATGTTTGCATTGAAGTCACAGAGTTGAACATTCCCTTTGAGAGAGCAGGTTTGAAACACGCCTTTTGTGATATCAGGAAGTGTCCATTCGGAGCGCATTCAGGCTTGTGTTGAAAAAGGAAATATCCTCCCATAAAAACTAGACAGAAGCATTGTCAGAAACTTATGTGTGATGTATGTACTCAACTAACAGAACTAAACCATCGTTTTGAAGGAGCAGTTTTGAAACACTCTTTTTGCGGAATCTGCAAGTGGATATTTGGCTAGCTGGGAGGATTTCGTTGGAAACGGGATTACATACAAAAAGCAGAGAGCAGCATTCTCAGAAACTTCTTTGTGATGTTTGCATTCAAGTCACAGAGTTGAACATTCCCTTTCATAGAGCAGGTTTGAAACACTCTTTTTGTAGTATCTGGATGTGGACATTTGGATCGCTTTCAGGCCTATGGTGAAAAAGGAAATATCTTCCCATGAAAACTAGACAGAAGCATTCTCAGAAACTTATTTGTGATGTGTGCCCTCAACTGACAGTGTTGAACCTTTGTTTTGATAGAGCAGTTCTGAAACACACTTTTTGTAAAAACTGCAAGAGGATATTTGCATAGCTTTGAGGATTTCGTTGGAAACGGGAATGTCTTCATGTAAACTCTAGACAGAAGCATTCTCAGAAACTGCTTTGGGATGTTTCAATTGAAGTCCCAGTGTTGAACATTCCCTTTCATAGAGCAGGTTTGAAACACTCTTTTTGTACTATCTGGAAGTGGACATTTGGAGCGCTTTCAGGTCTACGGTGAAAAAGGAGATATCTTCCAATAAAAACTAGATAGAAGCAATGTCAGAAGTTTTTCATGATGTATCTACTCAGCAAACAGAGTTGAACCTTTCTTTTGAGAGAGCAGTTTTGAAACACTCTTTTTGTGGAATATGCAAGTGGGTATTAGGCCAGCTTGGAGGATTTCGTTGGAAACGGGAATACGTATTAAAAGCAGACAGCAGCATTGTCAGAAACTACTTTGTGATGTTTGCATTCAAGTCACAGAATTGAACACTCCCTTTCACAGAGCAGGTTTGAAACACTCTTTTTGTAGTGTCTGTAAGTGAACATTTGGATTGCTTTCAGACCTAAGGTGAAAAAGGAAATATCTTCCCATAAAAACTAGACAGAAGCATTCTCAGAAACTTGTTTGTGATGTGTGCCCTCTACTGACAGAGTTGAACCTTTCTTTGCAAAGAGCAGTTTTGAAACACTCTTTTTGTAGAATCTGCAAGAGGATATTTGGATAGCTTTGAGGATTTCTTGGGAAACGGGAATGTCTTCAGATAAACTCTAGACAGAAGCATTCTCAGAAACTTCTTTGGGATGTTTCAATTGAAGTCACAGTGTTGAACATTCCCTTTCACAGAGCAGGTTTGAAACACTCTTTTTGTAGTGTCTATAAGTGAACATTTGGCGTGCTTTCAGGCCTAACGTGAAAAAGGAAATATCTTCCCATAAAAACTAGACAGAAGCATTCTCAGAAACTTGTTCGTGATGTGTGCCCTCTACTGACAGAGTTGAACCTTTCTTTGCAAAGAGCAGCTTTGAAACACTCTTTTTGTAGTATCTGCAAGAGGATATTTGGATAGCTTTGAGGATTTCGTTGGAAACGGGTATGTCTTCAGATAAACTCTAGACAGAAGCATTCTCAGAAACTTCTTTGGGATGTTGCATTCAAGTCACAGAGTAGAACATTCCCATTCATACAGCAGATTTGAAACACTCTTTTTGTAGTATCTGGAAGTGGACATTTGGAGCGCTTTCAGGCCTATGTTGAAAAAGGAAATATCTTCCCATAAAAACTAGACGGAAGCATTCTCAGAAACTTACTTGTGATGTGTTTGCTCAACTAACAGAATTGAACCATCGTTTTGAAGGAGCAGTTTTGAAACACTGTTTTCGTGGAATCTGCAAGTGGATATTTGGCTAGCTTTGAGGATTTCGTTGGAAACGGGATTACATATAAAAAGGAGACAGCCGCATTCTCAGAAACTTCTTTGTGATGTCTGCATTCAAGTCACAGAGTTGAGCATTCCCTTTCATAGAGCAGGTTGGAAACACTCTTTTTGTAGTATCTGGATGAGGACATTTGGAGCGCTTTCAGGCGTATGGTGAAAAAGGAAATATCTTCCCGTAAAAACTAGACAGAAGCATTCTCAGAAATTTATTTGTGATGTGTGCCCTCAACTAACAGAGTTGAACCTTTCTTTTGATAGAGCAGTTTTGAAACACTCTTTTTGTAAAATCTGCAAGAGGATATTTGGATAGCTTTGAGGATTTCGTTGCAAACGGGAATGGCTTCATATAAACTCTAGACAGAAGCATTCTCAGAAACTTCGTTGGGATGTTTCGATTGAAGTCCCAGTGTTGAACATTCCCTTTTATAGAGCAGGTTGGAAACACTCTTTCTGCATTCCCTGGAAGTGGACATTTGGAGCGCTTTCAGGACGACGGTGAAAATGGAAATATCTTCCAAGAAAATCTAGATAGAAGCAACGTCAGAAACTTTTCTGTGATGGATCTACTCAGCTAACAGAGTTGAACCTTTCTTTTGAGAGAGCAGTTTTGCAACACTCTTTTTGTGGAATATGCAAGTGGATATTAGGGCAGCTTTGAGGATTTCGTTGGAAACGGGAATACATGTAAAAAGCAGACAGCAGCATTCTCAGAAACTTCTTTGTGATGTTTGCATTGAAGTCACAGAGTTGAACATTCCCTTTGAGAGAGCAGGTTTGAAACACGCCTTTTGTCATATCTGGAAGTGTCCATTCGGAGCGCATTCAGGCTTGTGTTGAAAAAGGAAATATCCTCCCATAAAAACTAGACAGAAGCATTCTCAGAAACTTATCTGTGATGTATGTACTCAACTAACAGAACTAAACCATCGTTTTGAAGGAGCAGTTTTGAAACACTCTTTTTGCGGAATCTGCAAGTGGATATTTGGCTAGCTGGGAGGATTTCGTTGGAAACGGGATTACATACAAAAAGCAGACAGCAGCATTCTCAGAAACTTCTTTGTGATGTTTGCATTCAAGTCACAGAGTTGAACATTCCCTTTCATAGAGCAGGTTTGAAACACTCTTTTTGTAGTATCTGGATGTGGACATTTGGATCGCTTTCAGGCCTATGGTGAAAAAGGAAATATCTTCCCATGAAAACTAGACAGAAGCATTCTCAGAAACTTATTTGTGATGTGTGCCCTCAACTGACAGTGTTGAACCTTTGTTTTGATAGAGCAGTTCTGAAACACACTTTTTGTAAAATCTGCAAGAGGATATTTGGATAGCTTTGAGGATTTCGTTGGAAACGGGAATGTCTTCATGTAAACTCTACACAGAAGCATTCTCAGAAACTGCTTTGGGATGTTTCAATTGAAGTCCCAGTGTTGAACATTCCCATTCATAGAGCAGGTGTGAAACACTCTTTTTGTACTATCTGGAAGTGGACATTTGGAGCGCTTTCAGGTCTACGGTGAAAAAGGAGATATCTTCCAATAAAAACTAGATAGAAGCAATGTCAGAACTTTTTTCATGATGTATCTACTCAGCAAACAGAGTTGAACCTTTCTTTTGAGAGAGCAGTTTTGAAACACTCTTTTTGTGGAATATGCAAGTGGGTATTAGGCCAGCTTGGAGGATTTCGTTGGAAACGGGAATACGTATAAAAAGCAGACAGCAGCATTGTCAGAAACTACTTTGTGATGTTTGCATTCAAGTCACAGAATTGAACACTCCCTTTCACAGAGCAGGTTTGAAACACTCTTTTTGTAGTGTCTGTAAGTGAACATTTGGATTGCTTTCAGGCCTAAGGTGAAAAAGGAAATATCTTCCCATAAAAACTAGACAGAAGCATTCTCAGAAACTTGTTTGTGATGTGTGCCCTCTACTGACAGAGTTGAACCTTTCTTTGCAAAGAGCAGTTTTGAAACACTCTTTTTGTAGAATCTGCAAGAGGATATTTGGATAGCTTTGAGGATTTCTTGGGAAACGGGAATGTCTTCAGATAAACTCTAGACAGAAGCATTCTCAGAAACTTCTTTGGGATGTTTCAATTGAAGTCACAGTGTTGAACATTCCCTTTCACAGAGCAGGTTTGAAACACTCTTTTTGTAGTGTCTATAAGTGAACATTTGGCGTGCTTTCAGGCGTAACGTGAAAAAGGAAATATCTTCCCATAAAAACTAGACAGAAGCATTCTCAGAAACTTGTTCGTGATGTGTGCCCTCTACTGACAGAGTTGAACCTTTCTTTGCAAAGAGCAGCTTTGAAACACTCTTTTTGTAGAATCTGCAAGAGGATATTTGGATAGCTTTGAGGATTTCGTTGGAAACGGGTATGTCTTCAGATAAACTCTAGACAGAAGCATTCTCAGAAACTTCTTTGGGATGTTGCATTCAAGTCACAGAGTAGAACATTCCCATTCATAGAGCAGATTTGAAACACTCTTTTTGTAGTATCTGGAAGTGGACATTTGGAGCGCTTTCAGGCCTATGTTGAAAAAGGAAATATCTTCCCATAAAAACTAGACGGAAGCATTCTCAGAAACTTATTTGTGATGTGTTTGCTCAACTAACAGGATTGAACCATCGTTTTGAAGGAGCAGTTTTGAAACACTGTTTTCGTGGAATCTGCAAGTGGATATTTGGCTAGCTTTGAGGATTTCGTTGGAAACGGGATTACATATAAAAAGGAGACAGCAGCATTCTCAGAAACTTCTTTGTGATGTCTGCATTCAATTCACAGAGTTGAGCATTCCCTTTCCTAGAGCACGTTGGAAACACTCTTTTTGTAGTATCTGGATGAGGACATTTGGAGCGCTTTCAGGCGTATGGTGAAAAAGGAAATATCTTCCCGTAAAAACTAGACAGAAGCATTCTCAGAAATTTATTTGTGATGTGTGCCCTCAACTAACAGAGTTGAACCTTTCTTTTGATAGAGCAGTTTTGAAACACTCTTTTTGTAAAATCTGCAAGAGGATATTTGGATAGCTTTGAGGATTTCGTTGCAAACGGGAATGGCTTCATATAAACTCTAGACAGAAGCATTCTCAGAAACTTCGTTGGGATGTTTTGATTGAAGTCCCAGTGTTGAACATTCCCTTTTATAGAGCAGGTTGGAAACACTCTTTCTGCATTCCCTGGAAGTGGACATTTGGAGCGCTTTCAGGACGACGGTGAAAATGGAAATATCTTCCAATAAAATCTAGATAGAAGCAATGTCAGAAACTTTTCTGTGATGGATCTACTCAGCTAACAGAGTTGAACCTTTCTTTTGAGAGAGCAGTTTTGCAACACTCTTTTTGTGGAATATGCAAGTGGATATTAGGGCAGCTTTGAGGATTTCGTTGGAAACGGGAATACATGTAAAAAGCAGACAGCAGCATTCTCAGAAACTTCTTTGTGATGTTTGCATTGAAGTCACAGAGTTGAACATTCCCTTTGAGAGAGCAGGTTTGAAACACGCCTTTTGTCATATCTGGAATTGTCCATTCGGAGCGCATTCAGGCTTGTGTTGAAAAAGGAAATATCCTCCCAGAAATACTAGACAGAAGCATTCTCAGAAACTTATCTGTGATGTATGTACTCAACTAACAGAACTAAACCATCGTTTTGAAGGAGCAGTTTTGAAACACTCTTTTTGCGGAATCTGCAAGTGGATATTTGGCTAGCTGGGAGGATTTCGTTGGAAACGGGATTACATACAAAAAGCAGACAGCAGCATTCTCAGAAACTTCTTTGTGATGTTTGCATTCAAGTCACAGAGTTGAACATTCCCTTTCATAGAGCAGGTTTGAAACACTCTTTTTGTAGTATCTGGATGTGGACATTTGGATCGCTTTCAGGCCTATGGTGAAAAAGGAAATATCTTCCCATGAAAACTAGACAGAAGCATTCTCAGAAACTTATTTGTGATGTGTGCCCTCAACTGACAGTGTTGAACCTTTGTTTTGATAGAGCAGTTCTGAAACACACTTTTTGTAAAATCTGCAAGAGGATATTTGGATAGCTTTGAGGATTTCGTTGGAAACGGGAATGTCTTCATGTAAACTCTAGACAGAAGCATTCTCAGAAACTGCTTTGGGATGTTTCAATTGAAGTCCCAGTGTTGAACATTCCCTTTCATAGAGCAGGTTTGAAACACTCTTTTTGTACTATCTGGAAGTGGACATTTGGAGAACTTTCAGGTCTACGGTGAAAAAGGAGATATCTTCCAATAAAAACTAGATAGAAGCAATGTCAGAACTTTTTTCATGATGTATCTACTCAGCAAACAGAGTTGAACCTTTCTTTTGAGAGAGCAGTTTTGAAACACTCTTTTTGTGGAATATGCAAGTGGGTATTAGGCCAGCTTGGAGGATTTCGTTGGAAACGGGAATACGTATAAAAAGCAGACAGCAGCATTGTCAGAAACTACTTTGTGATGTTTGCATTCAAGTCACAGAATTGAACACTCCCTTTCACAGAGCAGGTTTGAAACACTCTTTTTGTAGTGTCTGTAAGTGAACATTTGGATTGCTTTCAGGCCTAAGGTGAAAAAGGAAATATCTTCCCATAAAAACTAGACAGAAGCATTCTCAGAAACTTGTTTGTGATGTGTGCCCTCTACTGACAGAGTTGAACCTTTCTTTGCAAAGAGCAGTTTTGAAACACTCTTTTTGTAGAATCTGCAAGAGGATATTTGGATAGCTTTGAGGATTTCTTGGGAAACGGGAATGTCTTCAGATAAACTCTAGACAGAAGCATTCTCAGAAACTTCTTTGGGATGTTTCAATTGAAGTCACAGTGTTGAACATTCCCTTTCACAGAGCAGGTTTGAAACACTCTTTTTGTAGTGTCTATAAGTAAACATTTGGCGTGCTTTCAGGCGTAACGTGAAAAAGGAAATATCTTCCCATAAAAACTAGACAGAAAGCATTCTCAGAAACTTGTTCGTGATGTGTGCCCTCTACTGACAGAGTTGAACCTTTCTTTGCAAAGAGCAGCTTTGAAACACTCTTTTTGTAGAATCTGCAAGAGGATATGTGGATAGCTTTGAGGATTTCGTTGGAAACGGGTATGTCTTCAGATAAACTCTAGACAGAAGCATTCTCAGAAACTTCTTTGGGATGTTTCAATTGAAGTCACAGTGTTGAACATTCCCTTTCACAGAGCAGGTTTGAAACACTCTTTTTGTAGTGTCTATAAGTGAACATTTGGCGTGCTTTCAGGCCTAACGTGAAAAAGGAAATATCTTCCCATAAAAACTAGACAGAAGCATTCTCAGAAACTTGTTCATGATGTGTGCCCTCTACTGACAGAGTTGAACCTTTCTTTGCAAAGAGCAGCTTTGAAACACTCTTTTTGTAGAATCTGCAAGAGGATATTTGGATAGCTTGGAGGATTTCGTTGGAAACGGGTATGTCTTCAGATAAACTCTAGACAGAAGCATTCTCAGAAACTTCTTTGGGATGTTGCATTCAAGTCACAGAGTAGAACATTCCCATTCATAGAGCAGATTTGAAACACTCTTTTTGTAGTATCTGGAAGTGGACATTTGGAGCGCTTTCAGGCCTATGTTGAAAAAGGAAATATCTTCCCATAAAAACTAGACGGAAGCATTCTCAGAAACTTATTTGTGATGTGTTTGCTCAACTAACAGGATTGAACCATCGTTTTGAAGGAGCAGTTTTGAAACACTGTTTTCGTGGAATCTGCAAGTGGATATTTGGCTAGCTTTGAGGATTTCGTTGGAAACGGGATTACATATAAAAAGGAGACAGCAGCATTCTCAGAAACTTCTTTGTGATGTCTGCATTCAATTCACAGAGTTGAGCATTCCCTTTCATAGAGCAGATTGGAAACACTCTTTTTGTAGTATCTGGATGAGGACATTTGGAGCGCTTTCAGGCCTATGGTGAAAAAGGAAATATCTTCCCGTAAAAACTAGACAGAAGCATTCTCAGAAGTTTATTTGTGATGTGTGCCCTCAACTAACAGAGTTGAACCTTTCTTTTGATAGAGCAGTTTTGAAACACTCTTTTTGTAAAATCTGCAAGAGGATATTTGGATAGCTTTGAGGATTTCGTTGCAAACGAGAATGGCTTCACATAAACTCTAGGCAGAAGCATTCTCAGAAACTTCGTTGGGATGTTTCGATTGAAGTCCCAGTGTTGAACATTCCCTTTTATAGAGCAGGTTGGAAACACTCTTTCTGCATTCCCTGGAAGTGGACATTTGGAGCGCTTTCAGGACGACGATGAAAATGGAAATATCTTCCAAGAAAATCTAGATAGAAGCAACGTCAGAAACTTTTATGTGATGGATCTACTCAGCTAACAGAGTTGAACCTTTCTTTTGAGAGAGCAGTTTTGCAACACTCTTTTTGTGGAATATGCAAGTGGATATTAGGGCAGCTTTGAGGATTTCGTTGGAAACGGGAATACATGTAAAAAGGAGACAGCAGCATTCTCAGAAACTTCTTTGTGATGTTTGCATTGAAGTCACAGAGTTGAACATTCCCTTTGAGAGAGCAGGTTTGAAACACGCCTTTTGTCATATCTGGAAGTGTCCATTCGGAGCGCATTCAGGCTTGTGTTGAAAAAGGAAATATCCTCCCATAAAAACTAGACAGAAGCATTCTCAGAAACTTATCTGTGATGTATGTACTCAACTAACAGAACTAAACCATCGTTTTGAAGGAGCAGTTTTGAAACACTCTTTTTGCGGAATCTGCAAGTGGATATTTGGCTAGCTGGGAGGATTTCGTTGGAAACGGGATTACATACAAAAAGCAGACAGCAGCATTCTCAGAAACTTCTTTGTGATGTTTGCATTCAAGTCACAGAGTTGAACATTCCCTTTCATAGAGCAGGTTTGAAACACTCTTTTTGTAGTATCTGGATGTGGACATTTGGATCGCTTTCAGGCCTATGGTGAAAAAGGAAATATCTTCCCATGAAAACTAGACAGAAGCATTCTCAGAAACTTATTTGTGATGTGTGCCCTCAACTGACAGTGTTGAACCTTTGTTTTGATAGAGCAGTTCTGAAACACACTTTTTGTAAAATCTGCAAGAGGATATTTGGATAGCTTTGAGGATTTCGTTGGAAACGGGAATGTCTTCATGTAAACTCTAGACAGAAGCATTCTCAGAAACTGCTTTGTGATGCTTCAATTGAAGTCCCAGTGTTGAACATTCCTTTTCATAGAGCAGGTTTGAAACACTCTTTTTGTAGTATCTGGAAGTGGACATTTGGAGCGCTTTCAGGTCTACGGTGAAAAAGGAGATATCTTCCAATAAAAACTAGACAGAAGCAATGTCAGAACTTTTTTCATGATGTATCTACTCAGCTAACAGTAGTTGAACCTTTCTTTTGAGAGAGCAGTTTTGAAACACTCTTTGTGTGGAATATGCAAGTGGGTATTAGGCCAGCTTGGAGGATTTCGTTGGAAACGGGAATACGTATAAAAAGCAGACAGCAGCATTGTCAGAAACTACTTTGTGATGTTTGCATTCAAGTCACAGAATTGAACACTCCCTTTCACAGAGCAGGTTTGAAACACTCTTTTTGTAGTGTCTGTAAGTGAACATTTGGATTGCTTTCAGGCCTAAGGTGAAAAAGGAAATATCTTCCCATAAAAACTAGACAGAAGCATTCTCAGAAACTTGTTTGTGATGTGTGCCCTCTACTGACAGAGTTGAACCTTTCTTTGCAAAGAGCAGTTTTGAAACACTCTTTTTGTAGAATCTGCAAGAGGATATTTGGATAGCTTTGAGGATTTCTTGGGAAACGGGAATGTCTTCAGATAAACTCTAGACAGAAGCATTCTCAGAAACTTCTTTGGGATGTTTCAATTGAAGTCACAGTGTTGAACATTCCCTTTCACAGAGCAGGTTTGAAACACTCTTTTTGTAGTGTCTATAAGTGAACATTTGGCGTGCTTTCAGGCCTAACGTGAAAAAGGAAATATCTTCCCATAAAAACTAGACAGAAGCATTCTCAGAAACTTGTTCGTGATGTGTGCCCTCTACTGACAGAGTTGAACCTTTCTTTGCAAAGAGCAGCTTTGAAACACTCTTTTTGTAGAATCTGCAAGAGGATATTTGGATAGCTTTGAGGATTTCGTTGGAAACGGGGATGTCTTCAGATAAACTCTAGACAGAAGCATTCTCAGAAACTTCTTTGGGATGTTGCATTCAAGTCACAGAGTAGAACATTCCCATTCATAGAGCAGATTTGAAACACTCTTTTTGTAGTATCTGGAAGTGGACATTTGGAGCGCTTTCAGGCCTATGTTGAAAAAGGATATATCTTCCCATAAAAACTAGACGGAAGCATTCTCAGAAACTTACTTGTGATGTGTTTGCTCAACTAACAGAATTGAACCATCGTTTTGAAGGAGCAGTTTTGAAACACTGTTTTCGTGGAATCTGCAAGTGGATATTTGGCTAGCTTTGAGGATTTCGTTGGAAACGGGATTACATATAAAAAGGAGACAGCAGCATTCTCAGAAACTTCTTTGTGATGTCTGCATTCAATTCACAGAGTTGAGCATTCCCTTTCATAGAGCAGGTTGGAAACACTCTTTTTGTAGTATCTGGATGAGGACATTTGGAGCGCTTTCAGGCCTATGGTGAAAAAGGAAATATCTTCCCGTAAAAACTAGACAGAAGCATTCTCAGAAATTTATTTGTGATGTGTGCCCTCAACTAACAGAGTTGAACCTTTCTTTTGATAGAGCAGTTTTGAAACACTCTTTTTGTAAAATCTGCAAGAGGATATTTGGATAGCTTTGAGGATTTCATTGCAAACGGGAATGGCTTCATATAAACTCTAGACAGAAGCATTCTCAGAAACTTCGTTGGGATGTTTCGATTGAAGTCCCAGTGTTGAACATTCCCTTTTATAGAGCAGGTTGGAAACACTCTTTTTGCATTCCCTGGAAGTGGACATTTGGAGCGCTTTCAGGACGACGGTGAAAATGGAAATATCTTCCAATAAAATCTAGATAGAAGCAATGTCAGAAACTTTTATGTGATGGATCTACTCAGCTAACAGAGTTGAACCTTTCTTTTGAGAGAGCAGTTTTGCAACACTCTTTTTGTGGAATATGCAAGTGGATATTAGGGCAGCTTTGAGGATTTCGTTGGAAACGGGAATACATGTAAAAAGCAGACAGCAGCATTCTCAGAAACTTCTTTGTGATGTTTGCATTGAAGTCACAGAGTTGAACATTCCCTTTGAGAGAGCAGGTTTGAAACACGCCTTTTGTCATATCTGGAAGTGTCCATTCGGAGCGCATTCAGGCTTGTGTTGAAAAAGGAAATATCCTCCCATAAAAACTAGACAGAAGCATTCTCAGAAACTTATTTGTGATGTATGTACTCAACTAACAGAACTAAACCATCGTTTTGAAGGAGCAGTTTTGAAACACTCTTTTTGCGGAATCTGCAAGTGGATATTTGGCTAGCTGGGAGGATTTCGTTGGAAACGGGATTACATACAAAAAGCAGACAGCAGCATTCTCAGAAACTTATTTGTGATGTGTGCCCTCAACTGACAGTGTTGAACCTTTGTTTTGATAGAGCAGTTCTGAAACACACTTTTTATAAAATCTGCAAGAGGATATTTGGATAGCTTTGAGGATTTCGTTGGAAACGGGAATGTCTTCATGTAAACTCTACACAGAAGCATTCTCAGAAACTGCTTTGGGATGTTTAAATTGAAGTCCCAGTGTTGAACATTCCCTTTCATAGAGCAGGTTTGAAACACTCTTTTTGTACTATCTGGAAGTGGACATTTGGAGCGCTTTCAGGTCTACGGTGAAAAAGGAGATATCTTCCAATAAAAACTAGATAGAAGCAATGTCAGAACTTTTTTCATGATGTATCTACTCAGCAAACAGAGTTGAACCTTTCTTTTGAGAGAGCAGTTTTGAAACACTCTTTTTGTGGAATATGCAAGTGGGTATTAGGCCAGCTTGGAGGATTTCGTTGGAAACGGGAATACGTATAAAAAGCAGACAGCAGCATTGTCAGAAACTACTTTGTGATGTTTGCATTCAAGTCACAGAATTGAACACTCCCTTTCACAGAGCAGTTTTGAAACACTCTTTTTGTAGTGTCTGTAAGTGAACATTTGGATTGCTTTCAGGCCTAAGGTGAAAAAGGAAATATCTTCCCATAAAAACTAGACAGAAGCATTCTCAGAAACTTGTTTGTGATGTGTGCCCTCTACTGACAGAGTTGAACCTTTCTTTGCAAAGAGCAGTTTTGAAACACTCTTTTTGTAGAATCTGCAAGAGGATATTTGGATAGCTTTGAGGATTTCTTGGGAAACGGGAATGTCTTCAGATAAACTCTAGACAGAAGCATTCTCAGAAACTTCTTTGGGATGTTTCAATTGAAGTCACAGTGTTGAACATTCCCTTTCACAGAGCAGGTTTGAAACACTCTTTTTGTAGTGTCTATAAGTGAACATTTGGCGTGCTTTCAGGCCTAACGTGAAAAAGGAAATATCTTCCCATAAAAACTAGACAGAAGCATTCTCAGAAACTTGTTCGTGATGTGTGCCCTCTACTGACAGAGTTGAACCTTTCTTTGCAAAGAGCAGCTTTGAAACACTCTTTTTGTAGAATCTGCAAGAGGATATTTGGATAGCTTTGAGGATTTCGTTGGAAACGGGTATGTCTTCAGATAAACTCTAGACAGAAGCATTCTCAGAAACTTCTTTGGGATGTTGCATGCAAGTCACAGAGTAGAACATTCCCATTCATAGAGCAGATTTGAAACACTCTTTTTGTAGTATCTGGAAGTGGACATTTGGAGCGCTTTCAGGCCTATGTTGAAAAAGGAAATATCTTCCCATAAAAACTAGACGGAAGCATTCTCAGAAACTTATTTGTGATGTGTTTGCTCAACTAACAGGATTGAACCATCGTTTTGAAGGAGCAGTTTTGAAACACTGTTTTCGTGGAATCTGCAAGTGGATATTTGGCTAGCTGGGAGGATTTCGTTGGAAACGGGATTACATATAAAAAGGAGACAGCAGCATTCTCAGAAACTTCTTTGTGATGTTTGCATTCAAGTCACAGAGTTGAACATTCCCTTTCATAGAGCAGGTTTGAAACACTCTTTTTGTAGTATCTGGATGTGGACATTTGGATCGCTTTCAGGCCTATGGTGAAAAAGGAAATATCTTCCCATGAAAACTAGACAGAAGCATTCTCAGAAACTTATTTGTGATGTGTGCCCTCAACTGACAGTGTTGAACCTTTGTTTTGATAGAGCAGTTCTGAAACACACTTTTTGTAAAATCTGCAAGAGGATATTTGGATAGCTTTGAGGATTTCGTTGGAAACGGGAATGTCTTCATGTAAACTCTGGACAGAAGCATTCTCAGAAACTGCTTTGGGATGTTTCAATTGAAGTCCCAGTGTTGAACATTCCCTTTCATAGAGCAGGTTTGAAACACTCTTTTTGTACTATCTGGAAGTGGACATTTGGAGCGCTTTCAGGTCTACGGTGAAAAAGGAGATATCTTCCAATAAAAACTAGATAGAAGCAATGTCAGAACTTTTTTCATGATGTATCTACTCAGCAAACAGAGTTGAACCTTTCTTTTGAGAGAGCAGTTTTGAAACACTCTTTTTGTGGAATATGCAAGTGGGTATTAGGCCAGCTTGGAGGATTTCGTTGGAAACGGGAATACGTATAAAAAGCAGACAGCAGCATTGTCAGAAACTACTTTGTGATGTTTGCATTCAAGTCACAGAATTGAACACTCCCTTTCACAGAGCAGGTTTGAAACACTCTTTTTGTAGTGTCTGTAAGTGAACATTTGGATTGCTTTCAGGCCTAAGGTGAAAAAGGAAATATCTTCCCATAAAAACTAGACAGAAGCATTCTCAGAAACTTGTTTGTGATGTGTGCCCTCTACTGACAGAGTTGAACCTTTCTTTGCAAAGAGCAGTTTTGAAACACTCTTTTTGTAGAATCTGCAAGAGGATATTTGGATAGCTTTGAGGATTTCTTGGGAAACGGGAATGTCTTCAGATAAACTCTAGACAGAAGCATTCTCAGAAACTTCTTTGGGATGTTTCAATTGAAGTCACAGTGTTGAACATTCCCTTTCACAGAGCAGGTTTGAAACACTCTTTTTGTAGTGTCTATAAGTGAACATTTGGCGTGCTTTCAGGCCTAACGTGAAAAAGGAAATATCTTCCCATAAAAACTAGACAGAAGCATTCTCAGAAACTTGTTCGTGATGTGTGCCCTCTACTGACAGAGTTGAACCTTTCTTTGCAAAGAGCAGCTTTGAAACACACTTTTTGTAGAATCTGCAAGAGGATATTTGGATAGCTTGGAGGATTTCGTTGGAAACGGGTATGTCTTCAGATAAACTCTAGACAGAAGCATTCTCAGAAACTTCTTTGGGATGTTGCATTCAAGTCACAGAGTAGAACATTCCCATTCATAGAGCAGATTTGAAACACTCTTTTTGTAGTATCTGGAAGTGGACATTTGGAGCGCTTTCAGGCCTATGTTGAAAAAGGAAATATCTTCCCATAAAAACTAGACGGAAGCATTCTCAGAAACTTATTTGTGATGTGTTTGCTCAACTAACAGGATTGAACCATCGTTTTGAAGGAGCAGTTTTGAAACACTGTTTTCGTGGAATCTGCAAGTGGATATTTGGCTAGCTTTGAGGATTTCGTTGGAAACGGGATTACATATAAAAAGGAGACAGCAGCATTCTCAGAAACTTCTTTGTGATGTCTGCATTCAATTCACAGAGTTGAGCATTCCCTTTCATAGAGCAGGTTGGAAACACTCTTTTTGTAGTATCTGGATGAGGACATTTGGAGCGCTTTCAGGCGTATGGTGAAAAAGGAAATATCTTCCCGTAAAAACTAGACAGAAGCATTCTCAGAAGTTTATTTGTGATGTGTGCCCTCAACTAACAGAGTTGAACCTTTCTTTTGATAGAGCAGTTTTGAAACACTCTTTTTGTAAAATCTGCAAGAGGATATTTGGATAGTTTTGAGGATTTCGTTGCAAACGGGAATGGCTTCATATAAACTCTAGACAGAAGCATTCTCAGAAACTTCGTTGGGATGTTTCGATTGAAGTCCCAGTGTTGAACATTCCCTTTTATAGAGCAGGTTGGAAACACTCTTTCTGCATTCCCTGGAAGTGGACATTTGGAGCGCTTTCAGGACGACGGTGAAAATGGAAATATCTTCCAAGAAAATCTAGATAGAAGCAACGTCAGAAACTTTTCTGTGATGGATCTACTCAGCTAACAGAGTTGAACCTTTCTTTTGAGAGAGCAGTTTTGCAACACTCTTTTTGTGGAATATGCAAGTGGATATTAGGGCAGCTTTGAGGATTTCGTTGGAAACGGGAATACATGTAAAAAGCAGACAGCAGCATTCTCAGAAACTTCTTTGTGATGTTTGCATTGAAGTCACAGAGTTGAACATTCCCTTTGAGAGAGCAGGTTTGAAACACGCCTTTTGTCATATCTGGAAGTGTCCATTCGGAGCGCATTCAGGCTTGTGTTGAAAAAGGAAATATCCTCCCATAAAAACTAGACAGAAGCATTCTCAGAAACTTATTTGTGATGTATGTACTCAAGTAACAGAACTAAACCATCGTTTTGAAGGAGCAGTTTTGAAACACTCTTTTTGCGGAATCTGCAAGTGGATATTTGGCTAGCTGGGAGGATTTCGTTGGAAACGGGATTACATACAAAAAGCAGACAGCAGCATTCTCAGAAACTTATTTGTGATGTGTGCCCTCAACTGACAGTGTTGAACCTTTGTTTTGATAGAGCAGTTCTGAAACACACTTTTTGTAAAATCTGCAAGAGGATATTTGGATAGCTTTGAGGATTTCGTTGGAAACGGGAATGTCTTCATGTAAACTCTAGACAGAAGCATTCTCAGAAACTGCTTTGGGATGTTTCAATTGAAGTCCCAGTGTTGAACATTCCCTTTCATAGAGCAGGTTTGAAACACTCTTTTTGTAGTATGTGGAAGTGGACATTTGGAGCGCTTTCAGGTCTACGGTGAAAAAGGAGATATCTTCCAATAAAAACTAGATAGAAGCAATGTCAGAACTTTTTTTCATGATGTATCTACTCAGCAAACAGAGTTGAACCTTTCTTTTGAGAGAGCAGTTTTGAAACACTCTTTTTGTGGAATATGCAAGTGGGTATTAGGCCAGCTTGGAGGATTTCGTTGGAAACGGGAATACGTATAAAAAGCAGACAGCAGCATTGTCAGAAACTACTTTGTGATGTTTGCATTCAAGTCACAGAATTGAACACTCCCTTTCACAGAGCAGGTTTGAAACACTCTTTTTGTAGTGTCTGTAAGTGAACATTTGGATTGCTTTCAGGCCTAAGGTGAAAAAGGAAATATCTTCCCATAAAAACTAGACAGAAGCATTCTCAGAAACTTGTTTGTGATGTGTGCCCTCTACTGACAGGGTTGAACCTTTCTTTGCAAAGAGCAGTTTTGAAACACTCTTTTTGTAGAATCTGCAAGAGGATATTTGGATAGCTTTGAGGATTTCTTGGGAAACGGGAATGTCTTCAGATAAACTCTAGACAGAAGCATTCTCAGAAACTTCTTTGGGATGTTTCAATTGAAGTCACAGTGTTGAACATTCCCTTTCACAGAGCAGGTTTGAAACACTCTTTTTGTAGTGTCTATAAGTGAACATTTGGCGTGCTTTCAGGCCTAACGTGAAAAAGGAAATATCTTCCCATAAAAACTAGACAGAAGCATTCTCAGAAACTTGTTCGTGATGTGTGCCCTCTACTGACAGAGTTGAACCTTTCTTTGCAAAGAGCAGCTTTGAAACACACTTTTTGTAGAATCTGCAAGAGGATATTTGGATAGCTTTGAGGATTTCGTTGGAAACGGGTATGTCTTCAGATAAACTCTAGACAGAAGCATTCTCAGAAACTTCTTTGGGATGTTGCATTCAAGTCACAGAGTAGAACATTCCCATTCATAGAGCAGATTTGAAACACTCTTTTTGTAGTATCTGGAAGTGGACATTTGGAGCGCTTTCAGGCCTATGTTGAAAAAGGAAATATCTTCCCATAAAAACTAGACGGAAGCATTCTCAGAAACTTATTTGTGATGTGTTTGCTCAACTAACAGGATTGAACCATCGTTTTGAAGGAGCAGTTTTGAAACACTGTTTTCGTGGAATCTGCAAGTGGATATTTGGCTAGCTTTGAGGATTTCGTTGGAAACGGGATTACATATAAAAAGGAGACAGCAGCATTCTCAGAAACTTCCTTGTGATGTTTGCATTCAATTCACAGAGTTGAGCATTCCCTTTCATAGAGCAGGTTTGAAACACTCTTTTTGTAGTATCTGGATGTGGACATTTGGATCGCTTTCAGGCCTATGGTGAAAAAGGAAATATCTTCCCATGAAAACTAGACAGAAGCATTCTCAGAAACTTATTTGTGATGTGTGCCCTCAACTGACAGTGTTGAACCTTTGTTTTGATAGAGCAGTTCTGAAACACACCTTTTGTAAAATCTGCAAGAGGATATTTGGATAGCTTTGAGGATTTCGTTGGAAACGGGAATGTCTTCATGTAAACTCTAGACAGAAGCATTCTCAGAAACTGCTTTGGGATGTTTCAATTGAAGTCCCAGTGTTGAACATTCCCTTTCATAGAGCAGGTTTGAAACACTCTTTTTGTACTATCTGGAAGTGGACATTTGGAGCGCTTTCAGGTCTACGGTGTAAAAGGAGATATCTTCCAATAAAAACTAGATAGAAGCAATGTCAGAACTTTTTTCATGATGTATCTACTCAGCAAACAGAGTTGAACCTTTCTTTTGAGAGAGCAGTTTTGAAACACTCTTTTTGTGGAATATGCAAGTGGGTATTAGGCCAGCTTGGAGGATTTCGTTGGAAACGGGAATACGTATAAAAAGCAGACAGCAGCATTGTCAGAAACTACTTTGTGATGTTTGCATTCAAGTCACAGAATTGAACACTCCCTTTCACAGAGCAGGTTTGAAACACTCTTTTTGTAGTGTCTGTAAGTGAACATTTGGATTGCTTTCAGGCCTAAGGTGAAAAAGGAAATATCTTCCCATAAAAACTAGACAGAAGCATTCTCAGAAACTTGTTTGTGATGTGTGCCCTCTACTGACAGAGTTGAACCTTTCTTTGCAAAGAGCAGTTTTGAAACACTCTTTTGTAGAATCTGCAAGAGGATATTTGGATAGCTTTGAGGATTTCTTGGGAAACGGGAATGTCTTCAGATAAACTCTAGACAGAAGCATTCTCAGAAACTTCTTTGGGATGTTTCAATTGAAGTCACAGTGTTGAACATTCCCTTTCACAGAGCAGGTTTGAAACACTCTTTTTGTAGTGTCTATAAGTGAACATTTGGCGTGCTTTCAGGCGTAACGTGAAAAAGGAAATATCTTCCCATAAAAACCAGACAGAAGCATTCTCAGAAACTTGTTCGTGATGTGTGCCCTCTACTGACAGAGTTGAACCTTTCTTTGCAAAGAGCAGCTTTGAAACACTCTTTTTGTAGAATCTGCAAGAGGATATTTGGATAGCTTTGAGGATTTCGTTGGAAACGGGGATGTCTTCAGATAAACTCTAGACAGAAGCATTCTCAGAAACTTCTTTGGGATGTTGCATTCAAGTCACAGAGTAGAACATTCCCATTCATAGAGCAGATTTGAAACACTCTTTTTGTAGTATCTGGAAGTGGACATTTGGAGCGCTTTCAGGCCTATGTTGAAAAAGGATATATCTTCCCATAAAAACTAGACGGAAGCATTCTCAGAAACTTACTTGTGATGTGTTTGCTCAACTAACAGAATTGAACCATCGTTTTGAAGGAGCAGTTTTGAAACACTGTTTTCGTGGAATCTGCAAGTGGATATTTGGCTAGCTTTGAGGATTTCGTTGGAAACGGGATTACATATAAAAAGGAGACAGCAGCATTCTCAGAAACTTCTTTGTGATGTCTGCATTCAAGTCACAGAGTTGAGCATTCCCTTTCATAGAGCAGGTTGGAAACACTCTTTTTGTAGTATCTGGATGAGGACATTTGGAGCGCTTTCAGGCGTATGGTGAAAAAGGAAATATCTTCCCGTAAAAACTAGACAGAAGCATTCTCAGAAATTTATTTGTGATGTGTGCCCTCAACTAACAGAGTTGAACCTTTCTTTTGATAGAGCAGTTTTGAAACACTCTTTTTGTAAAATCTGCAAGAGGATATTTGGATAGCTTTGAGGATTTCGTTGCAAACGGGAATGGCTTCATATAAACTCTAGACAGAAGCATTCTCAGAAACTTCGTTGGGATGTTTCGATTGAAGTCCCAGTGTTGAACATTCCCTTTTATAGAGCAGGTTGGAAACACTCTTTCTGCATTCCCTGGAAGTGGACATTTGGAGCGCTTTCAGGACGACGGTGAAAATGGAAATATCTTCCAAGAAAATCTAGATAGAAGCAACGTCAGAAACTTTTATGTGATGGATCTACTCAGCTAACAGAGTTGAACCTTTCTTTTGAGAGAGCAGTTTTGCAACACTCTTTTTGTGGAATATGCAAGTGGATATTAGGGCAGCTTTGAGGATTTCGTTGGAAACGGGAATACATGTAAAAAGCAGACAGCAGCATTCTCAGAAACTTCTTTGTGATGTTTGCATTGAAGTCACAGAGTTGAACATTCCCTTTGAAAGAGCAGGTTTGAAACACGCCTTTTGTCATATCTGGAAGTGTCCATTCGGAGCGCATTCAGGCTTGTGTTGAAAAAGGAAATATCCTCCCATAAAAACTAGACAGAAGCATTCTCAGAAACTTATCTGTGATGTATGTACTCAACTAACAGAACTAAACCATCGTTTTGAAGGAGCAGTTTTGAAACACTCTTTTTGCGGAATCTGCAAGTGGATATTTGGCTAGCTGGGAGGATTTCGTTGGAAACGGGATTACATACAAAAAGCAGACAGCAGCATTCTCAGAAACTTCTTTGTGATGTTTGCATTCAAGTCACAGAGTTGAACATTCCCTTTCATAGAGCAGGTTTGAAACACTCTTTTTGTAGTATCTGGATGTGGACATTTGGATCGCTTTCAGGCCTATGGTGAAAAAGGAAATATCTTCCCATGAAAACTAGACAGAAAGCATTCTCAGCAAACTTATTTGTGATGTGTGCCCTCAACTGACAGTGTTGAACCTTTGTTTTGATAGAGCAGTTTTGAAACACACTTTTTGTAAAATCTGCAAGAGGATATTTGGATAGCTTTGAGGATTTCGTTGGAAACGGGAATGTCTTCATGTAAACTCTAGACAGAAGCATTCTCAGAAACTGCTTTGGGATGTTTCAATTGAAGTCCCAGTGTTGAACATTCCCATTCATAGAGCAGGTTTGAAACACTCTTTTTGTACTATCTGGAAGTGGACATTTGGAGCGCTTTCAGGTCTACGGTGAAAAAGGAGATATCTTCCAATAAAAACTAGATAGAAGCAATGTCAGAACTTTTTTCATGATGTATCTACTCAGCTAACAGAGTTGAACCTTTCTTTTGAGAGAGCAGTTTTGAAACACTCTTTTTGTGGAATATGCAAGTGGGTATTAGGCCAGCTTGGAGGATTTCGTTGGAAACGGGAATACGTATAAAAAGCAGACAGCAGCATTGTCAGAAACTACTTTGTGATGTTTGCATTCAAGTCACAGAATTGAACACTCCCTTTCACAGAGCAGGTTTGAAACACTCTTTTTGTAGTGTCTGTAAGTGAACATATGGATTGCTTTCAGGCCTAAGGTGAAAAAGGAAATATCTTCCCATAAAAACTAGACAGAAGCATTCTCAGAAACTTGTTTGTGATGTGTGCCCTCTACTGACAGAGTTGAACCTTTCTTTGCAAAGAGCAGTTTTGAAACACTCTTTTTGTAGAATCTGCAAGAGGATATTTGGATAGCTTTGAGGATTTCTTGGGAAACGGGAATGTCTTCAGATAAACTCTAGACAGAAGCATTCTCAGAAACTTCTTTGGGATGTTTCAATTGAAGTCACAGTGTTGAACATTCCCTTTCACAGAGCAGGTTTGAAACACTCTTTTTGTAGTGTCTATAAGTGAACATTTGGCGTGCTTTCAGGCGCAACGTGAAAAAGGAAATATCTTCCCATAAAAACTAGACAGAAGCATTCTCAGAAACTTGTTCGTGATGTGTGCCCTCTACTGACAGACTTGAACCTTTCTTTGCAAAGAGCAGCTTTGAAACACTCTTTTTGTAGAATCTGCCAGAGGATATTTGGATAGCTTGGAGGATTTCGTTGGAAACGGGTATGTCTTCAGATAAACTCTAGACAGAAGCATTCTCAGAAACTTCTTTGGGATGTTGCATTCAAGTCACAGAGTAGAACATTCCCATTCATAGAGCAGATTTGAAACACTCTTTTTGTAGTATCTGGAAGTGGACATTTGGAGCGCTTTCAGGCCTATGTTGAAAAAGGAAATATCTTCCCATAAAAACTAGACGGAAGCATTCTCAGAAACTTACTTGTGATGTGTTTGCTCAACTAACAGAATTGAACCATCGTTTTGAAGGAGCAGTTTTGAAACACTGTTTTCGTGGAATCTGCAAGTGGATATTTGGCTAGCTTTGAGGATTTCGTTGGAAACGGGATTACATATAAAAAGGAGACAGCAGCATTCTCAGAAACTTCTTTGTGATGTCTGCATTCAATTCACAGAGTTGAGCATTCCCTTTCATAGAGCAGGTTGGAAACACTCTTTTTGTAGTATCTGGATGAGGACATTTGGAGCGCTTTCAGGCGTATGGTGAAAAAGGAAATATCTTCCCGTAAAAACTAGACAGAAGCATTCTCAGAAATTTATTTGTGATGTGTGCCCTCAACTAACAGAGTTGAACCTTTCTTTTGATAGAGCAGTTTTGAAACACTCTTTTTGTAAAATCTGCAAGAGGATATTTGGATAGCTTTGAGGATTTCATTGCAAATGGGAATGGCTTCATATAAACTCTAGACAGAAGCATTCTCAGAAACTTCGTTGGGATGTTTCGATTGAAGTCCCAGTGTTGAACATTCCCTTTTATAGAGCAGGTTGGAAACAGTCTTTCTGCATTCCCTGGAAGTGGACATTTGGAGCGCTTTCAGGACGACGGTGAAAATGGAAATATCTTCCAATAAAATCTGGATAGAAGCAATGTCAGAAACTTTTATGTGATGGATCTACTCAGCTAACAGAGTTGAACCTTTCTTTTGAGAGAGCAGTTTTGCAACACTCTTTTTGTGGAATATGCAAGTGGATATTAGGGCAGCTTTGAGGATTTCGTTGGAAACGGGAATACATGTAAAAAGCAGACAGCAGCATTCTCAGAAACTTCTTTGTGATGTTTGCATTGAAGTCACAGAGTTGAACATTCCCTTTGAGAGAGCAGGTTTGAAACACGCCTTTTGTCATATCTGGAAGTGTCCATTCGGAGCGCATTCAGGCTTGTGTTGAAAAAGGAAATATCCTCCCATAAAAACTAGACAGAAGCATTCTCAGAAACTTATCTGTGATGTATGTACTCAACTAACAGAACTAAACCATCGTTTTGAAGGAGCAGTTTTGAAACACTCTTTTTGCGGAATCTGCAAGTGGATATTTGGCTAGCTGGGAGGATTTCGTTGGAAACGGGATTACATACAAAAAGCAGACAGCAGCATTCTCAGAAACTTCTTTGTGATGTTTGCATTCAAGTCACAGAGTTGAACATTCCCTTTCATAGAGCAGGTTTGAAACACTCTTTTTGTAGTATCTGGATGTGGACATTTGGATCGCTTTCAGGCCTATGGTGAAAAAGGAAATATCTTCCCATGAAAACTAGACAGAAGCATTCTCAGAAACTTATTTGTGATGTGTGCCCTCAACTGACAGTGTTGAACCTTTGTTTTGATAGAGCAGTTCTGAAACACACTTTTTGTAAAATCTGCAAGAGGATATTTGGATAGCTTTGAGGATTTCGTTGGAAACGGGAATGTCTTCATGTAAACTCTACACAGAAGCATTCTCAGAAACTGCTTTGGGATGTTTCAATTGAAGTCCCAGTGTTGAACATTCCCATTCATAGAGCAGGTTTGAAACACTCTTTTTGTAATATCTGGAAGTGGACATTTGGAGCGCTTTCAGGTCTACGGTGAAAAAGGAGATATCTTCCAATAAAAACTAGATAGAAGCAATGTCAGAACTTTTTTCATGATGTATCTACTCAGCAAACAGAGTTGAACCTTTCTTTTGAGAGAGCAGTTTTGAAACACTCTTTTTGTGGAATATGCAAGTGGGTATTAGGCCAGCTTGGAGGATTTCGTTGGAAACGGGAATACGTATAAAAAGCAGACAGCAGCATTGTCAGAAACTACTTTGTGATGTTTGCATTCAAGTCACAGAATTGAACACTCCCTTTCACAGAGCAGGTTTGAAACACTCTTTTTGTAGTGTCTGTAAGTGAACATTTGGATTGCTTTCAGGCCTAAGGTGAAAAAGGAAATATCTTCCCATAAAAACTAGACAGAAGCATTCTCAGAAACTTGTTTGTGATGTGTGCCCTCTACTGACAGAGTTGAACCTTTCTTTGCAAAGAGCAGTTTTGAAACACTCTTTTTGTAGAATCTGCAAGAGGATATTTGGATAGCTTTGAGGATTTCTTGGGAAACGGGAATGTCTTCAGATAAACTCTAGACAGAAGCATTCTCAGAAACTTCTTTGGGATGTTTCAATTGAAGTCACAGTGTTGAACATTCCCTTTCACAGAGCAGGTTTGAAACACTCTTTTTGTAGTGTCTATAAGTGAACATTTGGCGTGCTTTCAGGCCTAACGTGAAAAAGGAAATATCTTCCCATAAAAACTAGACAGAAGCATTCTCAGAAACTTGTTCCTGATGTGTGCCCTCTAACTGACAGAGTTGAACCTTTCTTTGCAAAGAGCAGCTTTGAAACACTCTTTTTGTAGAATCTGCAAGAGGATATTTGGATAGCTTTGAGGATTTCGTTGGAAACGGGGATGTCTTCAGATAAACTCTAGACAGAAGCATTCTCAGAAACTTCTTTGGGATGTTGCATTCAAGTCACAGAGTAGAACATTCCCATTCATAGAGCAGATTTGAAACACTCTTTTTGTAGTATCTGGAAGTGGATATTTGGAGCGCTTTCAGGCCTATGTTGAAAAAGGAAATATCTTCCCATAAAAACTAGACGGAAGCATTCTCAGAAACTTACTTGTGATGTGTTTGCTCAACTAACAGAATTGAACCATCGTTTTGAAGGAGCAGTTTTGAAACACTGTTTTCGTGGAATCTGCAAGTGGATATTTGGCTAGCTTTGAGGATTTCGTTGGAAACGGGATTACATATAAAAAGGAGACAGCAGCATTCTCAGAAACTTCTTTGTGATGTCTGCATTCAAGTCACAGAGTTGAGCATTCCCTTTCATAGAGCAGGTTGGAAACACTCTTTTTGTAGTATCTGGATGAGGACATTTGGAGCGCTTTCAGGCGTATGGTGAAAAAGGAAATATCTTCCCGTAAAAACTAGACAGAAGCATTCTCAGAAATTTATTTGTGATGTGTGCCCTCAACTAACAGAGTTGAACCTTTCTTTTGATAGAGCAGTTTTGATACACTCTTTTTGTAAAATCTGCAAGAGGATATTTGGATAGCTTTGAGGATTTCGTTGCAAACGGGAATGGCTTCATATAAACTCTAGACAGAAGCATTCTCAGAAACTTCGTTGGGATGTTTCGATTGAAGTCCCAGTGTTGAACATTCCCTTTTATAGAGCAGGTTGGAAACACTCTTTCTGCATTCCCTGGAAGTGGACATTTGGAGCGCTTTCAGGACGACGGTGAAAATGGAAATATCTTCCAATAAAATCTAGATAGAAGCAACGTCAGAAACTTTTATGTGATGGATCTACTCAGCTAACAGAGTTGAACCTTTCTTTAGAGAGAGCAGTTTTGCAACACTCTTTTTGTGGAATATGCAAGTGGATATTAGGGCAGCTTTGAGGATTTCGTTGGAAACGGGAATACATGTAAAAAGCAGACAGCAGCATGCTCAGAAACTTCTTTGTGATGTTTGCATTGAAGTCACAGAGTTGAACATTCTCTTTGAGAGAGCAGGTTTGAAACACGCCTTTTGTCATATCTGGAAGTGTCCATTCGGAGCGCATTCAGGCTTGTGTTGAAAAAGGAAATATCCTCCCATAAAAACTAGACAGAAGCATTCTCAGAAACTTATCTGTGATGTATGTACTCAACTAACAGAACTAAACCATCGTTTTGAAGGAGCAGTTTTGAAACACTCTTTTTGCGGAATCTGCAAGTGGATATTTGGCTAGCTGGGAGGATTTCGTTGGAAACGGGATTACATACAAAAAGCAGACAGCAGCATTCTCAGAAACTTCTTTGTGATGTTTGCATTCAAGTCACAGAGTTGAACATTCCCTTTCATAGAGCAGGTTTGAAACACTCTTTTTGTAGTATCTGGATGTGGACATTTGGATCGCTTTCAGGCCTATGGTGAAAAAGGAAATATCTTCCCATGAAAACTAGACAGAAGCATTCTCAGAAACTTATTTGTGATGTGTGCCCTCAACTGACAGTGTTGAACCTTTGTTTTGATAGAGCAGTTCTGAAACACACTTTTTGTAAAATCTGCAAGAGGATATTTGGATAGCTTTGAGGATTTCGTTGGAAACGGGAATGTCTTCATGTAAACTCTAGACAGAAGCATTCTCAGAAACTGCTTTGGGATGTTTCAATTGAAGTCCCAGTGTTGAACATTCCCTTTCATAGAGCAGGTTTGAAACCCTCTTTTTGTACTATCTGGAAGTGGACATTTGGAGCGCTTTCAGGTCTACGGTGAAAAAGGAGATATCTTCCAATAAAAACTAGATAGAAGCAATGTCAGAACTTTTTTCATGATGTATCTACTCAGCAAACAGAGTTGAACCTTTCTTTTGAGAGAGCAGTTTTGAAACACTCTTTTTGTGGAATATGCAAGTGGGTATTAGGCCAGCTTGGAGGATTTCGTTGGAAACGGGAATACGTATAAAAAGCAGACAGCAGCATTGTCAGAAACTACTTTGTGATGTTTGCATTCAAGTCACAGAATTGAACACTCCCTTTCACAGAGCAGGTTTGAAACACTCTTTTTGTAGTGTCTATAAGTGAACATTTGGCGTGCTTTCAGGCCTAAGGTGAAAAAGGAAATATCTTCCCATAAAAACTAGACAGAAGCATTCTCAGAAACTTGTTTGTGATGTGTGCCCTCTACTGACAGAGTTGAAACTTTCTTTGCAAAGAGCAGTTTTGAAACACTCTTTTTGTAGAATCTGCAAGAGGATATTTGGATAGCTTTGAGGATTTCTTGGGAAACGGGAATGTCTTCAGATAAACTCTAGACAGAAGCATTCTCAGAAACTTCTTTGGGATGTTTCAATTGAAGTCAGTGTTGAACATTCCCTTTCACAGAGCAGGTTTGAAACACTCTTTTTGTAGTGTCTATAAGTGAACATTTGGCGTGCTTTCAGGCGTAACGTGAAAAAGGAAATATCTTCCCATAAAAACTAGACAGAAGCATTCTCAGAAACTTGTTCGTGATGTGTGCCCTCTACTGACAGAGTTGAACCTTTCTTTGCAAAGAGCAGCTTTGAAACACTCTGTTTGTAGAATCTGCAAGAGGATATTTGGATAGCTTTGAGGATTTCGTTGGAAACGGGTATGTCTTCAGATAAACTCTAGACAGAAGCATTCTCAGAAACTTCTTTGGGATGTTGCATTCAAGTCACAGAGTAGAACATTCCCATTCATAGAGCAGATTTGAAACACTCTTTTTGTAGTATCTGGAAGTGGACATTTGGAGCGCTTTCAGGCCTATGTTGAAAAAGGAAATATCTTCCCATAAAAACTAGACGGAAGCATTCTCAGAAACTTATTTGTGATGTGTTTGCTCAACTAACAGGATTGAACCATCGTTTTGAAGGAGCAGTTTTGAAACACTGTTTTCGTGGAATCTGCAAGTGGATATTTGGCTAGCTTTGAGGATTTCGTTGGAAACGGGATTACATATACAAAGGAGACAGCAGCATTCCCAGAAACTTCTTTGTGATGTCTGCATTCAATTCACAGAGTTGAGCATTCCCTTTCATAGAGCAGGTTGGAAACACTCTTTTTGTAGTATCTGGATGAGGACATTTGGAGCGCTTTCCGGCCTATGGTGAAAAAGGAAATATCTTCCCGTAAAAACTAGACAGAAGCATTCTCAGAAGTTTATTTGTGATGTGTGCCCTCAACTAACAGAGTTGAACCTTTCTTTTGATAGAGCAGTTTTGAAACACTCTTTTTGTAAAATCTGCAAGAGGATATTTGGACAGCTTTGAGGATTTCGTTGCAAACGGGAATGGCTTCATATAAACTCTAGACAGAAGCATTCTCAGAAACTTCGTTGGGATGTTTCGATTGAAGTCCCAGTGTTGAACATTCCCTTTTATAGAGCAGGTTGGAAACACTCTTTCTGCATTCCCTGGAAGTGGACATTTGGAGCGCTTTCAGGACGACGGTGAAAATGGAAATATCTTCCAAGAAAATCTAGATAGAAGCAATGTCAGAAACTTTTATGTGATGGATCTACTCAGCTAACAGAGTTGAAGCTTTCTTTTGAGAGAGCAGTTTTGCAACACTCTTTTTGTGGAATATGCAAGTGGATATTAGGGCAGCTTTGAGGATTTCGTTGGAAACGGGAATACATGTAAAAAGCAGACAGCAGCATTCTCAGAAACTTCTTTGTGATGTTTGCATTGAAGTCACAGAGTTGAACATTCCCTTTGAGAGAGCAGGTTTGAAACACGCCTTTTGTCATATCTGGAAGTGTCCATTCGGAGCGCATTCAGGCTTGTGTTGAAAAAGGAAATATCCTCCCATAAAAACTAGACAGAAGCATTCTCAGAAACTTATCTGCGATGTATGTACTCAACTAACAGAACTAAACCATCGTTTTGAAGGAGCAGTTTTGAAACACTCTTTTTGCGGAATCTGCAAGTGGATATTTGGCTAGCTGGGAGGATTTCGTTGGAAACGGGATTACATACAAAAAGCAGACAGCAGCATTCTCAGAAACTTCTTTGTGATGTTTGCATTCAAGTCACAGAGTTGAACATTCCCTTTCATAGAGCAGGTTTGAAACACTCTTTTTGTAGTATCTGGATGTGGACATTTGGATCGCTTTCAGGCCTATGGTGAAAAAGGAAATATCTTCCCATGAAAACTAGACAGAAGCATTCTCAGAAACTTATTTGTGATGTGTGCCCTCAACTGACAGTGTTGAACCTTTGTTTTGATAGAGCAGTTCTGAAACACACTTTTTGTAAAATCTGCAAGAGGATATTTGGATAGCTTTGAGGATTTCGTTGGAAACGGGAATGTCTTCATGTAAACTCTACACAGAAGCATTCTCAGAAACTGCTTTGGGATGTTTCAATTGAAGTCCCAGTGTTGAACATTCCCATTCATAGAGCAGGTTTGAAACACACTTTTTGTACTATCTGGAAGTGGACATTTGGAGCGCTTTCAGGTCTACGGTGAAAAAGGAGATATCTTCCAATAAAAACTAGATAGAAGCAATGTCAGAACTTTTTTCATGATGTATCTACTCAGCTAACAGTAGTTGAACCTTTCTTTTGAGAGAGCAGTTTTGAAACACTCTTTGTGTGGAATATGCAAGTGGGTATTAGGCCAGCTTGGAGGATTTCGTTGGAAACGGGAATACGTATAAAAAGCAGACAGCAGCATTGTCAGAAACTACTTTGTGATGTTTGCATTCAAGTCACAGAATTGAACACTCCCTTTCACAGAGCAGGTTTGAAACACTCTTTTTGTAGTGTCTGTAAGTGAACATATGGATTGCTTTCAGGCCTAAGGTGAAAAAGGAAATATCTTCCCATAAAAACTAGACAGAAGCATTCTCAGAAACTTGTTTGTGATGTGTGCCCTCTACTGACAGAGTTGAACCTTTCTTTGCAAAGAGCAGTTTTGAAACACTCTTTTTGTAGAATCTGCAAGAGGATATTTGGATAGCTTTGAGGATTTCTTGGGAAACGGGAATGTCTTCAGATAAACTCTAGACAGAAGCATACTCAGAAACTTCTTTGGGACGTTTCAATTGAAGTCACAGTGTTGAACATTCCCTTTCACAGAGCAGGTTTGAAACACTCTTTTTGTAGTGTCTATAAGTGAACATTTGGCGTGCTTTCAGGCCTAACGTGAAAAAGGAAATATCTTCCCATAAAAACTAGACAGAAGCATTCTCAGAAACTTGTTCATGATGTGTGCCCTCTACTGACAGAGTTGAACCTTTCTTTGCAAAGAGCAGCTTTGAAACACTCTTTTTGTAGAATCTGCAAGAGGATATTTGGATAGCTTTGAGGATTTCGTTGGAAACGGGTATGTCTTCAGATAAACTCTAGACAGAAGCATTCTCAGAAACTTCTTTGGGATGTTGCATTCAAGTCACAGAGTAGAACATTCCCATTCATAGAGCAGATTTGAAACACTCTTTTTGTAGTATCTGGAAGTGGACATTTGGAGCGCTTTCAGGCCTATGTTGAAAAAGGAAATATCTTCCCATAAAAACTAGACGGAAGCATTCTCAGAAACTTACTTGTGATGTGTTTGCTCAACTAACAGAATTGAACCATCGTTTTGAAGGAGCAGTTTTGAAACACTGTTTTCGTGGAATCTGCAAGTGGATATTTGGCTAGCTTTGAGGATTTCGTTGGAAACGGGATTACATATAAAAAGGAGACAGCAGCATTCTCAGAAACTTCTTTGTGATGTCTGCATTCAAGTCACAGAGTTGAGCATTCCCTTTCATAGAGCAGGTTGGAAACACTCTTTTTGTAGTATCTGGATGAGGACATTTGGAGCGCTTTCAGGCGTATGGTGAAAAAGGAAATATCTTCCCGTAAAAACTAGACAGAAGCATTCTCAGAAATTTATTTGTGATGTGTGCCCTCAACTAACAGAGTTGAACCTTTCTTTTGATAGAGCAGTTTTGAAACACTCTTTTTGTAAAATCTGCAAGAGGATATTTGGATAGCTTTGAGGATTTCGTTGCAAACGGGAATGGCTTCATATAAACTCCTAGACAGAAGCATTCTCAAGAAACTTCGTTGGGATGTTTCGATTGAAGTCCCAGTGTTGAACATTCCCTTTTATAGAGCAGGTTGGAAACACTCTTTCTGCATTCCCTGGAAGTGGACATTTGGAGCGCTTTCAGGACGACGGTGAAAATGGAAATATCTTCCAAGAAAATCTAGATAGAAGCAACGTCAGAAACTTTTCTGTGATGGATCTACTCAGCTAACAGAGTTGAACCTTTCTTTTGAGAGAGCAGTTTTGCAACACTCTTTTTGTGGAATATGCAAGTGGATATTAGGGCAGCTTTGAGGATTTCGTTGGAAACGGGAATACATGTAAAAAGCAGACAGCAGCATTCTCAGAAACTTCTTTGTGATGTTTGCATTGAAGTCACAGAGTTGAACATTCCCTTTGAGAGAGCAGGTTTGAAACACGCCTTTTGTCATATCTGGAAGTGTCCATTCGGAGCGCATTCAGGCTTGTGTTGAAAAAGGAAATATCCTCCCATAAAAACTAGACAGAAGCATTCTCAGAAACTTATCTGTGATGTATGTACTCAACTAACAGAACTAAACCATCGTTTTGAAGGAGCAGTTTTGAAACACTCTTTTTGCGGAATCTGCAAGTGGATATTTGGCTAGCTGGGAGGATTTCGTTGGAAACGGGATTACATACAAAAAGCAGACAGCAGCATTCTCAGAAACTTCTTTGTGATGTTTGCATTCAAGTCACAGAGTTGAACATTCCCTTTCATAGAGCAGGTTTGAAACACTCTTTTTGTAGTATCTGGATGTGGACATTTGGATCGCTTTCAGGCCTATGGTGAAAAAGGAAATATCTTCCCATGAAAACTAGACAGAAGCATTCTCAGAAACTTATTTGTGATGTGTGCCCTCAACTGACAGTGTTGAACCTTTGTTTTGATAGAGCAGTTCTGAAACACACTTTTTGTAAAATCTGCAAGAGGATATTTGGATAGCTTTGAGGATTTCGTTGGAAACGGGAATGTCTTCATGTAAACTCTACACAGAAGCATTCTCAGAAACTGCTTTGGGATGTTTCAATTGAAGTCCCAGTGTTGAACATTCCCATTCATAGAGCAGGTTTGAAGCACTCTTTTTGTACTATCTGGAAGTGGACATTTGGAGCGCTTTCAGGTCTACGGTGAAAAAGGAGATATCTTCCAATAAAAACTAGATAGAAGCAATGTCAGAACTTTTTTCATGATGTATCTACTCAGCAAACAGAGTTGAACCTTTCTTTTGAGAGAGCAGTTTTGAAACACTCTTTTTGTGGAATATGCAAGTGGGTATTAGGCCAGCTTGGAGGATTTCGTTGGAAACGGGAATACGTATAAAAAGCAGACAGCAGCATTGTCAGAAACTACTTTGTGATGTTTGCATTCAAGTCACAGAACTGAACACTCCCTTTCACAGAGCAGGTTTGAAACACTCTTTTTGTAGTGTCTGTAAGTGAACATTTGGATTGCTTTCAGGCCTAAGGTGAAAAAGGAAATATCTTCCCATAAAAACTAGACAGAAGCATTCTCAGAAACTTGTTTGTGATGTGTGCCCTCTACTGACAGAGTTGAACCTTTCTTTGCAAAGAGCAGTTTTGAAACACTCTTTTTGTAGAATCTGCAAGAGGATATTTGGATAGCTTTGAGGATTTCTTGGGAAACGGGAATGTCTTCAGATAAACTCTAGACAGAAGCATTCTCAGAAACTTCTTTGGGATGTTTCAATTGAAGTCACAGTGTTGAACATTCCCTTTCACAGAGCAGGTTTCAAACACTCTTTTTGTAGTGTCTATAAGTGAACATTTGGCGTGCTTTCAGGCCTAACGTGAAAAAGGAAATATCTTCCCATAAAAACTAGACAGAAGCATTCTCAGAAACTTGTTCGTGATGTGTGCCCTCTACTGACAGAGTTGAACCTTTCTTTGCAAAGAGCAGCTTTGAAACACACTTTTTGTAGAATCTGCAAGAGGATATTTGGATAGCTTTGAGGATTTCGTTGGAAACGGGTATGTCTTCAGATAAACTCTAGACAGAAGCATTCTCAGAAACTTCTTTGGGATGTTGCATGCAAGTCACAGAGTAGAACATTCCCATTCATAAATCAGATTTGAAACACTCTTTTTGTAGTATCTGGAAGTGGACATTTGGAGCGCTTTCAGGCCTATGTTGAAAAAGGAAATATCTTCCCATAAAAACTAGACGGAAGCATTCTCAGAAACTTATTTGTGATGTGTTTGCTCAACTAACAGGATTGAACCATCGTTTTGAAGGAGCAGTTTTGAAACACTGTTTTCGTGGAATCTGCAAGTGGATATTTGGCTAGCTTTGAGGATTTTGTTGGAAACGGGATTACATATAAAAAGGAGACAGCAGCATTCTGAGAAACTTCTTTGTGATGTCTGCATTCAATTCACAGAGTTGAGCATTCCCTTTCATAGAGCAGGTTGGAAACACTCTTTTTGTAGTATCTGGATGTGGACATTTGGATCGCTTTCAGGCCTATGGTGAAAAAGGAAATATCTTCCCATGAAAACTAGACAGAAGCATTCTCAGAAATTTATTTGTGATGTGTGCCCTCAACTAACAGAGTTGAACCTTTCTTTTGATAGAGCAGTTTTGAAACACTCTTTTTGTAAAATCTGCAAGAGGATATTTGGATAGCTTTGAGGATTTCGTTGCAAACGGGAATGGCTTCATATAAACTCTAGACAGAAGCATTCTCAGAAACTTCGTTGGGATGTTTCGATTGAAGTCCCAGTGTTGAACATTCCCTTTTATAGAGCAGGTTGGAAACACTCTTTCTGCATTCCCTGGAAGTGGACATTTGGAGCGCTTTCAGGACGACGGTGAAAATGGAAATATCTTCCAAGAAAATCTAGATAGAAGCAACGTCAGAAACTTTTATGTGATGGATCTACTCAGCTAACAGAGTTGAACCTTTCTTTTGAGAGAGCAGTTTTGCAACACACTTTTTGTGGAATATGCAAGTGGATATTAGGGCAGCTTTGAGGATTTCGTTGGAAACGGGAATACATGTAAAAAGCAGACAGCAGCATTCTCAGAAACTTCTTTGTGATGTTTGCATTGAAGTCACAGAGTTGAACATTCCCTTTGAGAGAGCAGGTTTGAAACACGCCTTTTGTCATATCTGGAAGTGTCCATTCGGAGCGCATTCAGGCTTGTGTTGAAAAAGGAAATATCCTCCCATAAAAACTAGACAGAAGCATTCTCAGAAACTTATCTGTGATGTATGTACTCAACTAACAGAACTAAACCATCGTTTTGAAGGAGCAGTTTTGAAACACTCTTTTTGCGGAATCTGCAAGTGGATATTTGGCTAGCTGGGAGGATTTCGTTGGAAACGGGATTACATACAAAAAGCAGACAGCAGCATTCTCAGAAACTTCTTTGTGATGTTTGCATTCAAGTCACAGAGTTGAACATTCCCTTTCATAGAGCAGGTTTGAAACACTCTTTTTGTAGTATCTGGATGTGGACATTTGGATCGCTTTCAGGCCTATGGTGAAAAAGGAAATATCTTCCCATGAAAACTAGACAGAAGCATTCTCAGAAACTTATTTGTGATGTGTGCCCTCAACTGACAGTGTTGAACCTTTGTTTTGATAGAGCAGTTCTGAAACACACTTTTTGTAAAATCTGCAAGAGGATATTTGGATAGCTTTGAGGATTTCGTTGGAAACGGGAATGTCTTCATGTAAACTCTACACAGAAGCATTCTCAGAAACTGCTTTGGGATGTTTCAATTGAAGTCCCAGTGTTGAACATTCCCTTTCATAGAGCAGGTTTGAAACCCTCTTTTTGTACTATCTGGAAGTGGACTTTTGGAGCCCTTTCAGGTCTACGGTGAAAAAGGAGATATCTTCCAATAAAAACTAGATAGAAGCAATGTCAGAACTTTTTTCATGATGTATCTACTCAGCAAACAGAGTTGAACCTTTCTTTTGAGAGAGCAGTTTTGACACTGTCTTTGTGGAATATGCAAGTGGGTATTAGGCCAGCTTGGAGGATTTCGTTGGAAACGGGAATACGTATAAAAAGCAGACAGCAGCATTGTCAGAAACTACTTTGTGATGTTTGCATTCAAGTCACAGAATTGAACACTCCCTTTCACAGAGCAGGTTTGAAACACTCTTTTTGTAGTGTCTGTAAGTGAACATTTGGATTGCTTTCAGGCCTATGGTGAAAAAGGTAATATCTTCCCATAAAAACTAGACAGAAGCATTCTCAGAAACTTGTTTGTGATGTGTGCCCTCTACTGACAGAGTTGAACCTTTCTTTGCAAAGAGCAGTTTTGAAACACTCTTTTTGTAGAATCTGCAAGAGGATATTTGGATAGCTTTGAGGATTTCTTGGGAAACGGGAATGTCTTCAGATAAACTCTAGACAGAAGCATTCTCAGAAACTTCTTTGGGATGTTTCAATTGAAGTCACAGTGTTGAACATTCCCTTTCACAGAGCAGGTTTGGAACACTCTTTTTGTAGTGTCTATAAGTGAACATTTGGCGTGCTTTCAGGCCTAACGTGAAAAAGGAAATATCTTCCCATAAAAACTAGACGGAAGCATTCTCAGAAACTTGTTCGTGATGTGTGCCCTCTACTGACAGAGTTGAACCTTTCTTTGCAAAGAGCAGCTTTGAAACACACTTTTTGTAGAATCTGCAAGAGGATATTTGGATAGCTTGGAGGATTTCGTTGGAAACGGGTATGTCTTCAGATAAACTCTAGACAGAAGCATTCTCAGAAACTTCTTTGGGATGTTGCATTCAAGTCACAGAGTAGAACATTCCCATTCATAGAGCAGATTTGAAACACTCTTTTTGTAGTATCTGGAAGTGGACATTTGGAGCGCTTTCAGGCCTATGTTGAAAAAGGAAATATCTTCCCATAAAAACTAGACGGAAGCATTCTCAGAAACTTATTTGTGATGTGTTTGCTCAACTAACAGGATTGAACCATCGTTTTGAAGGAGCAGTTTTGAAACACTGTTTTCGTGGAATCTGCAGGTGGATATTTGGCTAGCTTTGAGGATTTCGTTGGAAACGGGATTACATATAAAAAGGAGACAGCAGCATTCTCAGAAACTTCTTTGTGATGTCTGCATTCAATTCACAGAGTTGAGCATTCCCTTTCATAGAGCAGGTTGGAAACACTCTTTTTGTAGTATCTGGATGAGGACATTTGGAGCGCTTTCAGGCGTATGGTGAAAAAGGAAATATCTTCCCGTAAAAACTAGACAGAAGCATTCTCAGAAGTTTATTTGAGATGTGTGCCCTCAACTAACAGAGTTGAACCTTTCTTTTGATAGAGCAGTTTTGAAACACTCTTTTTGTAAAATCTGCAAGAGGATATTTGGATAGCTTTGAGGATTTCGTTGCAAACGGGAATGGCTTCATATAAACTCTAGACAGAAGCATTCTCAGAAACTTCGTTGGGATGTTTTGATTGAAGTCCCAGTGTTGAACATTCCCTTTTATAGAGCAGGTTGGAAACACTCTTTCTGCATTCCCTGGAAGTGGACATTTGGAGCGCTTTCAGGACGACGGTGAAAATGGAAATATCTTCCAAGAAAATCTAGATAGAAGCAATGTCAGAAACTTTTATGTGATGGATCTACTCAGCTAACAGAGTTGAACCTTTCTTTTGAGAGAGCAGTTTTGCAACACTCTTTTTGTGGAATATGCAAGTGGATATTAGGGCAGCTTTGAGGATTTCGTTGGAAACGGGAATACATGTAAAAAGCAGACAGCAGCATTCTCAGAAACTTCTTTGTGATGTTTGCATTGAAGTCACAGAGTTGAACATTCCCTTTGAGAGAGCAGGTTTGAAACACGCCTTTTGTCATATCTGGAAGTGTCCATTCGGAGCGCATTCAGGCTTGTGTTGAAAAAGGAAATATCCTCCCATAAAAACTAGACAGAAGCATTCTCAGAAACTTATCTGTGATGTATGTACTCAACTAACAGAACTAAACCATCGTTTTGAAGGAGCAGTTTTGAAACACTCTTTTTGCGGAATCTGCAAGTGGATATTTGGCTAGCTGGGAGGATTTCGTTGGAAACGGGATTACATACAAAAAGCAGACAGCAGCATTCTCAGAAACTTCTTTGTGATGTTTGCATTCAAGTCACAGAGTTGAACATTCCCTTTCATAGAGCAGGTTTGAAACACTCTTTTTGTAGTATCTGGATGTGGACATTTGGATCGCTTTCAGGCCTATGGTGAAAAAGGAAATATCTTCCCATGAAAACTAGACAGAAGCATTCTCAGAAACTTATTTGTGATGTGTGCCCTCAACTGACAGTGTTGAACCTTTGTTTTGATAGAGCAGTTCTGAAACACACTTTTTGTAAAATCTGCAAGAGGATATTTGGATAGCTTTGAGGATTTCGTTGGAAACGGGAATGTCTTCATGTAAACTCTACACAGAAGCATTCTCAGAAACTGCTTTGGGATGTTTCAATTGAAGTCCCAGTGTTGAACATTCCCATTCATAGAGCAGGTTTGAAACACTCTTTTTGTACTATCTGGAAGTGGACATTTGGAGCGCTTTCAGGTCTACGGTGAAAAAGGAGATATCTTCCAATAAAAACTAGATAGAAGCAATGTCAGAACTTTTTTCATGATGCATCTACTCAGCTAACAGAGTTGAACCTTTCTTTTGAGAGAGCAGTTTTGAAACACTCTTTGTGTGGAATATGCAAGTGGGTATTAGGCCAGCTTGGAGGATTTCGTTGGAAACGGGAATACGTATAAAAAGCAGACAGCAGCATTGTCAGAAACTACTTTGTGATGTTTGCATTCAAGTCACAGAATTGAACACTCCCTTTCACAGAGCAGGTTTGAAACACTCTTTTTGTAGTGTCTGTAAGTGAACATATGGATTGCTTTCAGGCCTAAGGTGAAAAAGGAAATATCTTCCCATAAAAACTAGACAGAAGCATTCTCAGAAACTTGTTTGTGATGTGTGCCCTCTACTGACAGAGTTGAACCTTTCTTTGCAAAGAGCAGTTTTGAAACACTCTTTTTGTAGAATCTGCAAGAGGATATTTGGATAGCTTTGAAGATTTCTTGGGAAACGGGAATGTCTTCAGATAAACTCTAGACAGAAGCATTCTCAGAAACTTCTTTGGGATGTTTCAATTGAAGTCACAGTGTTGAACATTCCCTTTCACAGAGCAGGTTTGAAACACTCTTTTTGTAGTGTCTATAAGTGAACATTTGGCGTGCTTTCAGGCCTAAGGTGAAAAAGGAAATATACTTCCCATAAAAACTAGACAGAAGCATTCTCAGAAACTTGTTCATGATGTGTGCCCTCTACTGACAGAGTTGAACCTTTCTTTGCAAAGAGCAGCTTTGAAACACTCTTTTTGTAGAATCTGCAAGAGGATATTTGGATAGCTTGGAGGATTTCGTTGGAAACGGGTATGTCTTCAGATAAACTCTAGACAGAAGCATTCTCAGAAACTTCATTGGGATGTTGCATTCAAGTCACAGAGTAGAACATTCCCATTCATAGAGCAGATTTGAAACACTCTTTTTGTAGTATCTGGAAGTGGACATTTGGAGCGCTTTCAGGCCTATGTTGAAAAAGGAAATATCTTCCCATAAAAACTAGACGGAAGCATTCTCAGAAACTTATTTGTGATGTGTTTGCTCAACTAACAGGATTGAACCATCGTTTTGAAGGAGCAGTTTTGAAACACTGTTTTCGTGGAATCTGCAAGTGGATATTTGGCTAGCTTTGAGGATTTCGTTGGAAACGGGATTACATATAAAAAGGAGACAGCAGCATTCTCAGAAACTTCTTTGTGATGTTTGCATTCAATTCACAGAGTTGAGCATTCCCTTTCATAGAGCAGGTTGGAAACACTCTTTTTGTAGTATCTGGATGTGGACATTTGGATCGCTTTCAGGCCTATGGTGAAAAAGGAAATATCTTCCCATGAAAACTAGACAGAAGCATTCTCAGAAACTTATTTGTGATGTGTGCCCTCAACTGACAGTGTTGAACCTTTGTTTTGATAGAGCAGTTCTGAAACACACTTTTTGTAAAATCTGCAAGAGGATATTTGGATAGCTTTGAGGATTTCGTTGGAAACGGGAATGTCTTCATGTAAACTCTAGACAGAAGCATTCTCAGAAACTGCTTTGGGATGTTTCAATTGAAGTCCCAGTGTTGAACATTCCCTTTCATAGAGCAGGTTTGAAACACTCTTTTTGTACTATCTGGAAGTGGACATTTGGAGCGCTTTCAGGTCTACGGTGAAAAAGGAGATATCTTCCAATAAAAACTAGATAGAAGCAATGTCAGAACTTTTTTCATGATGTATCTACTCAGCAAACAGAGTTGAACCTTTCTTTTGAGAGAGCAGTTTTGAAACACTCTTTTTGTGGAATATGCAAGTGGGTATTAGGCCAGCTTGGAGGATTTCGTTGGAAACGGGAATACGTATAAAAAGCAGACAGCAGCATTGTCAGAAACTACTTTGTGATGTTTGCATTCAAGTCACAGAATTGAACACTCCCTTTCACAGAGCAGGTTTGAAACACTCTTTTTGTAGTGTCTGTAAGTGAACATTTGGATTGCTTTCAGGCCTAAGGTGAAAAAGGAAATATCTTCCCATAAAAACTAGACAGAAGCATTCTCAGAAACTTGTTTCTGATGTGTGCCCTCTACTGACAGAGTTGAACCTTTCTTTGCAAAGAGCAGTTTTGAAACACTCTTTTTGTAGAATCTGCAAGAGGATATTTGGATAGCTTTGAGGATTTCTTGGGAAACGGGAATGTCTTCAGATAAACTCTAGACAGAAGCATTCTCAGAAAACTTCTTTGGGATGTTTCAATTGAAGTCACAGTGTTGAACATTCCCTTTCACAGAGCAGGTTTGAAACACTCTTTTTGTAGTGTCTATAAGTGAACATTTGGCGTGCTTTCAGGCCTAACGTGAAAAAGGAAATATCTTCCCATAAAAACTAGACAGAAGCATTCTCAGAAACTTGTTCCTGATGTGTGCCCTCTACTGACAGAGTTGAACCTTTCTTTGCAAAGAGCAGCTTTGAAACACTCTTTTTGTAGAATCTGCAAGAGGATATTTGGATAGCTTTGAGGATTTCGTTGGAAACGGGTATGTCTTCAGATAAACTCTAGACAGAAGCATTCTCAGAAACTTCTTTGGGATGTTGCATTCAAGTCACAGAGTAGAACATTCCCATTCATAGAGCAGATTTGAAACACTCTTTTTGTAGTATCTGGAAGTGGACATTTGGAGCGCTTTCAGGCCTATGTTGAAAAAGGAAATATCTTCCCATAAAAACTAGACGGAAGCATTCTCAGAAACTTATTTGTGATGTGTTTGCTCAACTAACAGGATTGAACCATCGTTTTGAAGGAGCAGTTTTGAAACACTGTTTTCATGGAATCTGCAAGTGGATATTTGGCTAGCTTTGAGGATTTCGTTGGAAACGGGATTACATATAAAAAGGAGACAGCAGCATTCTCAGAAACTTCTTTGTGATGTCTGCATTCAATTCACAGAGTTGAGCATTCCCTTTCATAGAGCAGGTTGGAAACACTCTTTTTGTAGTATCTGGATGAGGACATTTGGAGCGCTTTCAGGCGTATGGTGAAAAAGGAAATATCTTCCCGTAAAAACTAGACAGAAGCATTCTCAGAAATTTATTTGTGATGTGTGCCCTCAACTAACAGAGTTGAACCTTTCTTTTGATAGAGCAGTTTTGAAACACTCTTTTTGTAAAATCTGCAAGAGGATATTTGGATAGCTTTGAGGATTTCGTTGCAAACGGGAATGGCTTCATATAAACTCTAGACAGAAGCATTCTCAGAAACTTCGTTGGGATGTTTCGATTGAAGTCCCAGTGTTGAACATTCCCTTTTATAGAGCAGGTTGGAAACACTCTTTCTGCATTCCCTGGAAGTGGACATTTGGAGAGCTTTCAGGACGACGGTGAAAATGGAAATATCTTCCAAGAAAATCTAGATAGAAGCAATGTCAGAAACTTTTATGTGATGGATCTACTCAGCTAACAGAGTTGAACCTTTCTTTTGAGACAGCAGTTTTGCAACACTCTTTTTGTGGAATATGCAAGTGGATATTAGGGCAGCTTTGAGGATTTCGTTGGAAACGGGAATACATGTAAAAAGCAGACAGCAGCATTCTCAGAAACTTCTTTGTGATGTTTGCATTGAAGTCACAGAGTTGAACATTCCCTTTGAGAGAGCAGGTTTGAAACACGCCTTTTGTCATATCTGGAAGTGTCCATTCGGAGCGCATTCAGGCTTGTGTTGAAAAAGGAAATATCCTCCCATAAAAACTAGACAGAAGCATTCTCAGAAACTTATCTGTGATGTATGTACTCAACTAACAGAACTAAACCATCGTTTTGAAGGAGCAGTTTTGAAACACTCTTTTTGCGGAATCTGCAAGTGGATATTTGGCTAGCTGGGAGGATTTCGTTGGAAACGGGATTACATACAAAAAGCAGACAGCAGCATTCTCAGAAACTTCTTTGTGATGTTTGCATTCAAGTCACAGAGTTGAACATTCCCTTTCATAGAGCAGGTTTGAAACACTCTTTTTGTAGTATCTGGATGTGGACATTTGGATCGCTTTCAGGCCTATGGTGAAAAAGGAAATATCTTCCCATGAAAACTAGACAGAAGCATTCTCAGAAACTTATTTGTGATGTGTGCCCTCAACTGACAGTGTTGAACCTTTGTTTTGATAGAGCAGTTCTGAAACACACTTTTTGTAAAATCTGCAAGAGGATATTTGGATAGCTTTGAGGATTTCGTTGCAAACGGGAATGTCTTCATGTAAACTCTGGACAGAAGCATTCTCAGAAACTGCTTTGGGATGTTTCAATTGAAGTCCCAGTGTTGAACATTCCCTTTCATAGGAGCAGGTTTGAAACACTCTTTTTGTACTATCTGGAAGTGGACATTTGGAGCGCTTTCAGGTCTACGGTGAAAAAGGAGATATCTTCCAATAAAAACTAGATAGAAGCAATGTCAGAACTTTTTTCATGATGTATCTACTCAGCTAACAGAGTTGAACCTTTCTTTTGAGAGAGCAGTTTTGAAACACTCTTTTTGTGGAATATGCAAGTGGGTATTAGGCCAGCTTGGAGGATTTCGTTGGAAACGGGAATACGTATAAAAAGCAGACAGCAGCATTGTCAGAAACTACTTTGTGATATTTGCATTCAAGTCACAGAATTGAACACTCCCTTTCACAGAGCAGGTTTGAAACACTCTTTTTGTAGTGTCTGTAAGTGAACATATGGATTGCTTTCAGGCCTAAGGTGAAAAAGGAAATATCTTCCCATAAAAACTAGACAGAAGCATTCTCAGAAACTTGTTTGTGATGTGTGCCCTCTACTGACAGAGTTGAACCTTTCTTTGCAAAGAGCAGTTTTGAAACACTCTTTTTGTAGAATCTGCAAGAGGATATTTGGATAGCTTTGAAGATTTCTTGGGAAACGGGAATGTCTTCAGATAAACTCTAGACAGAAGCATTCTCAGAAACTTCTTTGGGATGTTTCAATTGAAGTCACAGTGTTGAACATTCCCTTTCACAGAGCAGGTTTGAAACACTCTTTTTGTAGTGTCTATAAGTGAACATTTGGCGTGCTTTCAGGCCTAACGTGAAAAAGGAAATATCTTCCCATAAAAACTAGACAGAAGCATTCTCAGAAACTTGTTCATGATGTGTGCCCTCTACTGACAGAGTTGAACCTTTCTTTGCAAAGAGCAGCTTTGAAACACTCTTTTTGTAGAATCTGCAAGAGGATATTTGGATAGCTTTGAGGATTTCGTTGGAAACGGGTATGTCTTCAGATAAACTCTAGACAGAAGCATTCTCAGAAACTTCTTTGGGATGTTGCATTCAAGTCACAGAGTAGAACATTCCCATTCATAGAGCAGATTTGAAACACTCTTTTTGTAGTATCTGGAAGTGGACATTTGGAGCGCTTTCAGGCCTATGTTGAAAAAGGAAATATCTTCCCATAAAAACTAGACGGAAGCATTCTCAGAAACTTACTTGTGATGTGTTTGCTCAACTAACAGAATTGAACCATCGTTTTGAAGGAGCAGTTTTGAAACACTGTTTTCGTGGAATCTGCAAGTGGATATTTGGCTAGCTTTGAGGATTTCGTTGGAAACGGGATTACATATAAAAAGGAGACAGCAGCATTCTCAGAAACTTCTTTGTGATGTCTGCATTCAAGTCACAGAGTTGAGCATTCCCTTTCATAGAGCAGGTTGGAAACACTCTTTTTGTAGTATCTGGATGAGGACATTTGGAGCGCTTTCAGGCCTATGGTGAAAAAGGAAATATCTTCCCGTAAAAACTAGACAGAAGCATTCTCAGAAATTTATTTGTGATGTGTGCCCTCAACTAACAGAGTTGAACCTTTCTTTTGATAGAGCAGTTTTGAAACACTCTTTTTGTAAAATCTGCAAGAGGATATTTGGATAGCTTTGAGGATTTCGTTGCAAACGGGAATGGCTTCATATAAACTCTAGACAGAAGCATTCTCAGAAACTTCGTTGGGATGTTTCGATTGAAGTCCCAGTGTTGAACATTCCCTTTTATAGAGCAGGTTGGAAACACTCTTTCTGCATTCCCTGGAAGTGGACATTTGGAGCGCTTTCAGGACGACGGTGAAAATGGAAATATCTTCCAAGAAAATCTAGATAGAAGCAACGTCAGAAACTTTTATGTGATGGATCTACTCAGCTAACAGAGTTGAACCTTTCTTTTGAGAGAGCAGTTTTGCAACACTCTTTTTGTGGAATATGCAAGTGGATATTAGGGCAGCTTTGAGGATTTCGTTGGAAACGGGAATACATGTAAAAAGCAGACAGCAGCATTCTCAGAAACTTCTTTGTGATGTTTGCATTGAAGTCACAGAGTTGAACATTCCCTTTGAGAGAGCAGGTTTGAAACACGCCTTTTGTCATATCTGGAAGTGTCCATTCGGAGCGCATTCAGGCTTGTGTTGAAAAAGGAAATATCCTCCCATAAAAACTAGACAGAAGCATTCTCAGAAACTTATCTGTGATGTATGTACTCAACTAACAGAACTAAACCATCGTTTTGAAGGAGCAGTTTTGAAACACTCTTTTTGCGGAATCTGCAAGTGGATATTTGGCTAGCTGGGAGGATTTCGTTGGAAACGGGATTACATACAAAAAGCAGACAGCAGCATTCTCAGAAACTTCTTTGTGATGTTTGCATTCAAGTCACAGAGTTGAACATTCCCTTTCATAGAGCAGGTTTGAAACACTCTTTTTGTAGTATCTGGATGTGGACATTTGGATCGCTTTCAGGCCTATGGTGAAAAAGGAAATATCTTCCCATGAAAACTAGACAGAAGCATTCTCAGAAACTTATTTGTGATGTGTGCCCTCAACTGACAGTGTTGAACCTTTGTTTTGATAGAGCAGTTCTGAAACACACTTTTTGTAAAATCTGCAAGAGGATATTTGGATAGCTTTGAGGATTTCGTTGGAAACGGGAATGTCTTCATGTAAACTCTACACAGAAGCATTCTCAGAAACTGCTTTGGGATGTTTCAATTGAAGTCCCAGTGTTGAACATTCCCATTCATAGAGCAGGTTTGAAACACTCTTTTTGTAATATCTGGAAGTGGACATTTGGAGCGCTTTCAGGTCTACGGTGAAAAAGGAGATATCTTCCAATAAAAACTAGATAGAAGCAATGTCAGAACTTTTTTCATGATGTATCTACTCAGCTAACAGAGTTGAACCTTTCTTTTGAGAGAGCAGTTTTGAAACACTCTTTTTGTGGAATATGCAAGTGGGTATTAGGCCAGCTTGGAGGATTTCGTTGGAAACGGGAATACGTATAAAAAGCAGACAGCAGCATTGTCAGAAACTACTTTGTGATGTTTGCATTCAAGTCACAGAATTGAACACTCCCTTTCACAGAGCAGGTTTGAAACACTCTTTTTGTAGTGTCTGTAAGTGTACATTTGGATTGCTTTCAGGCCTAAGGTGAAAAAGGAAATATCTTCCCATAAAAACTAGACAGAAGCATTCTCAGAAACTTGTTCGTGATGTGTGCCCTCTACTGACAGAGTTGAACCTTTCTTTGCAAAGAGCAGCTTTGAAACACTCTTTTTGTAGAATCTGAAAGAGGATATTTGGATAGCTTTGAGGATTTCGTTGCAAACGGGAATGGCTTCATATAAACTCTAGACAGAAGCATTCTCAGAAACTTCGTTGGGATGTTTCGATTGAAGTCCCAGTGTTGAACATTCCCTTTTATAGAGCAGGTTGGAAACACTCTTTCTGCATTCCCTGGAAGTGGACATTTGGAGCGCTTTCAGGACGACGGTGAAAATGGAAATATCTTCCAAGAAAATCTAGATAGAAGCAACGTCAGAAACTTTTATGTGATGGATCTACTCAGCTAACAGAGTTGAACCTTTCTTTTGAGAGAGCAGTTTTGCAACACTCTTTTTGTGGAATATGCAAGTGGATATTAGGGCAGCTTTGAGGATTTCGTTGGAAACGGGAATACATGTAAAAAGCAGACAGCAGCATTCTCAGAAACTTCTTTGTGATGTTTGCATTGAAGTCACAGAGTTGAACATTCCCTTTGAGAGAGCAGGTTTGAAACACGCCTTTTGTCATATCTGGAAGTGTCCATTCGGAGCGCATTCAGGCTTGTGTTGAAAAAGGAAATATCCTCCCAGAAAAACTAGACAGAAGCATTCTCAGAAACTTATCTGTGATGTATGTACTCAACTAACAGAACTAAACCATCGTTTTGAAGGAGCAGTTTTGAAACACTCTTTTTGCGGAATCTGCAAGTGGATATTTGGCTAGCTGGGAGGATTTCGTTGGAAACGGGATTACATACAAAAAGCAGACAGCAGCATTCTCAGAAACTTCTTTGTGATGTTTGCATTCAAGTCACAGAGTTGAACATTCCCTTTCATAGAGCAGGTTTGAAACACTCTTTTTGTAGTATCTGGATGTGGACATTTGGATCGCTTTCAGGCCTATGGTGTAAAAGGAAATATCTTCCCATGAAAACTAGACAGAAGCATTCTCAGAAACTTATTTGTGATGTGTGCCCTCAACTGACAGTGTTGAACCTTTGTTTTGATAGAGCAGTTCTGAAACACACTTTTTGTAAAATCTGCAAGAGGATATTTGGATAGCTTTGAGGATTTCGTTGGAAACGGGAATGTCTTCATGTAAACTCTACATAGAAGCATTCTCAGAAACTGCTTTGGGATGTTTCAATTGAAGTCCCAGTGTTGAACATTCCCATTCATAGAGCAGGTTTGAAACACTCTTTTTGTACTATCTGGAAGTGGACATTTGGAGCGCTTTCAGGTCTACGGTGAAAAAGGAGATATCTTCCAATAAAAACTAGATAGAAGCAATGTCAGAACTTTTTTCATGATGTATCTACTCAGCAAACAGAGTTGAACCTTTCTTTTGAGAGAGCAGTTTTGAAACACTCTTTTTGTGGAATATGCAAGTGGGTATTAGGCCAGCTTGGAGGATTTCGTTGGAAACGGGAATACGTATAAAAAGCAGACAGCAGCATTGTCAGAAACTACTTTGTGATGTTTGCATTCAAGTCACAGAATTGAACACTCCCTTTCACAGAGCAGGTTTGAAACACTCTTTTTGTAGTGTCTGTAAGTGAACATATGGATTGCTTTCAGGCCTAAGGTGAAAAAGGAAATATCTTCCCATAAAAACTAGACAGAAGCATTCTCAGAAACTTGTTTGTGATGTGTGCCCTCTACTGACAGAGTTGAACCTTTCTTTGCAAAGAGCAGTTTTGAAACACTCTTTTTGTAGAATCTGCAAGAGGATATTTGGATAGCTTTGAGGATTTCTTGGGAAACGGGAATGTCTTCAGATAAACTCTAGACAGAAGCATTCTCAGAAACTTCTTTGGGATGTTTCAATTGAAGTCACAGTGTTGAACATTCCCTTTCACAGAGCAGGTTTGAAACACTCTTTTTGTAGTGTCTATAAGTGAACATTTGGCGTGCTTTCAGGCCTAACGTGAAAAAGGAAATATCTTCCCATAAAAACTAGACAGAAGCATTCTCAGAAACTTGTTCTTGATGTGTCCCCTCTACTGACAGAGTTGAACCTTTCTTTGCAAAGAGCAGCTTTGAAACACTCTTTTTGTAGAATCTGCAAGAGGATATTTGGATAGCTTGGAGGATTTCGTTGGAAACGGGTATGACTTCAGATAAACTCTAGACAGAAGCATTCTCAGAAACTTCTTTGGGATGTTGCATTCAAGTCACAGAGTAGAACATTCCCATTCATAGAGCAGATTTGAAACACTCTTTTTGTAGTATCTGGAAGTGGACATTTGGAGCGCTTTCAGGCCTATGTTGAAAAAGGAAATATCTTCCCATAAAAACTAGACGGAAGCATTCTCAGAAACTTATTTGTGATGTGTTTGCTCAACTAACAGGATTGAACCATCGTTTTGAAGGAGCAGTTTTGAAACACTGTTTTCGTGGAATCTGCAAGTGGATATTTGGCTAGCTTTGAGGATTTCGTTGGAAACGGGATTACATATAAAAAGGAGACAGCAGCATTCTCAGAAACTTCTTTGTGATGTCTGCATTCAATTCACAGAGTTGAGCATTCCCTTTCATAGAGCAGGTTGGAAACACTCTTTTTGTAGTATCTGGATGAGGACATTTGGAGCGCTTTCAGGCGTATGGTGAAAAAGGAAATATCTTCCCGTAAAAACTAGACAGAAGCATTCTCAGAAGTTTATTTGTGATGTGTGCCCTCAACTAACAGAGTTGAACCTTTCTTTTGATAGAGCAGTTTTGAAACACTCTTTTTGTAAAATCTGCAAGAGGATATTTGGATAGCTTTGAGGATTTCGTTGCAAACGGGAATGGCTTCATATAAACTCTAGACAGAAGCATTCTCAGAAACTTCGTTGGGATGTTTCGATTGAAGTCCCAGTGTTGAACATTCCCTTTTATAGAGCAGGTTGGAAACACTCTTTCTGCATTCCCTGGAAGTGGACATTTGGAGCGCTTTCAGGACGACGGTGAAAATGGAAATATCTTCCAAGAAAATCTAGATAGAAGCAATGTCAGAAACTTTTATGTGATGGATCTACTCAGCTAACAGAGTTGAAGCTTTCTTTTGAGAGAGCAGTTTTGCAACACTCTTTTTGTGGAATATGCAAGTGGATATTAGGGCAGCTTTGAGGATTTCGTTGGAAACGGGAATACATGTAAAAAGCAGACAGCAGCATTCTCAGAAACTTCTTTGTGATGTTTGCATTGAAGTCACAGAGTTGAACATTCCCTTTGAGAGAGCAGGTTTGAAACACGCCTTTTGTCATATCTGGAAGTGTCCATTCGGAGCGCATTCAGGCTTGTGTTGAAAAAGGAAATATCCTCCCATAAAAACTAGACAGAAGCATTCTCAGAAACTTATCTGTGATGTATGTACTCAACTAACAGAACTAAACCATCGTTTTGAAGGAGCAGTTTTGAAACACTCTTTTTGCGGAATCTGCAAGTGGATATTTGGCTAGCTGGGAGGATTTCGTTGGAAACGGGATTACATACAAAAAGCAGACAGCAGCATTCTCAGAAACTTCTTTGTGATGTTTGCATTCAAGTCACAGAGTTGAACATTCCCTTTCATAGAGCAGGTTTGAAACACTCTTTTTGTAGTATCTGGATGTGGACATTTGGATCGCTTTCAGGCCTATGGTGAAAAAGGAAATATCTTCCCATGAAAACTAGACAGAAGCATTCTCAGAAACTTATTTGTGATGTGTGCCCTCAACTGACAGTGTTGAACCTTTGTTTTGATAGAGCAGTTCTGAAACACACTTTTTGTAAAATCTGCAAGAGGATATTTGGATAGCTTTGAGGATTTCGTTGGAAACGGGAATGTCTTCATGTAAACTCTAGACAGAAGCATTCTCAGAAACTGCTTTGGGATGTTTCAATTGAAGTCCCAGTGTTGAACATTCCCTTTCATAGAGCAGGTTTGAAACACTCTTTTTGTACTATCTGGAAGTGGACATTTAGAGCGCTTTCAGGTCTACGGTGAAAAAGGAGATATCTTCCAATAAAAACTAGATAGAAAGCAATGTCAGAACTTTTTTCATGATGTATCTACTCAGCTAACAGAGTTGAACCTTTCTTTTGAGAGAGCAGTTTTGAAACACTCTTTGTGTGGAATATGCAAGTGGGTATTAGGCCAGCTTGGAGGATTTCGTTGGAAACGGGAATACGTATAAAAAGCAGACAGCAGCATTGTCAGAAACTACTTTGTGATGTTTGCATTCAAGTCACAGAATTGAACACTCCCTTTCACAGAGCAGGTTTGAAACACTCTTTTTGTAGTGTCTGTAAGTGAACATATGGATTGCTTTCAGGCCTAAGGTGAAAAAGGAAATATCTTCCCATAAAAACTAGACAGAAGCATTCTCAGAAACTTGTTTGTGATGTGTGCCCTCTACTGACAGAGTTGAACCTTTCTTTGCAAAGAGCAGTTTTGAAACACTCTTTTTGTAGAATCTGCAAGAGGATATTTGGATAGCTTTGAGGATTTCTTGGGAAACGGGAATGTCTTCAGATAAACTCTAGACAGAAGCATTCTCAGAAACTTCTTTGGGATGTTTCAATTGAAGTCACAGTGTTGAACATTCCCTTTCACAGAGCAAGTTTGAAACACTCTTTTTGTAGTGTCTATAAGTGAACATTTGGCGTGCTTTCAGGCCTAACGTGAAAAAGGAAATATCTTCCCATAAAAACTAGACAGAAGCATTCTCAGAAACTTGTTCGTGATGTGTGCCCTCTACTGACAGAGTTGAACCTTTCTTTGCAAAGAGCAGCTTTGAAACACACTTTTTGTAGAATCTGCAAGAGGATATTTGGATAGCTTTGAGGATTTCGTTGGAAACGGGTATGTCTTCAGATAAACTCTAGACAGAAGCATTCTCAGAAACTTCTTTGGGATGTTGCATTCAAGTCACAGAGTAGAACATTCCCATTCATAGAGCAGATTTGAAACACTCTTTTTGTAGTATCTGGAAGTGGACATTTGGAGCGCTTTCAGGCCTATGTTGAAAAAGGAAATATCTTCCCATAAAAACTAGACGGAAGCATTCTCAGAAACTTATTTGTGATGTGTTTGCTCAACTAACAGGATTGAACCATCGTTTTGAAGGAGCAGTTTTGAAACACTGTTTTCGTGGAATCTGCAAGTGGATATTTGGCTAGCTTTGAGGATTTCGTTGGAAACGGGATTACATATAAAAAGGAGACAGCAGCATTCTCAGAAACTTCTTTGTGATGTCTGCATTCAATTCACAGAGTTGAGCATTCCCTTTCATAGAGCAGGTTGGAAACACTCTTTTTGTAGTATCTGGATGAGGACATTTGGAGCGCTTTCAGGCCTATGGTGAAAAAGGAAATATCTTCCCGTAAAAACTAGACAGAAGCATTCTCAGAAATTTATTTGTGATGTGTGCCCTCAACTAACAGAGTTGAACCTTTCTTTTGATAGAGCAGTTTTGAAACACTCTTTTTGTAAAATCTGCAAGAGGATATTTGGATAGCTTTGAGGATTTCGTTGCAAACGGGAATGGCTTCATATAAACTCTAGACAGAAGCATTCTCAGAAACTTCGTTGGGATGTTTCGATTGAAGTCCCAGTGTTGAACATTCCCTTTTATAGAGCAGGTTGGAAACACTCTTTCTGCATTCCCTGGAAGTGGACATTTGGAGCGCTTTCAGGACGACGGTGAAAATGGAAATATCTTCCAAGAAATTCTAGATAGAAGCAACGTCAGAAACTTTTATGTGATGGATCTACTCAGCTAACAGAGTTGAACCTTTCTTTTGAGAGAGCAGTTTTGCAACACTCTTTTTGTGGAATATGAAAGTGGATATTAGGGCAGCTTTGAGGATTTCGTTGGAAACGGGAATACATGTAAAAAGCAGACAGCAGCATTCTCAGAAACTTCTTTGTGATGTTTGCATTGAAGTCACAGAGTTGAACATTCCCTTTGAGAGAGCAGGTTTGAAACACGCCTTTTGTCATATCTGGAAGTGTCCATTCGGAGCGCATTCAGGCTTGTGTTGAAAAAGGAAATATCCTCCCATAAAAACTAGACAGAAGCATTCTCAGAAACTTATCTCTGATGTATGTACTCAACTAACAGAACTAAACCATCGTTTTGAAGGAGCAGTTTTGAAACACTCTTTTTGCGGAATCTGCAAGTGGATATTTGGCTAGCTGGGAGGATTTCGTTGGAAACGGGATTACATACAAAAAGCAGACAGCAGCATTCTCAGAAACTTATTTGTGATGTGTGCCCTCAACTGACAGTGTTGAACCTTTGTTTTGATAGAGCAGTTCTGAAACACACTTTTTGTAAAATCTGCAAGAGGATATTTGGATAGCTTTGAGGATTTCGTTGGAAACGGGAATGTCTTCATGTAAACTCTAGACAGAAGCATTCTCAGAAACTGCTTTGGGATGTTTCAATTGAAGTCCCAGTGTTGAACATTCCCTTTCATAGAGCAGGTTTGAAACACTCTTTTTGTACTATCTGGAAGTGGACATTTGGAGCGCTTTCAGGTCTACGGTGAAAAAGGAGATATCTTCCAATAAAAACTAGATAGAAGCAATGTCAGAACTTTTTTCATGATGTATCTACTCAGCAAACAGAGTTGAACCTTTCTTTTGAGAGAGCAGTTTTGAAACACTCTTTTTGTGGAATATGCAAGTGGGTATTAGGCCAGCTTGGAGGATTTCGTTGGAAACGGGAATACGTATAAAAAGCAGACAGCAGCATTGTCAGAAACTACTTTGTGATGTTTGCATTCAAGTCACAGAATTGAACACTCCCTTTCACAGAGCAGGTTTGAAACACTCTTTTTGTAGTGTCTGTAAGTGAACATTTGGATTGCTTTCAGGCCTAAGGTGAAAAAGGAAATATCTTCCCATAAAAACTAGACAGAAGCATTCTCAGAAACTTGTTTGTGATGTGTGCCCTCTACTGACAGAGTTGAAACTTTCTTTGCAAAGAGCTGTTTTGAAACACTCTTTTTGTAGAATCTGCAAGAGGATATTTGGATAGCTTTGAGGATTTCTTGGGAAACGGGAATGTCTTCAGATAAACTCTAGACAGAAGCATTCTCAGAAACTTCTTTGGGATGTTTCAATTGAAGTCAGTGTTGAACATTCCCTTTCACAGAGCAGGTTTGAAACACTCTTTTTGTAGTGTCTATAAGTGAACATTTGGCGTGCTTTCAGGCGTAACGTGAAAAAGGAAATATCTTCCCATAAAAACTAGACAGAAGCATTCTCAGAAACTTGTTCGTGATGTGTGCCCTCTACTGACAGAGTTGAACCTTTCTTTGCAAAGAGCAGCTTTGAAACACTCTTTTTGTAGAATCTGCAAGAGGATATTTGGATAGCTTTGAGGATTTCGTTGGAAACGGGTATGTCTTCAGATAAACTCTAGACAGAAGCATTCTCAGAAACTTCTTTGGGATGTTGCATTCAAGTCACAGAGTAGAACATTCCCATTCATAGAGCAGATTTGAAACACTCTTTTTGTAGTATCTGGAAGTGGACATTTGGAGCGCTTTCAGGCCTATGTTGAAAAAGGAAATATCTTCCCATAAAAACTAGACGGAAGCATTCTCAGAAACTTATTTGTGATGTGTTTGCTCAACTAACAGGATTGAACCATCGTTTTGAAGGAGCAGTTTTGAAACACTGTTTTCGTGGAATCTGCAAGTGGATATTTGGCTAGCTTTGAGGATTTCGTTGGAAACGGGATTACATATAAAAAGGAGACAGCAGCATTCTCAGAAACTTCTTTGTGATGTCTGCATTCAATTCACAGAGTTGAGCATTCCCTTTCATAGAGCAGGTTGGAAACACTCTTTTTGTAGTATCTGGATGAGGACATTTGGAGCGCTTTCAGGCGTATGGTGAAAAAGGAAATATCTTCCCGTAAAAACTAGACAGAAGCATTCTCAGAAGTTTATTTGTGATGTGTGCCCTCAACTAACAGAGTTGAACCTTTCTTTTGATAGAGCAGTTTTGAAACACTCTTTTTGTAAAATCTGCAAGAGGATATTTGGATAGCTTTGAGGATTTCGTTGCAAACGGGAATGGCTTCATATAAACTCTAGACAGAAGCATTCTCAGAAACTTCGTTGGGATGTTTCGATTGAAGTCCCAGTGTTGAACATTCCCTTTTATAGAGCAGGTTGGAAACACTCTTTCTGCATTCCCTGGAAGTGGACATTTGGAGCGCTTTCAGGACGACGGTGAAAATGGAAATATCTTCCAAGAAAATCTAGATAGAAGCAATGTCAGAAACTTTTATGTGATGGATCTACTCAGCTAACAGAGTTGAACCTTTCTTTTGAGAGAGCAGTTTTGCAACACTCTTTTTGTGGAATATGCAAGTGGATATTAGGGCAGCTTTGAGGATTTCGTTGGAAACGGGAATACATGTAAAAAGCAGACAGCAGCATTCTCAGAAACTTCTTTGTGATGTTTGCATTGAAGTCACAGAGTTGAACATTCCCTTTGAGAGAGCAGGATTGAAACACGCCTTTTGTCATATCTGGAAGTGTCCATTCGGAGCGCATTCAGGCTTGTGTTGAAAAAGGAAATATCCTCCCATAAAAAGTATACAGAAGCATTCTCAGAAACTTATTTGTGATGTATGTACTCAACTAACAGAACTAAACCATCGTTTTGACGGAGCAGTTTTGAAACACTCTTTTTGCGGAATCTGCAAGTGGATATTTGGCTAGCTGGGAGGATTTCGTTGGAAACGGGATTACATACAAAAAGCAGAGAGCAGCATTCTCAGAAACTTCTTTGTGATGTTTGCATTCAAGTCACAGAGTTGAACATTCCCTTTCATAGAGCAGGTTTGAAACACTCTTTTTGTAGTATCTGGATGTGGACATTTGGATCGCTTTCAGGCCTATGGTGAAAAAGGAAATATCTTCCCATGAAAACTAGACAGAAGCATTCTCAGAAACTTATTTGTGATGTGTGCCCTCAACTGACAGTGTTGAACCTTTGTTTTGATAGAGCAGTTCTGAAACACACTTTTTGTAAAATCTGCAAGAGGATATTTGGATAGCTTTGAGGATTTCGTTGGAAACGGGAATGTCTTCATGTAAACTCTAGACAGAAGCATTCTCAGAAACTGCTTTGGGATGTTTCAATTGAAGTCCCAGTGTTGAACATTCCCATTCATAGAGCAGGTTTGAAACACTCTTTTTGTACTATCTGGAAGTGGACATTTGGAGCGCTTTCAGGTCTACGGTGAAAAAGGAGATATCTTCCAATAAAAACTAGATAGAAGCAATGTCAGAACTTTTTTCATGATGTATCTACTCAGCAAACAGAGTTGAACCTTTCTTTTGAGAGAGCAGTTTTGAAACACTCTTTTTGTGGAATATGCAAGTGGGTATTAGGCCAGCTTGGAGGATTTCGTTGGAAACGGGAATACGTATAAAAAGCAGACAGCAGCATTGTCAGAAACTACTTTGTGATGTTTGCATTCAAGTCACAGAATTGAACACTCCCTTTCACAGAGCAGGTTTGAAACACTCTTTTTGTAGTGTCTGTAAGTGAACATATGGATTGCTTTCAGGCCTAAGGTGAAAAAGGAAATATCTTCCCATAAAAACTAGACAGAAGCATTCTCAGAAACTTCTTTGGGATGTTTCAATTGAAGTCACAGTGTTGAAGATTCCCTTTCACAGAGCAGGTTTGAAACACTCTTTTTGTAGTGTCTATAAGTGAACATTTGGCGTGCTTTCAGGCCTAACGTGAAAAAGGAAATATCTTCCCGTAACAACTAGACAGAAGCATTCTCAGAAACTTGTTCATGATGTGTGCCCTCTACTGACAGAGTTGAACCTTTCTTTGCAAAGAGCAGCTTTGAAACACTCTTTTTGTAGAATCTGCAAGAGGATATTTGGATAGCTTTGAGGATTTCGTTGGAAACGGGTATGTCTTCAGATAAACTCTAGACAGAAGCATTCTCAGAAACTTCTTTGGGATGTTGCATTCAAGTCACAGAGTAGAACATTCCCATTCATAGAGCAGATTTGAAACACTCTTTTTGTAGTATCTGGAAGTGGACATTTGGAGCGCTTTCAGGCCTATGTTGAAAAAGGAAATATCTTCCCATAAAAACTAGACGGAAGCATTCTCAGAAACTTACTTGTGATGTGTTTGCTCAACTAACAGAATTGAACCATCGTTTTGAAGGAGCAGTTTTGAAACACTGTTTTCGTGGAATCTGCAAGTGGATATTTGGCTAGCTTTGAGGATTTCGTTGGAAACGGGATTACATATACAAAGGAGACAGCAGCATTCTCAGAAACTTCTTTGTGATGTCTGCATTCAAGTCACAGAGTTGAGCATTCCCTTTCATAGAGCAGGTTGGAAACACTCTTTTTGTAGTATCTGGATGAGGACATTTGGAGCGCTTTCAGGCGTATGGTGAAAAAGGAAATATCTTCCCGTAAAAACTAGACAGAAGCATTCTCAGAAGTTTATTTGTGATGTGTGCCCTCAACTAACAGAGTTGAAACTTTCTTTTGATAGAGCAGTTTTGAAACACTCATTTTGTAAAATCTGCAAGAGGATATTTGGATAGCTTTGAGGATTTCGTTGCAAACGGGAATGGCTTCATATAAACTCTAGACAGAAGCATTCTCAGAAACTTCGTTGGGATGTTTCGATTGAAGTCCCAGTGTTGAACATTCCCTTTTATAGAGCAGGTTGGAAACACTCTTTCTGCATTCCCTGGAAGTGGACAATTGGAGCGCTTTCAGGACGACGGTGAAAATGGAAATATCTTCCAATAAAATCTGGATAGAAGCAATGTCAGAAACTATTCTGTGATGGATCTACTCAGCTAACAGAGTTGAACCTTTCTTTTGAGAGAGCAGTTTTGCAACACTCTTTTTGTGGAATATGCAAGTGGATATTAGGGCAGCTTTGAGGATTTCGTTGGAAACGGGAATACATGTAAAAAGCAGACAGCAGCATTCTCAGAAACTTCTTTGTGATGTTTGCATTGAAGTCACAGAGTTGAACATTCCCTTTGAGAGAGCAGGTTTGAAACACGCCTTTTGTCATATCTGGAAGTGTCCATTCGGAGCGCATTCAGGCTTGTGTTGAAAAAGGAAATATCCTCCCATAAAAACTAGACAGAAGCATTCTCAGAAACTTATCTGTGATGTATGTACTCAACTAACCGAACTAAACCATCGTTTTGAAGGAGCAGTTTTGAAACACTCTTTTTGCGGAATCTGCAAGTGGATATTTGGCTAGCTGGGAGGATTTCGTTAGAAACGGGATTACATACAAAAAGCAGACAGCAGCATTTTCAGAAACTACTTTGTGATGTTTGCATTCAAGTCACAGAGTTGAACATTCCCTTTCATAGAGCAGGTTTGAAACACTCTTTTTGTAGTATCTGGATGTGGACATTTGGATCGCTTTCAGGCCTATGGTGAAAAAGGAAATATCTTCCCATGAAAACTAGACAGAAGCATTCTCAGAAACTTATTTGTGATGTGTGTACTCAACTAACAGAATTGAACCATCGTTTTGAAAGAGCAGTTTTGAAACACTCCTTTTGTGGAATCTGCAAGTGGATATTTGTCTAGCTTTGAGGATTTCGTTGGAAACGGGATTACATATAAAAAGCAGACAGCAGCATTCTCAGAAACTTCTTTGTGATGTTTGCATTCAAGTCACAGAGTTGAACATTCCCTTTCATAGAGCAGGTTTGAAACACTCTTTTTGTAGTATCTGGATGTGGACATTTGGATCGCTTTCAGGCCTATGGTGAAAAAGGAAATATCTTCCCATGAAAACTAGACAGAAGCATTCTCAGAAACTTATTTGTGATGTGTGCCCTCAACTGACAGTGTTGAACCTTTGTTTTGATAGAGCAGTTCTGAAACACACTTTTTGTAAAATCTGCAAGAGGATATTTGCATAGCTTTGAGGATTTCGTTGGAAACGGGAATGTCTTCATGTAAACTCTAGACAGAAGCATTCTCAGAAACTGCTTTGGGATGTTTCAATTGAAGTCCCAGTGTTGAACATTCCCTTTCATAGAGCAGGTTTGAAACACTCTTTTTGTACTATCTGGAAGTGGACATTTGGAGCGCTTTCAGGTCTACGGTGAAAAAGGAGATATCTTCCAATAAAAACTAGATAGAAGCAATGTCAGAACTTTTTTCATTATGTATCTACTCAGCAAACAGAGTTGAAGCTTTCTTTTGAGAGAGCAGTTTTGAAACACTCTTTTTGTGGAATATGCAAGTGGGTATTAGGCCACCTTGGAGGATTTCGTTGGAAACGGGAATACGTATAAAAAGCAGACAGCAGCATTGTCAGAAACTACTTTGTGATGTTTGCATTCAAGTCACAGAATTGAACACTCCCTTTCACAGAGCAGGTTTGAAACACTCTTTTTGTAGTGTCTGTAAGTGAACATTTGGATTGCTTTCAGGCCTAAGGTGAAAAAGGAAATATCTTCCCATAAAAACCAGACAGAAGCATTCTCAGAAACTTGTTTGTGATGTGTGCCCTCTACTGACAGAGTTGAACCTTTCTTTGCAAAGAGCAGTTTTGAAACACTCTTTTTGTAGAATCTGCAAGAGGATATTTGGATAGCTTTGAGGATTTCTTGGGAAACGGGAATGTCTTCAGATAAACTCTAGACAGAAGCATTCTCAGAAACTTCTTTGGGATGTTTCAATTGAAGTCACAGTGTTGAACATTCCCTTTCACAGAGCAGGTTTGAAACACTCTTTTTGTAGTGTCTATAAGTGAACATTTGGCGTGCTTTCAGGCGTAACGTGAAAAAGGAAATATCTTCCCATAAAAACTAGACAGAAGCATTCTCAGAAACTTGTTCTTGATGTGTCCCCTCTACTGACAGAGTTGAACCTTTCTTTGCAAAGAGCAGCTTTGAAACACTCTTTTTGTAGAATCTGCAAGAGGATATTTGGATAGCTTTGAGGATTTCGTTGGAAACGGGTATGTCTTCAGATAAACTCTAGACAGAAGCATTCTCAGAAACTTCTTTGGGATGTTGCATTCAAGTCACAGAGTAGAACATTCCCATTCATAGAGCAGATTTGAAACACTCTTTTTGTAGTATCTGGAAGTGGACATTTGGAGCGCTTTCAGGCCTATGTTGAAAAAGGAAATATCTTCCCATAAAAACTAGACGGAAGCATTCTCAGAAACTTATTTGTGATGTGTTTGCTCAACTAACAGGATTGAACCATCGTTTTGAAGGAGCAGTTTTGAAACACTGTTTTCGTGGAATCTGCAAGTGGATATTTGGCTAGCTTTGAGGATTTCGTTGGAAACGGGATTACATATACAAAGGAGACAGCAGCATTCTCAGAAACTTCTTTGTGATGTCTGCATTCAATTCACAGAGTTGAGCATTCCCTTTCATAGAGCAGGTTTGAAACACTCTTTTTGTAGTATCTGGATGAGGACATTTGGAGCGCTTTCAGGCGTATGGTGAAAAAGGAAATATCTTCCCGTAAAAACTAGACAGAAGCATTCTCAGAAATTTATTTGTGATGTGTTCCCTCAACTAACAGAGTTGAACCTTTCTTTTGATAGAGCAGTTTTGAAACACTCTTTTTGTAAAATCTGCAAGAGGATATTTGGATAGCTTTGAGGATTTCGTTGCAAACGGGAATGGCTTCATATAAACTCTAGACAGAAGCATTCTCAGAAACTTCGTTGGGATGTTTCGATTGAAGTCCCAGTGTTGAACATTCCCTTTTATAGAGCAGGTTGGAAACACTCTTTCTGCATTCCCTGGAAGTGGACATTTGGAGCGCTTTCAGGACGACGGTGAAAATGGAAATATCTTCCAAGAAAATCTAGATAGAAGCAATGTCAGAAACTTTTATGTGATGGATCTACTCAGCTAACAGAGTTGAAGCTTTCTTTTGAGAGAGCAGTTTTGCAACACTCTTTTTGTGGAATATGCAAGTGGATATTAGGGCAGCTTTGAGGATTTCGTTGGAAACGGGAATACATGTAAAAAGCAGACAGCAGCATTCTCAGAAACTTCTTTGTGATGTTTGCATTGAAGTCACAGAGTTGAACATTCCCTTTGAGAGAGCAGGTTTGAAACACGCCTTTTGTCATATCTGGAAGTGTCCATTCGGAGCGCATTCAGGCTTGTGTTGAAAAAGGAAATATCCTCCCATAAAAACTAGACAGAAGCATTCTCAGAAACTTATCTGTGATGTATGTACTCAACTAACAGAACTAAACCATCGTTTTGAAGGAGCAGTTTTGAAACACTCTTTTTGCGGAATCTGCAAGTGGATATTTGGCTAGCTGGGAGGATTTCGTTGGAAACGGGATTACATACAAAAAGCAGAGAGCAGCATTCTCAGAAACTTCTTTGTGATGTTTGCATTCAAGTCACAGAGTTGAACATTCCCTTTCATAGAGCAGGTTTGAAACACTCTTTTTGTAGTATCTGGATGTGGACATTTGGATCGCTTTCAGGCCTATGGTGAAAAAGGAAATATCTTCCCATGAAAACTAGACAGAAGCATTCTCAGAAACTTATTTGTGATGTGTGCCCTCAACTGACAGTGTTGAACCTTTGTTTTGATAGAGCAGTTTTGAAACACACTTTTTGTAAAATCTGCAAGAGGATATTTGGATAGCTTTGAGGATTTCGTTGGAAACGGGAATGTCTTCATGTAAACTCTAGACAGAAGCATTCTCAGAAACTGCTTTGGGATGTTTCAATTGAAGTCCCAGTGTTGAACATTCCCTTTCATAGAGCAGGTTTGAAACACTCTTTTTGTACTATCTGGAAGTGGACATTTGGAGCGCTTTCAGGTCTACGGTGAAAAAGGAGATATCTTCCAATAAAAACTAGATAGAAGCAATGTCAGAACTTTTTTCATGATGTATCTACTCAGCAAACAGAGTTGAACCTTTCTTTTGAGAGAGCAGTTTTGAAACACTCTTTTTGTGGAATATGCAAGTGGGTATTAGGCCAGCTTGGAGGATTTCGTTGGAAACGGGAATACGTATAAAAAGCAGACAGCAGCATTGTCAGAAACTACTTTGTGATGTTTGCATTCAAGTCACAGAATTGAACACTCCCTTTCACAGAGCAGGTTTGAAACACTCTTTTTGTAGTGTCTGTAAGTGAACATTTGGATTGCTTCAGGCCTAAGGTGAAAAAGGAAATATCTTCCCATAAAAACTAGACAGAAGCATTCTCAGCAAACTTGTTTGTGATGTGTGCCCTCTACTGACAGAGTTGAAACTTTCTTTGCAAAGAGCAGTTTTGAAACACTCTTTTTGTAGAATCTGCAAGAGGATATTTGGATAGCTTTGAGGATTTCTTGGGAAACGGGAATGTCTTCAGATAAACTCTAGACAGAAGCATTCTCAGAAACTTCTTTGGGATGTTTCAATTGAAGTCACAGTGTTGAACATTCCCTTTCACAGAGCAGGTTTGAAACACTCTTTTTGTAGTGTCTATAATTGAACATTTGGCGTGCTTTCAGGCCTAACGTGAAAAAGGAAATATCTTCCCATAAAAACTAGACAGAAGCATTCTCAGTAAACTTGTTTGTGATGTGTGCCCTCTACTGACAGAGTTGAACCTTTCTTTGCAAAGAGCAGCTTTGAAACACTCTTTTTGTAGAATCTGCAAGAGGATATGTGGATAGCTTTGAGGATTTCGTTGGAAACGGGTATGTCTTCAGATAAACTCTAGACAGAAGCATTCTCAGAAACTTCTTTGGGATGTTTCAATTGAAGTCACAGTGTTGAACATTCCCTTTCACAGAGCAGGTTTGAAACACTCTTTTTGTAGTGTCTATAAGTGAACATTTGGCGTGCTTTCAGGCCTAACGTGAAAAAGGAAATATCTTCCCATAAAAACTAGACAGAAGCATTCTCAGAAACTTGTTCGTGATGTGTGCCCTCTACTGACAGAGTTGAACCTTTCTTTGCAAAGAGCAGCTTTGAAACACTCTTTCTGTAGAATCTACAAGAGGATATTTGGATAGCTTGGAGGATTTCCTTGGAAACGGGTATGTCTTCAGATAAACTCTAGACAGAAGCATTCTCAGAAACTTCTTTGGGATGTTGCATTCAAGTCACAGAGTAGAACATTCCCATTCATAGAGCAGATTTGAAACACTCTTTTTGTAGTATCTGGAAGTGGACATTTGGAGCGCTTTCAGGCCTATGTTGAAAAAGGAAATATCTTCCCATAAAAACTAGACGGAAGCATTCTCAGAAACTTATTTGTGATGTGTTTGCTCAACTAACAGGATTGAACCATCGTTTTGAAGGAGCAGTTTTGAAACACTGTTTTCGTGGAATCTGCAAGTGGATATTTGGCTAGCTTTGAGGATTTCGTTGGAAATGGGATTACATATACAAAGGAGACAGCAGCATTCTCAGAAACTACTTTGTGATGTCTGCATTCAATTCACAGAGTTGAGCATTCCCTTTCATAGAGCAGGTTGGAAACACTCTTTTTGTAGTATCTGGATGAGGACATTTGGAGCGCTTTCTGGCCTATGGTGAAAAAGGAAATATCTTCCTGTAAAAACTAGACAGAAGCATTCTCAGAAGTTTATTTGTGATGTGTGCCCTCAACTAACAGAGTTGAACCTTTCTTTTGATAGAGCAGTTTTGAAACACTCTTTTTGTAAAATCTGCAAGAGGATATTTGGATAGCTTTGAGGATTTCGTTGCAAACGGGAATGGCTTCATATAAACTCTAGACAGAAGCATTCTCAGAAACTTCGTTGGGATGTTTCGATTGAAGTCCCAGTGTTGAACATTCCCTTTTATAGAGCAGGTTGGAAACACTCTTTCTGCATTCCCTGGAAGTGGACATTTGGAGCGCTTTCAGGACGACGGTGAAAATGGAAATATCTTCCAAGAAAATCTAGATAGAAGCAACGTCAGAAACTTTTCTGTGATGGATCTACTCAGCTAACAGAGTTGAACCTTTCTTTTGAGAGAGCAGTTTTGCAACACTCTTTTTGTGGAATATGCAAGTGGATATTAGGGCAGCTTTGAGGATTTCGTTGGAAACGGGAATACATGTAAAAAGCAGACAGCAGCATTCTCAGAAACTTCTTTGTGATGTTTGCATTGAAGTCACAGAGTTGAACATTCCCTTTGAGAGAGCAGGTTTGAAACACGCCTTTTGTCATATCTGGAAGTGTCCATTCGGAGCGCATTCAGGCTTGTGTTGAAAAAGGAAATATCCTCCCAGAAAAACTAGACAGAAGCATTCTCAGAAACTTATCTGTGATGTATGTACTCAACTAACAGAACTAAACCATCGTTTTGAAGGAGTAGTTTTGAAAAACTCTTTTTGCGGAATCTGCAAGTGGATATTTGGCTAGCTGGGAGGATTTCGTTGGAAACGGGATTACATACAAAAAGCAGACAGCAGCATTCTCAGAAACTTCTTTGTGATGTTTGCATTCAAGTCACAGAGTTGAACATTCCCTTTCATAGAGCAGGTTTGAAACACTCTTTTTGTAGTATCTGGATGTGGACATTTGGATCGCTTTCAGGCGTATGGTGAAAAAGGAAATATCTTCCCATGAAAACTAGACAGAAGCATTCTCAGAAATTTATTTGTGATGTGTGCCCTCAACTAACAGAGTTGAACCTTTCTTTTGATAGAGCAGTTTTGAAACACTCTTTTTGTAAAATCTGCAAGAGGATATTTGGATAGCTTTGAGGATTTCGTTGCAAACGGGAATGGCTTCATATAAACTCTAGACAGAAGCATTCTCAGAAACTTCGTTGGGATGTTTCGATTGAAGTCCCAGTGTTGAACATTCCCTTTTATAGAGCAGGTTGGAAACACTCTTTCTGCATTCCCTGGAAGTGGACATTTGGAGCGCTTTCAGGACGACGGTGAAAATGGAAATATCTTCCAAGAAAATCTAGATAGAAGCAACGTCAGAAACTTTTATGTGATGGATCTACTCAGCTAACAGAGTTGAACCTTTCTTTTGAGAGAGCAGTTTTGCAACACTCTTTTTGTGGAATATGCAAGTGGATATTAGGGCAGCTTTGAGGATTTCGTTGGAAACGGGAATACATGTAAAAAGCAGACAGCAGCATTCTCAGAAACTTCTTTGTGATGTTTGCATTGAAGTCACAGAGTTGAACATTCCCTTTGAGAGAGCAGGTTTGAAACACGCCTTTTGTCATATCTGGAAGTGTCCATTCGGAGCGCATTCAGGCTTGTGTTGAAAAAGGAAATATCCTCCCATAAAAACTAGACAGAAGCATTCTCAGAAACTTATCTGTGATGTATGTACTCAACTAACAGAACTAAACCATCGTTTTGAAGGAGCAGTTTTGAAACACTCTTTTTGCGGAATCTGCAAGTGGATATTTGGCTAGCTGGGAGGATTTCGTTGGAAACGGGATTACATACAAAAAGCAGACAGCAGCATTCTCAGAAACTTCTTTGTGATGTTTGCATTCAAGTCACAGAGTTGAACATTCCCTTTCATAGAGCAGGTTTGAAACACTCTTTTTGTAGTATCTGGATGTGGACATTTGGATCGCTTTCAGGCCTATGGTGAAAAAGGAAATATCTTCCCATGAAAACTAGACAGAAGCATTCTCAGAAACTTATTTGTGATGTGTGCCCTCAACTGACAGTGTTGAACCTTTGTTTTGATAGAGCAGTTCTGAAACACACTTTTTGTAAAATCTGCAAGAGGATATTTGGATAGCTTTGAGGATTTCGTTGGAAACGGGAATGTCTTCATGTAAACTCTAGACAGAAGCATTCTCAGAAACTGCTTTGGGATGTTTCAATTGAAGTCCCAGTGTTGAACATTCCCATTCATAGAGCAGGTTTGAAACACTCTTTTTGTACTATCTGGAAGTGGACATTTGGAGCGCTTTCAGGTCTACGGTGAAAAAGGAGATATCTTCCAATAAAAACTAGATAGAAGCAATGTCAGAAGTTTTTCATGATGTATCTACTCAGCAAACAGAGTTGAACCTTTCTTTTGAGAGAGCAGTTTTGAAACACTCTTTTTGTGGAATATGCAAGTGGGTATTAGGCCAGCTTGGAGGATTTCGTTGGAAACGGGAATACGTATTAAAAGCAGACAGCAGCATTGTCAGAAACTACTTTGTGATGTTTGCATTCAAGTCACAGAATTGAACACTCCCTTTCACAGAGCAGGTTTGAAACACTCTTTTTGTAGTGTCTGTAAGTGAACATATGGATTGCTTTCAGGCCTAAGGTGAAAAAGGAAATATCTTCCCATAAAAACTAGACAGAAGCATTCTCAGAAACTTGTTTGTGATGTGTGCCCTCTACTGACAGAGTTGAACCTTTCTTTGCAAAGAGCAGTTTTGAAACACTCTTTTTGTAGAATCTGCAAGAGGATATTTGGATAGCTTTGAAGATTTCTTGGGAAACGGGAATGTCTTCAGAAAAACTCTAGACAGAAGCATTCTCAGAAACTTCTTTGGGATGTTTCAATTGAAGTCACAGTGTTGAACATTCCCTTTCACAGAGCAGGTTTGAAACACTCTTTTTGTAGTGTCTATAAGTGAACATTTGGCGTGCTTTCAGGCCTAACGTGAAAAAGGAAATATCTTCCCATAAAAACTAGACAGAAGCATTCTCAGAAACTTGTTCATGATGTGTGCCCTCTACTGACAGAGTTGAACCTTTCTTTGCAAAGAGCAGCTTTGAAACACTCTTTTTGTAGAATCTGCAAGAGGATATTTGGATAGCTTTGAGGATTTCGTTGGAAACGGGTATGTCTTCAGATAAACTCTAGACAGAAGCATTCTCAGAAACTTCTTTGGGATGTTGCATTCAAGTCACAGAGTAGAACATTCCCATTCATAGAGCAGATTTGAAACACTCTTTTTGTAGTATCTGGAAGTGGACATTTGGAGCACTTTCAGGCCTATGTTGAAAAAGGAAATATCTTCCCATAAAAACTAGACGGAAGCATTCTCAGAAACTTATTTCTGATGTGTTTGCTCAACTAACAGAATAGAACCATCGTTTTGAAGGAGCAGTTTTGAAACACTGTTTTCGTGGAATCTGCAAGTGGATATTTGGCTAGCTTTGAGGATTTCGTTGGAAACGGGATTACCTATAAAAAGGAGACAGCAGCATTCTGAGAAACTTCTTTGTGATGTCTGCATTCAATTCACAGAGTTGAGCATTCCCTTTCATAGAGCAGGTTGGAAACACTCTTTTTGTAGTATCTGGATGTGGACATTTGGTTCGCTTTCAGGCCTATGGTGAAAAAGGAAATATCTTCCCATGAAAACTAGACAGAAGCATTCTCAGAAATTTATTTGTGATGTGTGCCCTCAACTAACAGAGTTGAACCTTTCTTTTGATAGAGCAGTTTTGAAACACTCTTTTTGTAAAATCTGCAAGAGGATATTTGGATAGCTTTGAGGATTTCGTTGCAAACGGGAATGGCTTCATATAAACTCTAGACAGAAGCATTCTCAGAAACTTCGTTGGGATGTTTCGATTGAAGTCCCAGTGTTGAACATTCCCTTTTATAGAGCAGGTTGGAAACACTCTTTCTGCATTCCCTGGAAGTGGACATTTGGAGCGCTTTCAGGACGACGGTGAAAATGGAAATATCTTCCAATAAAATCTAGATAGAAGCAATGTCAGAAACTTTTCTGTGATGGATCTACTCAGCTAACAGAGTTGAACCTTTCTTTTGAGAGAGCAGTTTTGCAACACTCTTTTTGTGGAATATGCAAGTGGATATTAGGGCAGCTTTGAGGATTTCGTTGGAAACGGGAATACATGTAAAAAGCAGACAGCAGCATTCTCAGAAACTTCTTTGTGATGTTTGCATTGAAGTCACAGAGTTGAACATTCCCTTTGAGAGAGCAGGTTTGAAACACGCCTTTTGTCATATCTGGAAGTGTCCATTCGGAGCGCATTCAGGCTTGTGTTGAAAAAGGAAATATCCTCCCATAAAAACTAGACAGAAGCATTCTCAGAAACTTATCTGTGATGTATGTACTCAACTAACAGAACTAAACCATCGTTTTGAAGGAGCAGTTTTGAAACACTCTTTTTGCGGAATCTGCAAGTGGATATTTGGCTAGCTGGGAGGATTTCGTTGGAAACGGGATTACATACAAAAAGCAGACAGCAGCATTCTCAGAAACTTCTTTGTGATGTTTGCATTCAAGTCACAGAGTTGAACATTCCCTTTCATAGAGCAGGTTTGAAACACTCTTTTTGTAGTATCTGGATGTGGACATTTGGATCGCTTTCAGGCCTATGGTGAAAAAGGAAATATCTTCCCATGAAAACTAGACAGAAGCATTCTCAGAAACTTATTTGTGATGTGTGCCCTCAACTGACAGTGTTGAACCTTTGTTTTGATAGAGCAGTTCTGAAACACACTTTTTGTAAAATCTGCAAGAGGATATTTGGATAGCTTTGAGGATTTCGTTGGAAACGGGAATGTCTTCATGTAAACTCTAGACAGAAGCATTCTCAGAAACTGCTTTGGGATGTTTCAATTGAAGTCCCAGTGTTGAACATTCCCTTTCATAGAGCAGGTTTGAAACACTCTTTTTGTACTATCTGGAAGTGGACATTTGGAGCGCTTTCAGGTCTACGGTGAAAAAGGAGATATCTTCCAATAAAAACTAGATAGAAGCAATGTCAGAACTTTTTTCATGATGTATCTACTCAGCAAACAGAGTTGAACCTTTCTTTTGAGAGAGCAGTTTTGAAACACTCTTTTTGTGGAATATGCAAGTGGGTATTAGGCCAGCTTGGAGGATTTCGTTGGAAACGGGAATACGTATAAAAAGCAGACAGCAGCATTGTCAGAAACTACTTTGTGATGTTTGCATTCAAGTCACAGAATTGAACACTCCCTTTCACAGAGCAGGTTTGAAACACTCTTTTTGTAGTGTCTGTAAGTGAACATTTGGATTGCTTTCAGGCCTAAGGTGAAAAAGGAAATATCTTCCCATAAAAACTAGACAGAAGCATTCTCAGAAACTTGTTTGTGATGTGTGCCCTCTACTGACAGAGTTGAACCTTTCTTTGCAAAGAGCAGTTTTGAAACACTCTTTTTGTAGAATCTGCAAGAGGATATTTGGATAGCTTTGAGGATTTCTTGGGAAACGGGAATGTCTTCAGATAAACTCTAGACAGAAGCATTCTCAGAAACTTCTTTGGGATGTTTCAATTGAAGTCACAGTGTTGAACATTCCCTTTCACAGAGCAGGTTTGAAACACTCTTTTTGTAGTGTCTATAAGTGAACATTTGGCGTGCTTTCAGGCGTAACGTGAAAAAGGAAATATCTTCCCATAAAAACCAGACAGAAGCATTCTCAGAAACTTGTTCATGATGTGTGCCCTCTACTGACAGAGTTGAACCTTTCTTTGCAAAGAGCATCTTTGAAACACTCTTTTTGTAGAATCTGCAAGAGGATATTTGGATAGCTTTGAGGATTTCGTTGGAAACGGGTATGTCTTCAGATAAACTCTAGACAGAAGCATTCTCAGAAACTTCTTTGGGATGTTGCATTCAAGTCACAGAGTAGAACATTCCCATTCATAGAGCAGATTTGAAACACTCTTTTTGTAGTATCTGGAAGTGGACATTTGGAGCGCTTTCAGGCCTATGTTGAAAAAGGAAATATCTTCCCATAAAAACTAGACGGAAGCATTCTCAGAAACTTACTTGTGATGTGTTTGCTCAACTAACAGAATTGAACCATCGTTTTGAAGGAGCAGTTTTGAAACACTGTTTTCGTGGAATCTGCAAGTGGATATTTGGCTAGCTTTGAGGATTTCGTTGGAAACGGGATTACATATAAAAAGGAGACAGCAAGCATTCTCAGAAACTTCTTTGTGATGTCTAAATTCAAGTCACAGAGTTGAGCATTCCCTTTCATAGAGCAGGTTGGAAACACTCTTTTTGTAGTATCTGGATGAGGACATTTGGAGCGCTTTCAGGCCTATGGTGAAAAAGGAAATATCTTCCCGTAAAAACTAGACAGAAGCATTCTCAGAAATTTATTTGTGATGTGTGCCCTCAACTAACAGAGTTGAACCTTTCTTTTGATAGAGCAGTTTTGAAACACTCTTTTTGTAAAATCTGCAAGAGGATATTTGGATAGCTTTGAGGATTTCGTTGCAAACGGGAATGGCTTCATATAAACTCTAGACAGAAGCATTCTCAGAAACCTCGTTGGGATGTTTCGATTGAAGTCCCAGTGTTGAACATTCCCTTTTATAGAGCAGGTTGGAAACACTCTTTCTGCATTCCCTGGAAGTGGACATTTGGAGCGGTTTCAGGACGACGGTGAAAATGGAAATATCTTCCAAGAAAATCTAGATAGAAGCAACGTCAGAAACTTTTCTGTGATGGATCTACTCAGCTAACAGAGTTGAACCTTTCTTTTGAGAGAGCAGTTTTGCAACACTCTTTTTGTGGAATATGCAAGTGGATATTAGGGCAGCTTTGAGGATTTCGTTGGAAACGGGAATACATGTAAAAAGCAGACAGCAGCATTCTCAGAAACTTCTTTGTGATGTTTGCATTGAAGTCACAGAGTTGAACATTCCCTTTGAGAGAGCAGGTTTGAAACACGCCTTTTGTCATATCTGGAAGTGTCCATTCGGAGCACATTCAGGCTTGTGTTGAAAAAGGAAATATCCTCCCATAAAAACTAGACAGAAGCATTCTCAGAAACTTATCTGTGATGTATGTATTCAACTAACAGAACTAAACCATCGTTTTGAAGGAGCAGTTTTGAAACACTCTTTTTGCGGAATCTGCAAGTGGATATTTGGCTAGCTGGGAGGATTTCGTTGGAAACGGGATTACATACAAAAAGCAGACAGCAGCATTCTCAGAAACTTCTTTGTGATGTTTGCATTCAAGTCACAGAGTTGAACATTCCCTTTCATAGAGCAGGTTTGAAACACTCTTTTTGTAGTATCTGGATGTGGACATTTGGATCGCTTTCAGGCCTATGGTGAAAAAGGAAATATCTTCCCATGAAAACTAGACAGAAGCATTCTCAGAAACTTATTTGTGATGTGTGCCCTCAACTGACAGTGTTGAACCTTTGTTTTGATAGAGCAGTTCTGAAACACACTTTTTGTAAAATCTGCAAGAGGATATTGGGATAGCTTTGAGGATTTCGTTGGAAACGGGAATGTCTTCATGTAAACTCTAGACAGAAGCATTCTCAGCAAACTGCTTTGGGATGTTTCAATTGAAGTCCCAGTGTTGAACATTCCCTTTCATAGAGCAGGTTTGAAACACTCTTTTTGTACTATCTGGAAGTGGACATTTGGAGCGCTTTCAGGTCTACGGTGAAAAAGGAGATATCTTCCAATAACAACTAGATAGAAGCAATGTCAGAACTTTTTTCATGATGTATCTACTCAGCAAACAGAGTTGAACCTTTCTTTTGAGAGAGCAGTTTTGAAACACTCTTTTTGTGGAATATGCAAGTGGGTATTAGGCCAGCTTGGAGGATTTCGTTGGAAACGGGAATACGTATAAAAAGCAGACAGCAGCATTGTCAGAAACTACTTTGTGATGTTTGCATTCAAGTCACAGAATTGAACACTCGCTTTCACAGAGCAGGTTTGAAACACTCTTTTTGTAGTGTCTGTAAGTGAACATTTGGATTGCTTTCAGGCCTAAGGTGAAAAAGGAAATATCTTCCCATAAAAACTAGACAGAAGCATTCTCAGAAACTTGTTTGTGATGTGTGCCCTCTACTGACAGAGTTGAACCTTTCTTTGCAAAGAGCAGTTTTGAAACACTCTTTTTGTAGAATCTGCAAGAGGATATTTGGATAGCTTTGAGGATTTCTTGGGAAACGGGAATGTCTTCAGATAAACTCTAGACAGAAGCATTCTCAGAAACTTCTTTGGGATGTTTCAATTGAAGTCACAGTGTTGAACATTCCCTTTCACAGAGCAGGTTTGAAACACTCTTTTTGTAGTGTCTATAAGTGAACATTTGGCGTGCTTTCAGGCGTAACGTGAAAAAGGAAATATCTTCCCATAAAAACTAGACAGAAGCATTCTCAGAAACTTGTTCGTGATGTGTGCCCTCTACTGACAGAGTTGAACCTTTCTTTGCAAAGAGCAGCTTTGAAACACACTTTTTGTAGAATCTGCAAGAGGATATTTGGATAGCTTTGAGGATTTCGTTGGAAACGGGTATGTCTTCAGATAAACTCTAGACAGAAGCATTCTCAGAAACTTCTTTGGGATGTTGCATTCAAGTCACAGAGTAGAACATTCCCATTCATAGAGCAGATTTGAAACACTCTTTTTGTAGTATCTGGAAGTGGACATTTGGAGCGCTTTCAGGCCTATGTTGAAAAAGGAAATATCTTCCCATAAAAACTAGACGGAAGCATTCTCAGAAACTTATTTGTGATGTGTTTGCTCAACTAACAGGATTGAACCATCGTTTTGAAGGAGCAGTTTTGAAACACTGTTTTCGTGGAATCTGCAAGTGGATATTTGGCTAGCTTTGAGGATTTCGTTGGAAACGGGATTACATATAAAAAGGAGACAGCAGCATTCTCAGAAACTTCTTTGTGATGTCTGCATTCCAGTCACAGAGTTGAGCATTCCCTTTCATAGAGCAGGTTGGAAACACTCTTTTTGTAGTATCTGGATGAGGACATTTGGAGCGCTTTCAGGCCTATGGTGAAAAAGGAAATATCTTCCCGTAAAAACTAGACAGAAGCATTCTCAGAAATTTATTTGTGATGTGTGCCCTCAACTAACAGAGTTGAACCTTTCTTTTGATAGAGCAGTTTTGAAACACTCTTTTTGTAAAATCTGCAAGAGGATATTTGGATAGCTTTGAGGATTTCGTTGCAAACGGGAATGGCTTCATATAAACTCTAGACAGAAAGCATTCTCAGAAACTTCGTCGGGATGTTTCGATTGAAGTCCCAGTGTTGAACATTCCCTTTTATAGAGCAGGTTGGAAACACTCTTTCTGCATTCCCTGGAAGTGGACAATTGGAGCGCTTTCAGGACGACGGTGAAAATGGAAATATCTTCCAATAAAATCTGGATAGAGCAACGTCAGAAACTTTTCTGTGATGGATCTACTCAGCTAACAGAGTTGAACCTTTCTTTTGAGAGAGCAGTTTTGCAACACTCTTTTTGTGGAATATGCAAGTGGATATTAGGGCAGCTTTGAGGATTTCGTTGGAAACGGGAATACATGTAAAAAGCAGACAGCAGCATTCTCAGAAACTTCTTTGTGATGTTTGCATTGAAGTCACAGAGTTGAACATTCCCTTTGAGAGAGCAGGTTTGAAACACGCCTTTTGTCATATCTGGAAGTGTCCATTCGGAGCGCATTCAGGCTTGTGTTGAAAAAGGAAATATCCTCCCATAAAAACTAGACAGAAGCATTCTCAGAAACTTATCTGTGATGTATGTACTCAACTAACAGAACTAAACCATCGTTTTGAAGGAGCAGTTTTGAAACACTCTTTTTGCGGAATCTGCAAGTGGATATTTGGCTAGCTGGGAGGATTTCGTTGGAAACGGGATTACATACAAAAAGCAGACAGCAGCATTCTCAGAAACTTCTTTGTGATGTTTGCATTCAAGTCACAGAGTTGAACATTCCCTTTCATAGAGCAGGTTTGAAACACTCTTTTTGTAGTATCTGGATGTGGACATTTGGATCGCTTTCAGGCCTATGGTGAAAAAGGAAATATCTTCCCATGAAAACTAGACAGAAGCATTCTCAGAAACTTATTTGTGATGTGTGCCCTCAACTGACAGTGTTGAACCTTTGTTTTGATAGAGCAGTTCTGAAACACACTTTTTGTAAAATCTGCAAGAGGATATTTGGATAGCTTTGAGGATTTCGTTGGAAACGGGAATGTCTTCATGTAAACTCTACACAGAAGCATTCTCAGAAACTGCTTTGGGATGTTTCAATTGAAGTCCCAGTGTTGAACATTCCCATTCATAGAGCAGGTTTGAAACACTCTTTTTGTACTATCTGGAAGTGGACATTTGGAGCGCTTTCAGGTCTACGGTGAAAAAGGAGATATCTTCCAATAAAAACTAGATAGAAGCAATGTCAGAACTTTTTTCATGATGTATCTACTCAGCTAACAGAGTTGAACCTTTCTTTTGAGAGAGCAGTTTTGAAACACTCTTTTTGTGGAATATGCAAGTGGGTATTAGGCCAGCTTGGAGGATTTCGTTGGAAACGGGAATACGTATAAAAAGCAGACAGCAGCATTGTCAGAAACTACTTTGTGATGTTTGCATTCAAGTCACAGAATTGAACACTCCCTTTCACAGAGCAGGTTTGAAACACTCTTTTTGTAGTGTCTGTAAGTGAACATATGGATTGCTTTCAGGCCTAAGGTGAAAAAGGAAATATCTTCCCATAAAAACTAGACAGAAGCATTCTCAGAAACTTGTTTGTGATGTGTGCCCTCTACTGACAGAGTTGAACCTTTCTTTGCAAAGAGCAGTTTTGAAACACTCTTTTTGTAGAATCTGCAAGAGGATATTTGGATAGCTTTGAAGATTTCTTGGGAAACGGGAATGTCTTTAGATAAACTCTAGACAGAAGCATTCTCAGAAACTTCTTTGGGATGTTTCAATTGAAGTCACAGTGTTGAACATTCCCTTTCACAGAGCAGGTTTGAAACACTCTTTTTGTAGTGTCTATAAGTGAACATTTGGCGTGCTTTCAGGCCTAACGTGAAAAAGGAAATATCTTCCCATAAAAACTAGACAGAAGCATTCTCAGAAACTTGTTCTTGATGTGTCCCCTCTACTGACAGAGTTGAACCTTTCTTTGCAAAGAGCAGCTTTGAAACACACTTTTTGTAGAATCTGCAAGAGGATATTTGGATAGCTTTGAGGATTTCGTTGGAAACGGGTATGTCTTCAGATAAACTCTAGACAGAAGCATTCTCAGAAACTTCTTTGGGATGTTGCATTCAAGTCACAGAGTAGAACATTCCCATTCATAGAGCAGATTTGAAACACTCTTTTTGTAGTATCTGGAAGTGGACATTTGGAGCGCTTTCAGGCCTATGTTGAAAAAGGAAATATCTTCCCATAAAAACTAGACGGAAGCATTCTCAGAAACTTATTTGTGATGTGTTTGCTCAACTAACAGGATTGAACCATCGTTTTGAAGGAGCAGTTTTGAAACACTGTTTTCGTGGAATCTGCAAGTGGATATTTGGCTAGCTTTGAGGATTTCGTTGGAAATGGGATTACATATACAAAGGAGACAGCAGCATTCTCAGAAACTTCTTTGTGATGTCTGCATTCAATTCACAGAGTTGAGCATTCCCTTTCATAGAGCAGGTTGGAAACACTCTTTTTGTAGTATCTGGATGAGGACATTTGGAGCGCTTTCTGGCCTATGGTGAAAAAGGAAATATCTTCCTGTAAAAACTAGACAGAAGCATTCTCAGAAGTTTATTTGTGATGTGTGCCCTCAACTAACAGAGTTGAACCTTTCTTTTGATAGAGCAGTTTTGAAACACTCTTTTTGTAAAATCTGCAAGAGGATATTTGGATAGCTTTGAGGATTTCGTTGCAAACGGGAATGGCTTCATATAAACTCTAGACAGAAAGCATTCTCAGAAACTTCGTTGGGATGTTTCGATTGAAGTCCCAGTGTTGAACATTCCCTTTTATAGAGCAGGTTGGAAACACTCTTTCTGCATTCCCTGGAAGTGGACATTTGGAGCGCTTTCAGGACGACGGTGAAAATGGAAATATCTTCCAAGAAAATCTAGATAGAAGCAATGTCAGAAACTTTTATGTGATGGATCTACTCAGCTAACAGAGTTGAACCTTTCTTTTGAGAGAGCAGTTTTGCAACACTCTTTTTGTGGAATATGCAAGTGGATATTAGGGCAGCTTTGAGGATTTCGTTGGAAACGGGAATACATGTAAAAAGCAGACAGCAAGCATTCTCAGCAAACTTCTTTGTGATGTTTGCATTGAAGTCACAGTAGTAGAACATTCCCTTTGAGAGAGCAGGTTTGAAACACGCCTTTTGTCATATCTGGAAGTGTCCATTCGGAGCGCATTCAGGCTTGTGTTGAAAAAGGAAATATCCTCCCAGAAAAACTAGACAGAAGCATTCTCAGAAACTTATCTGTGATGTATGTACTCAACTAACAGAACTAAACCATCGTTTTGAAGGAGCAGTTTTGAAACACTCTTTTTGCGGAATCTGCAAGTGGATATTTGGCTAGCTGGGAGGATTTCGTTGGAAACGGGATTACATACAAAAAGCAGACAGCAGCATTCTCAGAAACTTCTTTGTGATGTTTGCATTCAAGTCACAGAGTTGAACATTCCCTTTCATAGAGCAGGTTTGAAACACTCTTTTTGTAGTATCTGGATGTGGACATTTGGATCGCTTTCAGGCCTATGGTGAAAAAGGAAATATCTTCCCATGAAAACTAGACAGAAGCATTCTCAGAAACTTATTTGTGATGTGTGCCCTCAACTGACAGTGTTGAACCTTTGTTTTGATAGAGCAGTTCTGAAACACACTTTTTGTAAAATCTGCAAGAGGATATTTGGATAGCTTTGAGGATTTCGTTGGAAACGGGAATGTCTTCATGTAAACTCTGGACAGAAGCATTCCCAGAAACTGCTTTGGGATGTTTCAATTGAAGTCCCAGTGTTGAACATTCCCTTTCATAGAGCAGGTTTGAAACACTCTTTTTGTACTATCTGGAAGTGGACATTTGGAGCGCTTTCAGGTCTACGGTGAAAAAGGAGATATCTTCCAATAAAAACTAGATAGAAGCAATGTCAGAACTTTTTTCATGATGTATCTACTCAGCAAACAGAGTTGAACCTTTCTTTTGAGAGAGCAGTTTTGAAACACTCTTTCTGTGGAATATGCAAGTGGGTATTAGGCCAGCTTGGAGGATTTCGTTGGAAACGGGAATACGTATAAAAAGCAGACAGCAGCATTGTCAGAAACTACTTTGTGATGTTTGCATGCAAGTCACAGAATGGAACACTGCCTTTCACAGAGCAGGTTTGAAACACTCTTTTTGTAGTGTCTGTAAGTGAACATTTGGATTGCTTTCAGGCCTAAGGTGAAAAAGGAAATATCTTCCCATAAAAACTAGACAGAAGCATTCTCAGAAACTTGTTTGTGATGTGTGCCCTCTACTGACAGAGTTGAACCTTTCTTTGCAAAGAGCAGTTTTGAAACACTCTTTTTGTAGAATCTGCAAGAGGATATTTGGAGAGCTTTGAGGATTTCTTGGGAAACGGGAATGTCTTCAGATAAACTCTAGACAGAAGCATTCTCAGAAACTTCTTTGGGATGTTTCAATTGAAGTCACAGTGTTGAACATTCCCTTTCACAGAGCAGGTTTGAAACACTCTTTTTGTAGTGTCTATAAGTGAACATTTGGCGTGCTTTCAGGCCTAACGTGAAAAAGGAAATATCTTCCCATAAAAACTAGACAGAAGCATTCTCAGAAACTTGTTCTTGATGTGTCCCCTCTACTGACAGAGTTGAACCTTTCTTTGCAAAGAGCAGCTTTGAAACACTCTTTTTGTAGAATCTGCAAGAGGATATTTGGATAGCTTGGAGGATTTCGTTGGAAACGGGTATGTCTTCAGATAAACTCTAGACAGAAGCATTCTCAGAAACTTCTTTGGGATGTTGCATTCAAGTCACAGAGTAGAACATTCCCATTCATAGAGCAGATTTGAAACACTCTTTTTGTAGTATCTGGAAGTGGACATTTGGAGCGCTTTCAGGCCTATGTTGAAAAAGGAAATATCTTCCCATAAAAACTAGACGGAAGCATTCTCTGAAACTTATTTGTGATGTGTTTGCTCAACTAACAGGATTGAACCATCGTTTTGAAGGAGCAGTTTTGAAACACTGTTTTCGTGGAATCTGCAACTGGATATTTGGCTAGCTTTGAGGATTTCGTTGGAAACGGGATTACATATAAAAAGGAGACAGCAGCATTCTCAGAAACTTCTCTGTGATGTTTGCATTCAAGTCACAGATTTGAATATTCCCTTTCATAGAGCAGGTTTGAAACACTCTTTTTGTAGTATCTGGAAGTGGACATTGAGAGCGCTCTCAGGACTACGGTGAAAAAGGAAATATCTTCCAATAAAAGCTACATAGAAGCAATGTCAGAAACTTTTTCATGATATATCTACTCAGCTAACAGAGATCAATCTTTCTTTTGAGAGAGCAGTTTTAAAACAGTCTCTTTGTGGAATATGCAAGTGGATATTAAGCCAGCTTTGAGGATTTCCTTGGAAACGGGAATGCATATAAAAAGCAGACAGCAGCATTCTCAGAAACTTCTTTGTGATGTTTGCATTGAAGTCCCAGATTTGAACATTCCCTTTCATAGAGCAGGTTTGAAACACGCCTTTTGTCATATCTGGAAGTTGTCCATTTGGAGCGCATTCCGGCTTGTGTTGAAAAAGGAAATATCCTCCCATAAAAACTAGATAGAAGCATTCTCAGAAACTTATTTGTGATGTGTGTACTCAACTAACAGAGTTGAACCTTTCTTTTGAGAGAGCAGTTTTGAAACACTCTTTTTGTGGAATCTGCAAGTGGATATTTGTCTAGCTTTGAGGATTTCGTTCGAAACGGGATTACATATAAAAAGCAGACAGCAGCATTCCCAGAATCTTCTTTGTGATGTTTGCATTCAAGTCACAGAGTTGAACATTCCCTTTCATAGAGCAGGTTTGAAACACTCTTTTTGTAGTATCTGGATGTGGACATTTGGAGCGCTTTCAGGCCTATGGTGAAAAAGGATATATCTTCCCCTGAAAACTACACAGAAGCATTCTCAGAAGTTTATTTGTGATGTGTGCCCTCAACTAACAGAGTTGAACCTTTCTTTTGATAGAGCAGTTTTGAAACACTCTTTTTGTAAAATCTGCAAGAGGATATTTGGATAGCTTTGAGGATTTCGTTGCAAACGGGAATGGCTTCATATAAACTCTAGACAGAAGCATTCTCAGAAACTTCGTTGGGATGTTTCGATTGAAGTCCCAGTGTTGAACATTCCCTTTTATAGAGCAGGTTGGAAACACTCTTTCTGCATTCCCTGGAAGTGGACATTTGGAGCGCTTTCAGGACGACGGTGAAAATGGAAATATCTTCCAATAAAATCTAGATAGAAGCAACGTCAGAAACTTTTATGTGATGGATCTACTCAGCTAACAGAGTTGAACCTTTCTTTTGAGAGAGCAGTTTTGCAACACTCTTTTTGTGGAATATGCAAGTGGATATTAGGGCAGCTTTGAGGATTTCGTTGGAAACGGGAATACATGTAAAAAGCAGACAGCAGCATTCTCAGAAACTTCTTTGTGATGTTTGCATTGAAGTCACAGAGTTGAACATTCCCTTTGAGAGAGCAGGTTTGAAACACACCTTTTGTCATATCTGGAAGTGTCCATTCGGAGCGCATTCAGGCTTGTGTTGAAAAAGGAAATATCCTCCCATAAAAACTAGACAGAAGCATTCTCAGAAACTTATTTGTGATGTATGTACTCAAGTAACAGAACTAAACCATCGTTTTGAAGGAGCAGTTTTGAAACACTCTTTTTGCGGAATCTGCAAGTGGATATTTGGCTAGCTGGGAGGATTTCGTTGGAAACGGGATTACATACAAAAAGCAGACAGCAGCATTCTCAGAAACTTATTTGTGATGTGTGCCCTCAACTGACAGTGTTGAACCTTTGTTTTGATAGAGCAGTTCTGAAACACACTTGTTGTAAAATCTGCAAGAGGATATTTGGATAGCTTTGAGGATTTCGTTGGAAACGGGAATGTCTTCATGTAAACTCTAGACAGAAGCATTCTCAGAAACTGCTTTGGGATGTTTCAATTGAAGTCCCAGCGTTGAACATTCCCATTCATAGAGCAGGTTTGAAACACTCTTTTTCTACTATCTGGAAGTGGACATTTGGAGCGCTTTCAGGTCTACGGTGAAAAAGGAGATATCTTCCAATAAAAACTAGATAGAAGCAATGTCAGAACTTTTTTCATGATGTATCTACTCAGCAAACAGAGTTGAACCTTTCTTTTGAGAGAGCAGTTTTGACACAGTCTTTGTGGAATATGCAAGTGGGTATTAGGCCAGCTTGGAGGATTTCGTTGGAAACGGGAATACGTATAAAAAGCAGACAGCAGCATTGTCAGAAACTACTTTGTGATGTTTGCATTCAAGTCACAGAATTGAACACTCCCTTTCACAGAGCAGGTTTGAAACACTCTTTTTGTAGTGTCTGTAAGTGAACATTTGGATTGCTTTCAGGCCTAAGGTGAAAAAGGAAATATCTTCCCATAAAAACTAGACAGAAGCATTCTCAGAAACTTGTTTGTGATGTGTGCCCTCTACTGACAGAGTTGAACCTTTCTTTGCAAAGAGCAGTTTTGAAACACTCTTTTTGTAGAATCTGCAAGAGGATATTTGGATAGCTTTGAGGATTTCTTGGGAAACGGGAATGTCTTCAGATAAACTCTAGACAGAAGCATTCTCAGAAACTTCTTTGGGATGTTTCAATTGAAGTCACAGTGTTGAACATTCCCTTTCACAGAGCAGGTTTGAAACACTCTTTTTGTAGTGTCTATAAGTGAACATTTGGCGTGCTTTCAGGCGTAACGTGAAAAAGGAAATATCTTCCCATAAAAACTAGACAGAAGCATTCTCAGAAACTTGTTCTTGATGTGTCCCCTCTACTGACAGAGTTGAACCTTTCTTTGCAAAGAGCAGCTTTGAAACACTCTTTTTGTAGAATCTGCAAGAGGATATTTGGATAGCTTGGAGGATTTCGTTGGAAACGGGTATGTCTTCAGATAAACTCTAGACAGAAGCATTCTCAGAAACTTCTTTGGGATGTTGCATTCAAGTCACAGAGTAGAACATTCCCATTCATAGAGCAGATTTGAAACACTCTTTTTGTAGTATCTGGAAGTGGACATTTGGAGCGCTTTCAGGCCTATGTTGAAAAAGGAAATATCTTCCCATAAAAACTAGACGGAAGCATTCTCAGAAACTTATTTGTGATGTGTTTGCTCAACTAACAGGATTGAACCATCGTTTTGAAGGAGCAGTTTTGAAACACTGTTTTCGTGGAATCTGCAAGTGGATATTTGGCTAGCTTTGAGGATTTCGTTGGAAATGGGATTACATATACAAAGGAGACAGCAGCATTCTCAGAAACTTCTTTGTGATGTCTGCATTCAATTCACAGAGTTGAGCATTCCCTTTCATAGAGCAGGTTGGAAACACTCTTTTTGTAGTATCTGGATGAGGACATTTGGAGCGCTTTCTGGCCTATGGTGAAAAAGGAAATATCTTCCTGTAAAAACTAGACAGAAGCATTCTCAGAAGTTTATTTGTGATGTGTGCCCTCAACTAACAGAGTTGAACCTTTCTTTTGATAGAGCAGTTTTGAAACACTCTTTTTGTAAAATCTGCAAGAGGATATTTGGATAGCTTTGAGGATTTCGTTGCAAACGGGAATGGCTTCATATAAACTCTAGACAGAAGCATTCTCAGAAACTTCGTTGGGATGTTTCGATTGAAGTCCCAGTGTTGAACATTCCCTTTTATAGAGCAGGTTGGAAACACTCTTTCTGCATTCCCTGGAAGTGGACATTTGGAGCGCTTTCAGGACGACGGTGAAAATGGAAATATCTTCCAAGAAAATCTAGATAGAAGCAATGTCAGAAACTTTTATGTGATGGATCTACTCAGCTAACAGAGTTGAACCTTTCTTTTGAGAGAGCAGTTTTGCAACACTCTTTTTGTGGAATATGCAAGTGGATATTAGGGCAGCTTTGAGGATTTCGTTGGAAACGGGAATACATGTAAAAAGCAGACAGCAGCATTCTCAGAAACTTCTTTGTGATGTTTGCATTGAAGTCACAGAGTTGAACATTCCCTTTGAGAGAGCAGGTTTGAAACACGCCTTTTGTCATATCTGGAAGTGTCCATTCGGAGCGCATTCAGGCTTGTGTTGAAAAAGGAAATATCCTCCCATAAAAACTAGACAGAAGCATTCTCAGAAACTTATCTGTGATGTATGTACTCAACTAACAGAACTAAACCATCGTTTTGAAGGAGCAGTTTTGAAACACTCTTTTTGCGGAATCTGCAAGTGGATATTTGGCTAGCTGGGAGGATTTCGTTGGAAACGGGATTACATACAAAAAGCAGACAGCAGCATTCTCAGAAACTTCTTTGTGATGTTTGCATTCAAGTCACAGAGTTGAACATTCCCTTTCATAGAGCAGGTTTGAAACACTCTTTTTGTAGTATCTGGATGTGGACATTTGGATCGCTTTCAGGCCTATGGTGAAAAAGGAAATATCTTCCCATGAAAACTAGACAGAAGCATTCTCAGAAACTTATTTGTGATGTGTGCCCTCAACTGACAGTGTTGAACCTTTGTTTTGATAGAGCAGTTTTGAAACACACTTTTTGTAAAATCTGCAAGAGGATATTTGGATAGCTTTGAGGATTTCGTTGGAAACGGGAATGTCTTCATGTAAACTCTAGACAGAAGCATTCTCAGAAACTGCTTTGGGATGTTTCAATTGAAGTCCCAGTGTTGAACATTCCCTTTCATAGAGCAGGTTTGAAACACTCTTTTTGTACTATCTGGAAGTGGACATTTGGAGCGCTTTCAGGTCTACGGTGAAAAAGGAGATATCTTCCAATAACAACTAGATAGAAGCAATGTCAGAACTTTTTTCATGATGTATCTACTCAGCAAACAGAGTTGAACCTTTCTTTTGAGAGAGCAGTTTTGAAACACTCTTTTTGTGGAATATGCAAGTGGGTATTAGGCCAGCTTGGAGGATTTCGTTGGAAACGGGAATACGTATAAAAAGCAGACAGCAGCATTGTCAGAAACTACTTTGTGATGTTTGCATTCAAGTCACAGAATTGAACACTCCCTTTCACAGAGCAGGTTTGAAACACTCTTTTTGTAGTGTCTGTAAGTGAACATTTGGATTGCTTTCAGGCGTAAGGTGAAAAAGGAAATATCTTCCCATAAAAACTAGACAGAAGCATTCTCAGAAACTTGTTTGTGATGTGTGCCCTCTACTGACAGAGTTGAACCTTTCTTTGCAAAGAGCAGTTTTGAAACACTCTTTTTGTAGAATCTGCAAGAGGATATTTGGATAGCTTTGAGGATTTCTTGGGAAACGGGAATGTCTTCAGATAAACTCTAGACAGAAGCATTCTCAGAAACTTCTTTGGGATGTTTCAATTGAAGTCACAGTGTTGAACATTCCCTTTCACAGAGCAGGTTTGAAACACTCTTTTTGTAGTGTCTATAAGTGAACATTTGGCGTGCTTTCAGGCCTAACGTGAAAAAGGAAATATCTTCCCATAAAAACTAGACAGAAGCATTCTCAGAAACTTGTTCGTGATGTGTGCCCTCTACTGACAGAGTTGAACCTTTCTTTGCAAAGAGCAGCTTTGAAACACTCTGTTTGTAGAATCTGCAAGAGGATATTTGGATAGCTTTGAGGATTTCGTTGGAAACGGGTATGTCTTCAGTTAAACTCTAGACAGAAGCATTCTCAGAAACTTCTTTGGGATGTTGCATTCAAGTCACAGAGTAGAACATTCCCATTCATAGAGCAGATTTGAAACACTCTTTTTGTAGTATCTGGAAGTGGACATTTGGAGCGCTTTCAGGCCTATGTTGAAAAAGGAAATATCTTCCCATAAAAACTAGACGGAAGCATTCTCAGAAACTTATTTGTGATGTGTTTGCTCAACTAACAGGATTGAACCATCGTTTTGAAGGAGCAGTTTTGAAACACTGTTTTCGTGGAATCTGCAAGTGGATATTTGGCTAGCTTTGAGGATTTCGTTGGAAAAGGGATTACATATAAAAAGGAGACAGCAGCATTCTCAGAAACTTCTTTGTGATGTTTGCATTCAATTCACAGAGTTGAGCATTCCCTTTCATAGAGCAGGTTGGAAACACTCTTTTTGTAGTATCTGGATGTGGACATTTGGATCGCTTTCAGGCCTATGGTGAAAAAGGAAATATCTTCCCATGAAAACTAGACAGAAGCATTCTCAGAAACTTATTTGTGATGTGTGCCCTCAACTGACAGTGTTGAACCTTTGTTTTGATAGAGCAGTTCTGAAACACACTTTTTGTAAAATCTGCAAGAGGATATTTGGATAGCTTTGAGGATTTCGTTGGAAACGGGAATGTCTTCATGTAAACTCTAGACAGAAGCATTCTCAGAAACTGCTTTGGGATGTTTCAATTGAAGTCCCAGTGTTGAACATTCCCTTTCATAGAGCAGGTTTCAAACACTCTTTTTGTACTATCTGGAAGTGGACATTTGGAGCGCTTTCAGGTCTACGGTGAAAAAGGAGATATCTTCCAATAAAAACTAGATAGAAGCAATGTCAGAACTTTTTTCATGATGTATCTACTCAGCAAACAGAGTTGAACCTTTCTTTTGAGAGAGCAGTTTTGAAACACTCTTTTTGTGGAATATGCAAGTGGGTATTAGGCCAGCTTGGAGGATTTCGTTGGAAACGGGAATACGTATAAAAAGCAGACAGCAGCATTGTCAGAAACTACTTTGTGATGTTTGCATTCAAGTCACAGAATTGAACACTCCCTTTCACAGAGCAGGTTTGAAACACTCTTTTTGTAGTGTCTGTAAGTGAACATTTGGATTGCTTTCAGGCCTAAGGTGAAAAAGGAAATATCTTCCCATAAAAACTAGACAGAAGCATTCTCAGAAACTTGTTTGTGATGTGTGCCCTCTACTGACAGAGTTGAACCTTTCTTTGCAAAGAGCAGTTTTGAAACACTCTTTTTGTAGAATCTGCAAGAGGATATTTGGATAGCTTTGAGGATTTCTTGGGAAACGGGAATGTCTTCAGATAAACTCTAGACAGAAGCATTCTCAGAAACTTCTTTGGGATGTTTCAATTGAAGTCACAGTGTTGAACATTCCCTTTCACAGAGCAGGTTTGAAACACTCTTTTTGTAGTGTCTATAATTGAACATTTGGCGTGCTTTCAGGCCTAACGTGAAAAAGGAAATATCTTCCCATAAAAACTAGACAGAAGCATTCTCAGAAACTTGTTCGCGATGTGTGCCCTCTACTGACAGAGTTGAACCTTTCTTTGCAAAGAGCAGCTTTGAAACACTCTTTTTGTAGAATCTGCAAGAGGATATGTGGATAGCTTTTAGGATTTCGTTGGAAACGGGTATGTCTTCAGATAAACTCTAGACAGAAGCATTCTCAGAAACTTCTTTGGGATGTTTCAATTGAAGTCACAGTGTTGAACATTCCCTTTCACAGAGCAGGTTTGAAACACTCTTTTTGTAGTGTCTATAAGTGAACATTTGGCGTGCTTTCAGGCCTAACGTGAAAAAGGAAATATCTTCCCATAAAAACTAGACAGAAGCATTCTCAGAAACTTGTTCGTGATGTGTGCCCTCTACTGACAGAGTTGAACCTTTCTTTGCAAAGAGCAGCTTTGAAACACTCTTTTTGTAGAATCTGCAAGAGGATATTTGGATAGCTTTGAGGATTTCGTTGGAAACGGGTATGTCTTCAGATAAACTCTAGACAGAAGCATTCTCAGAAACTTCTTTGGGATGTTGCATTCAAGTCACAGAGTAGAACATTCCCATTCATAGAGCAGATTTGAAACACTCTTTTTGTAGTATCTGGAAGTGGACATTTGGAGCGCTTTCAGGCCTATGTTGAAAAAGGAAATATCTTCCCATAAAAACTAGACGGAAGCATTCTCAGAAACTTACTTGTGATGTGTTTGCTCAACTAACAGAATTGAACCATCGTTTTGAAGGAGCAGTTTTGAAACACTGTTTTCGTGGAATCTGCAAGTGGATATTTGGCTAGCTTTGAGGATTTCGTTGGAAACGGGATTACATATAAAAAGGAGACAGCAGCATTCTCAGAAACTTCTTTGTGATGTCTGCATTCAAGTCACAGAGTTGAGCATTCCCTTTCATAGAGCAGGTTGGAAACACTCTTTTTGTAGTATCTGGATGAGGACATTTGGAGCGCTTTCAGGCGTATGGTGAAAAAGGAAATATCTTCCCGTAAAAACTAGACAGAAGCATTCTCAGAAATTTATTTGTGATGTGTGCCCTCAACTAACAGAGTTGAACCTTTCTTTTGATAGAGCAGTTTTGAAACACTCTTTTTGTAAAATCTGCAAGAGGATATTTGGATAGCTTTGAGGATTTCGTTGCAAACGGGAATGGCTTCATATAAACTCTAGACAGAAGCATTCTCAGAAACTTCGTTGGGATGTTTCGATTGAAGTCCCAGTGTTGAACATTCCCTTTTATAGAGCAGGTTGGAAACACTCTTTCTGCATTCCCTGGAAGTGGACATTTGGAGCGCTTTCAGGACGACGGTGAAAATGGAAATATCTTCCAAGAAAATCTAGATAGAAGCAACGTCAGAAACTTTTATGTGATGGATCTACTCAGCTAACAGAGTTGAACCTTTCTTTTGAGAGAGCAGTTTTGCAACACTCTTTTTGTGGAATATGCAAGTGGATATTAGGGCAGCTTTGAGGATTTCGTTGGAAACGGGAATACATGTAAAAAGCAGACAGCAGCATTCTCAGAAACTTCTTTGTGATGTTTGCATTGAAGTCACAGAGTTGAACATTCCCTTTGAGAGAGCAGGTTTGAAACACGCCTTTTGTCATATCTGGAAGTGTCCATTCGGAGCGCATTCAGGCTTGTGTTGAAAAAGGAAATATCCTCCCATAAAAACTAGACAGAAGCATTCTCAGAAACTTATCTGTGATGTATGTACTCAACTAACAGAACTAAACCATCGTTTTGAAGGAGCAGTTTTGAAACACTCTTTTTGCGGAATCTGCAAGTGGATATTTGGCTAGCTGGGAGGATTTCGTTGGAAACGGGATTACATACAAAAAGCAGACAGCAGCATTCTCAGAAACTTCTTTGTGATGTTTGCATTCAAGTCACAGAGTTGAACATTCCCTTTCATAGATCAGGTTTGAAACACTCTTTTTGTAGTATCTGGATGTGGACATTTGGATCGCTTTCAGGCCTATGGTGAAAAAGGAAATATCTTCCCATGAAAACTAGACAGAGTAAGCATTCTCAGAAACTTATTTGTGATGTGTGCCCTCAACTGACAGTGTTGAACCTTTGTTTTGATAGAGCAGTTCTGAAACACACTTTTTGTAAAATCTGCAAGAGGATATTTGGATAGCTTTGAGGATTTCGTTGGAAACGGGAATGTCTTCATGTAAACTCTACACAGAAGCATTCTCAGAAACTGCTTTGGGATGTTTCAATTGAAGTCCCAGTGTTGAACATTCCCATTCATAGAGCAGGTTTGAAACACTCTTTTTGTACTATCTGGAAGTGGACATTTGGAGCGCTTTCAGGTCTACGGTGAAAAAGGAGATATCTTCCAATAAAAACTAGATAGAAGCAATGTCAGAACTTTTTTCATGATGTATCTACTCAGCAAACAGAGTTGAACCTTTCTTTTGAGAGAGCAGTTTTGAAACACTCTTTTTGTGGAATATGCAAGTGGGTATTAGGCCAGCTTGGAGGATTTCGTTGGAAACGGGAATACGTATAAAAAGCAGACAGCAGCATTGTCAGAAACTACTTTGTGATGTTTGCATTCAAGTCACAGAACTGAACACTCCCTTTCACAGAGCAGGTTTGAAACACTCTTTTTGTAGTGTCTGTAAGTGAACATTTGGATTGCTTTCAGGCCTAAGGTGAAAAAGGAAATATCTTCCCATAAAAACTAGACAGAAGCATTCTCAGAAACTTGTTGGTGATGTGTGCCCTCTACTGACAGAGTTGAACCTTTCTTTGCAAAGAGCAGTTTTGAAACACTCTTTTTGTAGAATCTGCAAGAGGATATTTGGATAGCTTTGAAGATTTCTTGGGAAACGGGAATGTCTTCAGATAAACTCTAGACAGAAGCATTCTCAGAAACTTCTTTGGGATGTTTCAATTGAAGTCACAGTGTTGAACATTCCCTTTCACAGAGCAGGTTTGAAACACTCTTTTTGTAGTGTCTATAATTGAACATTTGGCGTGCTTTCAGGCCTAACGTGTAAAAGGAAATATCTTCCCATAAAAACTAGACAGAAGCATTCTCAGAAACTTGTTCGTGATGTGTGCCCTCTACTGACAGAGTTGAACCTTTCTTTGCAAAGAGCAGCTTTGAAACACTCTTTTTGTAGAATCTGCAAGAGGATATGTGGATAGATTTGAGGATTTCGTTGGAAACGGGTATGTCTTCAGATAAACTCTAGACAGAAGCATTCTCAGAAACTTCTTTGGGATGTTTCAATTGAAGTCACAGTGTTGAACATTCCCTTTCACAGAGCAGGTTTGAAACACTCTTTTTGTAGTGTCTATAAGTGAACATTTGGCGTGCTTTCAGGCGTAACGTGAAAAAGGAAATATCTTCCCATAAAAACCAGACAGAAGCATTCTCAGAAACTTGTTCGTGATGTGTGCCCTCTACTGACAGAGTTGAACCTTTCTTTGCAAAGAGCATCTTTGAAACACTCTTTTTGTAGAATCTGCAAGAGGATATTTGGATAGCTTGGAGGATTTCGTTGGAAACGGGTATGTCTTCAGATAAACTCTAGACAGAAGCATTCTCAGAAACTTCTTTGGGATGTTGCATTCAAGTCACAGAGTAGAACATTCCCATTCATAGAGCAGATTTGAAACACTCTTTTTGTAGTATCTGGAAGTGGACATTTGGAGCGCTTTCAGGCCTATGTTGAAAAAGGAAATATCTTCCCATAAAAACTAGACGGAAGCATTCTCAGAAACTTACTTGTGATGTGTTTGCTCAACTAACAGAATTGAACCATCGTTTTGAAGGAGCAGTTTTGAAACACTGTTTTCGTGGAATCTGCAAGTGGATATTTGGCTAGCTTTGAGGATTTCGTTGGAAACGGGATTACATATAAAAAGGAGACAGCAGCATTCTCAGAAACTTCTTTGTGATGTCTGCATTCAAGTCACAGAGTTGAGCATTCCCTTTCATAGAGAAGGTTGGAAACACTCTTTTTGTAGTATCTGGATGAGGACATTTGGAGCGCTTTCAGGCGTATGGTGAAAAAGGAAATATCTTCCCGTAAAAACTAGACAGAAGCATTCTCAGAAATTTATTTGTGATGTGTGCCCTCAACTAACAGAGTTGAACCTTTCTTTTGATAGAGCAGTTTTGAAACACTCTTTTTGTAAAATCTGCAAGAGGATATTTGGATAGCTTTGAGGATTTCATTGCAAACGGGAATGGCTTCATATAAACTCTAGACAGAAGCATTCTCAGAAACTTCGTTGGGATGTTTCGATTGAAGTCCCAGTGTTGAACATTCCCTTTTATAGAGCAGGTTGGAAACACTCTTTCTGCATTCCCTGGAAGTGGACATTTGGAGCGCTTTCAGGACGACGGTGAAAATGGAAATATCTTCCAAGAAAATCTAGATAGAAGCAATGTCAGAAACTTTTATGTGATGGATCTACTCAGCTAACAGAGTTGAACCTTTCTTTTGAGAGAGCAGTTTTGCAACACTCTTTTTGTGGAATATGCATGTGGATATTAGGGCAGCTTTGAGGATTTCGTTGGAAACGGGAATACATGTAAAAAGCAGACAGCAGCATTCTCAGAAACTTCTTTGTGATGTTTGCATTGAAGTCACAGAGTTGAACATTCCCTTTGAGAGAGCAGGTTTGAAACACGCCTTTTGTCATATCTGGAAGTGTCCATTCGGAGCGCATTCAGGCTTGTGTTGAAAAAGGAAATATCCTCCCATAAAAACTAGACAGAAGCATTCTCAGAAACTTATCTGTGATGTATGTACTCAACTAACAGAACTAAACCATCGTTTTGAAGGAGCAGTTTTGAAACACTCTTTTTGCGGAATCTGCAAGTGGATATTTGGCTAGCTGGGAGGATTTCGTTGGAAACGGGATTACATACAAAAAGCAGACAGCAGCATTCTCAGAAACTTCTTTGTGATGTTTGCATTCAAGTCACAGAGTTGAACATTCCCTTTCATAGAGCAGGTTTGAAACACTCTTTTTGTAGTATCTGGATGTGGACATTTGGATCGCTTTCAGGCCTATGGTGAAAAAGGAAATATCTTCCCATGAAAACTAGACAGAAGCATTCTCAGAAACTTATTTGTGATGTGTGCCCTCAACTGACAGTGTTGAACCTTTGTTTTGATAGAGCAGTTCTGAAACACACTTTTTGTGAAATCTGCAAGAGGATATTTGGATAGCTTTGAGGATTTCGTTGGAAACGGGAATGTCTTCATGTAAACTCTACACAGAAGCATTCTCAGAAACTGCTTTGGGATGTTTCAATTGAAGTCCCAGTGTTGAACATTCCCATTCATAGAGCAGGTTTGAAACACTCTTTTTGTACTATCTGGAAGTGGACATTTGGAGCGCTTTCAGGTCTACGGTGAAAAAGGAGATATCTTCCAATAAAAACTAGATAGAAGCAATGTCAGAACTTTTTTCATGATGTATCTACTCAGCACACAGAGTTGAACCTTTCTTTTGAGAGAGCAGTTTTGAAACACTCTTTTTGTGGAATATGCAAGTGGGTATTAGGCCAGCTTGGAGGATTTCGTTGGAAACGGGAATACGTATAAAAAGCAGACAGCAGCATTGTCAGAAACTACTTTGTGATGTTTGCATTCAAGTCACAGAATTGAACACTCCCTTTCACAGAGCAGGTTTGAAACACTCTTTTTGTAGTGTCTGTAAGTGAACATATGGATTGCTTTCAGGCCTAAGGTGAAAAAGGAAATATCTTCCCATAAAAACTAGACAGAAGCATTCTCAGAAACTTGTTTGTGATGTGTGCCCTCTACTGACAGAGTTGAACCTTTCTTTGCAAAGAGCAGTTTTGAAACACTCTTTTTGTAGAATCTGCAAGAGGATATTTGGATAGCTTTGAGGATTTCTTGGGAAACGGGAATGTCTTCAGATAAACTCTAGACAGAAGCATTCTCAGAAACTTCTTTGGGATATTTCAATTGAAGTCACAGTGTTGAACATTCCCTTTCACAGAGCAGGTTTGAAACACTCTTTTTGTAGTGTCTATAAGTGAACATTTGTCGTGCTTTCAGACCTAAGGTGAAAAAGGAAATATCTTCCCATAAAAACTAGACAGAAGCATTCTCAGAAACTTGTTCGTGATGTGTGCCCTCTACTGACAGAGTTGAACCTTTCTTTGCAAAGAGCAGCTTTGAAACACTCTTTTTGTAGAATCTGCAAGAGGATATTTGGATAGCTTTGAGGATTTCGTTGGAAACGGGTATGTCTTCAGATAAACTCTAGACAGAAGCATTCTCAGAAACTTCTTTGGGATGTTGCATTCAAGTCACAGAGTAGAACATTCCCATTCATAGAGCAGATTTGAAACACTCTTTTTGTAGTATCTGGAAGTGGACATTTGGAGCGCTTTCAGGCCTATGTTGAAAAAGGAAATATCTTCCCATAAAAACTAGACGGAAGCATTCTCAGAAACTTACTTGTGATGTGTTTGCTCAACTAACAGAATTGAACCATCGTTTTGAAGGAGCAGTTTTGAAACACTGTTTTCGTGGAATCTGCAAGTGGATATTTGGCTAGCTTTGAGGATTTCGTTGGAAACGGGATTACATATAAAAAGGAGACAGCAGCATTCTCAGAAACTTCTTTGTGATGTCTGCATTCAAGTCACAGAGTTGAGCATTCCCTTTCATAGAGCAGGTTGGAAACACTCTTTTTGTAGTATCTGGATGAGGACATTTGGAGCGCTTTCAGGCGTATGGTGAAAAAGGAAATATCTTCCTGTAAAAACTAGACAGAAGCATTCTCAGAAATTTATTTGTGATGTGTGCCCTCAACTAACAGAGTTGAACCTTTCTTTTGATAGAGCAGTTTTGAAACACTCTTTTTGTAAAATCTGCAAGAGGATATTTGGATAGCTTTGAGGATTTCGTTGCAAACGGGAATGGCTTCATATAAACTCTAGACAGAAGCATTCTCAGAAACCTCGTTGGGATGTTTCGATTGAAGTCCCAGTGTTGAACATTCCCTTTTATAGAGCAGGTTGGAAACACTCTTTCTGCATTCCCTGGAAGTGGACATTTGGAGCGCTTTCAGGACGACGGTGAAAATGGAAATATCTTCCAAGAAAATCTAGATAGAAGCAACGTCAGAAACTTTTCTGTGATGGATCTACTCAGCTAACAGAGTTGAACCTTTCTTTTGAGAGAGCAGTTTTGCAACACTCTTTTTGTGGAATATGCAAGTGGATATTAGGGCAGCTTTGAGGATTTCGTTGGAAACGGGAATACATGTAAAAAGCAGACAGCAGCATTCTCAGAAACTTCTTTGTGATGTTTGCATTGAAGTCACAGAGTTGAACATTCCCTTTGAGAGAGCAGGTTTGAAACACGCCTTTTGTCATATCTGGAAGTGTCCATTCGGAGCGCATTCAGGCTTGTGTTGAAAAAGGAAATATCCTCCCATAAAAACTAGACAGAAGCATTCTCAGAAACTTATCTATGATGTATGTACTCAACTAACAGAACTAAACCATCGTTTTGAAGGAGCAGTTTTGAAACACTCTTTTTGCGGAATCTGCAAGTGGATATTTGGCTAGCTGGGAGGATTTCGTTGGAAACGGGATTACATACAAAAAGCAGACAGCAGCATTCTCAGAAACTTCTTTGTGATGTTTGCATTCAAGTCACAGAGTTGAACATTCCCTTTCATAGAGCAGGTTTGAAACACTCTTTTTGTAGTATCTGGATGTGGACATTTGGATCGCTTTCAGGCCTATGGTGAAAAAGGAAATATCTTCCCATGAAAACTAGACAGAAGCATTCTCAGAAACTTATTTGTGATGTGTGCCCTCAACTGACAGTGTTGAACCTTTGTTTTGATAGAGCAGTTCTGAAACACACTTTTTGTAAAATCTGCAAGAGGATATTTGGATAGCTTTGAGGATTTCGTTGGAAACGGGAATGTCTTCATGTAAACTCTACACAGAAGCATTCTCAGAAACTGCTTTGGGATGTTTCAATTGAAGTCCCAGTGTTGAACATTCCCATTCATAGAGCAGGTTTGAAACACTCTTTTTGTACTATCTGGAAGTGGACATTTGGAGCGCTTTCAGGTCTACGGTGAAAAAGGAGATATCTTCCAATAAAAACTAGATAGAAGCAATGTCAGAACTTTTTTCATGATGTATCTACTCAGCACACAGAGTTGAACCTTTCTTTTGAGAGAGCAGTTTTGAAACACTCTTTTTGTGGAATATGCAAGTGGGTATTAGGCCAGCTTGGAGGATTTCGTTGGAAACGGGAATACGTATAAAAAGCAGACAGCAGCATTGTCAGAAACTACTTTGTGATGTTTGCATTCAAGTCACAGAATTGAACACTCCCTTTCACAGAGCAGGTTTGAAACACTCTTTTTGTAGTGTCTGTAAGTGAACATATGGATTGCTTTCAGGCCTAAGGTGAAAAAGGAAATATCTTCCCATAAAAACTAGACAGAAGCATTCTCAGAAACTTGTTTGTGATGTGTGCCCTCTACTGACAGAGTTGAACCTTTCTTTGCAAAGAGCAGTTTTGAAACACTCTTTTTGTAGAATCTGCAAGAGGATATTTGGATAGCTTTGAAGATTTCTTGGGAAACGGGAATGTCTTCAGATAAACTCTAGACAGAAGCATTCTCAGAAACTTCTTTGGGATGTTTCAATTGAAGTCACAGTGTTGAACATTCCCTTTCACAGAGCAGGTTTGAAACACTCTTTTTGTAGTGTCTATAAGTGAACATTTGGCGTGCTTTCAGGCCTAACGTGAAAAAGGAAATATCTTCCCATAAAAACTAGACAGAAGCATTCTCAGAAACTTGTTCATGATGTGTGCCCTCTACTGACAGAGTTGAACCTTTCTTTGCAAAGAGCAGCTTTGAAACACTCTTTTTGTAGAATCTGCAAGAGGATATTTGGATAGCTTTGAGGATTTCGTTGGAAACGGGTATGTCTTCAGATAAACTCTAGACAGAAGCATTCTCAGAAACTTCTTTGGGATGTTGCATTCAAGTCACAGAGTAGAACATTCCCATTCATAGAGCAGATTTGAAACACTCTTTTTGTAGTATCTGGAAGTGGACATTTGGAGCGCTTTCAGGCCTATGTTGAAAAAGGAAATATCTTCCCATAAAAACTAGACGGAAGCATTCTCAGAAACTTACTTGTGATGTGTTTGCTCAACTAACAGAATTGAACCATCGTTTTGAAGGAGCAGTTTTGAAACACTGTTTTCGTGGAATCTGCAAGTCGATATTTGGCTAGCTTTGAGGATTTCGTTGGAAACGGGATTACATATAAAAAGGAGACAGCAGCATTCTCAGAAACTTCTTTGTGATGTTTGCATTCAAGTCACAGAGTTGAACATTCCCTTTCATAGAGCAGGTTTGAAACACTCTTTTTGTAGTATCTGGATGTGGACATTTGGATCGCTTTCAGGCCTATGGTGAAAAAGGAAATATCTTCCCATGAAAATTAGACAGAAGCATTCTCAGAAACTTATTTGTGATGTGTGCCCTCAACTGACAGTGCTGAACCTTTGTTTTGATAGAGCAGTTCTGAAACACACTTTTTGTAAAATCTGCAAGAGGATATTTGGATAGCTTTGAGGATTTCGTTGGAAACGGGAATGTCTTCATGTAAACTCTAGACAGAAGCATTCTCAGAAACTGCTTTGGGATGTTTCAATTGAAGTCCCAGTGTTGAACATTCCCTTTCATAGAGCAGGTTTGAAACACTCTTTTTGTACTATCTGGAAGTGGACATTTGGAGCGCTTTCAGGTCTACGGTGAAAAAGGAGATATCTTCCAATAAAAACTAGATAGAAGCAATGTCAGAACTTTTTTCATGATGTATCTACTCAGCAAACAGAGTTGAACCTTTCTTTTGAGAGAGCAGTTTTGAAACACTCTTTTTGTGGAATATGCAAGTGGGTATTAGGCCAGCTTGGAGGATTTCGTTGGAAACGGGAATACGTATAAAAAGCAGACAGCAGCATTGTCAGAAACTACTTTGTGATGTTTGCATTCAAGTCACAGAATTGAACACTCCCTTTCACAGAGCAGGTTTGAAACACTCTTTTTGTAGTGTCTGTAAGTGAACATTTGGATTGCTTTCAGGCCTATGTGAAAAAGGAAATATCTTCCCATAAAAACTAGACAGAAGCATTCTCAGAAACTTGTTTGTGATGTGTGCCCTCTACTGACAGAGTTGAACCTTTCTTTGCAAAGAGCAGTTTTGAAACACTCTTTTTGTAGAATCTGCAAGAGGATATTTGGATAGCTTTGAGGATTTCTTGGGAAACGGGAATGTCTTCAGATAAACTCTAGACAGAAGCATTCTCAGAAACTTCTTTGGGATATTTCAATTGAAGTCACAGTGTTGAACATTCCCTTTCACAGAGCAGGTTTGAAACACTCTTTTTGTAGTGTCTATAAGTGAACATTTGGCGTGCTTTCAGGCGTAACGTGAAAAAGGAAATATCTTCCCATAAAAACGAGACAGAAGCATTCTCAGAAACTTGTTCGTGATGTGTGCCCTCTACTGACAGAGTTGAACCTTTCTTTGCAAAGAGCAGCTTTGAAACACTCTTTTTGTAGAATCTGCAAGAGGATATTTGGATAGCTTTGAGGATTTCGTTGGAAACGGGTATGTCTTCAGATAAACTCTAGACAGAAGCATTCTCAGAAACTTCTTTGGGATGTTGCATTCAAGTCACAGAGTAGAACATTCCCATTCATAGAGCAGATTTGAAACACTCTTTTTGTAGTATCTGGAAGTGGACATTTGGAGCGCTTTCAGGCCTATGTTGAAAAAGGAAATATCTTCCCATAAAAACTAGACGGAAGCATTCTCAGAAACTTACTTGTGATGTGTTTGCTCAACTAACAGAATTGAACCATCGTTTTGAAGGAGCAGTTTTGAAACACTGTTTTCGTGGAATCTGCAAGTGGATATTTGGCTAGCTTTGAGGATTTCGTTGGAAACGGGATTACATATAAAAAGGAGACAGCCGCATTCTCAGAAACTTCTTTGTGATGTCTGCATTCAAGTCACAGAGTTGAGCATTCCCTTTCATAGAGCAGGTTGGAAACACTCTTTTTGTAGTATCTGGATGAGGACATTTGGAGCGCTTTCAGGCGTATGGTGAAAAAGGAAATATCTTCCCGTAAAAACTAGACAGAAGCATTCTCAGAAATTTATTTGTGATGTGTGCCCTCAACTAACAGAGTTGAACCTTTCTTTTGATAGAGCAGTTTTGAAACACTCTTTTTGTAAAATCTGCAAGAGGATATTTGGATAGCTTTGAGGATTTCGTTGCAAACGGGAATGGCTTCATATAAACTCTAGACAGAAGCATTCTCAGAAACTTCGTTGGGATGTTTCGATTGAAGTCCCAGTGTTGAACATTCCCTTTTATAGAGCAGGTTGGAAACACTCTTTCTGCATTCCCTGGAAGTGGACATTTGGAGCGCTTTCAGGACGACGGTGAAAATGGAAATATCTTCCAAGAAAATCTAGATAGAAGCAACGTCAGAAACTTTTATGTGATGGATCTACTCAGCTAACAGAGTTGAACCTTTCTTTTGAGAGAGCAGTTTTGCAACACTCTTTTTGTGGAATATGCAAGTGGATATTAGGGCAGCTTTGAGGATTTCGTTGGAAACGGGAATACATGTAAAAAGCAGACAGCAGCATTCTCAGAAACTTCTTTGTGATGTTTGCATTGAAGTCACAGAGTTGAACATTCCCTTTGAGAGAGCAGGTTTGAAACACGCCTTTTGTCATATCTGGAAGTGTCCATTCGGAGCGCATTCAGGCTTGTGTTGAAAAAGGAAATATCCTCCCATAAAAACTAGACAGAAGCATTCTCAGAAACTTATCTGTGATGTATGTACTCAACTAACAGAACTAAACCATCGTTTTGAAGGGCAGTTTTGAAACACTCTTTTTGCGGAATCTGCAAGTGGATATTTGGCTAGCTGGGAGGATTTCGTTGGAAACGGGATTACATACAAAAAGCAGACAGCAGCATTCTCAGAAACTTCTTTGTGATGTTTGCATTCAAGTCACAGAGTTGAACATTCCCTTTCATAGAGCAGGTTTGAAACACTCTTTTTGTAGTATCTGGATGTGGACATTTGGATCGCTTTCAGGCCTATGGTGAAAAAGGAAATATCTTCCCATGAAAACTAGACAGAAGCATTCTCAGAAACTTATTTGTGATGTGTGCCCTCAACTGACAGTGTTGAACCTTTGTTTTGATAGAGCAGTTCTGAAACACACTTTTTGTAAAATCTGCAAGAGGATATTTGGATAGCTTTGAGGATTTCGTTGGAAACGGGAATGTCTTCATGTAAACTCTACACAGAAGCATTCTCAGAAACTGCTTTGGGATGTTTCAATTGAAGTCCCAGTGTTGAACATTCCCATTCATAGAGCAGGTTTGAAACACTCTTTTTGTACTATCTGGAAGTGGACATTTGGAGCGCTTTCAGGTCTACGGTGAAAAAGGAGATATCTTCCAATAAAAACTAGATAGAAGCAATGTCAGAACTTTTTTCATGATGTATCTACTCAGCAAACAGAGTTGAACCTTTCTTTTGAGAGAGCAGTTTTGAAACACTCTTTTTGTGGAATATGCAAGTGGGTATTAGGCCAGCTTGGAGGATTTCGTTGGAAACGGGAATACGTATAAAAAGCAGACAGCAGCATTGTCAGAAACTACTTTGTGATGTTTGCATTCAAGTCACAGAATTGAACACTCCCTTTCACAGAGCAGGTTTGAAACACTCTTTTTGTAGTGTCTGTAAGTGAACATTTGGATTGCTTTCAGGCCTAAGGTGAAAAAGGAAATATCTTCCCATAAAAACTAGACAGAAGCATTCTCAGAAACTTGTTCGTGATGTGTGCCCTCTACTGACAGAGTTGAACCTTTCTTTACAAAGAGCAGCTTTGAAACACACTTTTTGTAGAATCTGCAAGAGGATATTTGGATAGCTTTGAGGATTTCGTTGGAAACGGGTATGTCTTCAGATAAACTCTAGACAGAAGCATTCTCAGAAACTTCTTTGGGATGTTGCATGCAAGTCACAGAGTAGAACATTCCCATTCATAGAGCAGATTTGAAACACTCTTTTTGTAGTATCTGGAAGTGGACATTTGGAGCGCTTTCAGGCCTATGTTGAAAAAGGAAATATCTTCCCATAAAAACTAGACGGAAGCATTCTCAGAAACTTAATTGTGATGTGTTTGCTCAACTAACAGGATTGAACCATCGTTTTGAAGGAGCAGTTTTGAAACACTGTTTTCGTGGAATCTGCAAGTGGATATTTGGCTAGCTTTGAGGATTTCGTTGGAAACGGGATTACATATAAAAAGGAGACAGCAGCATTCTCAGAAACTTCTTTGTGATGTCTGCATTCAAGTCACAGAGTTGAGCATTCCCTTTCATAGAGAAGGTTGGAAACACTCTTTTTGTAGTATCTGGATGAGGACATTTGGAGCGCTTTCAGGCGTATGGTGAAAAAGGAAATATCTTCCCGTAAAAACTAGACAGAAGCATTCTCAGAAATTTATTTGTGATGTGTGCCCTCAACTAACAGAGTTGAACCTTTCTTTTGATAGAGCAGTTTTGAAACACTCTTTTTGTAAAATCTGCAAGAGGATATTTGGATAGCTTGGAGGATTTCATTGCAAACGGGAATGGCTTCATATAAACTCTAGACAGAAAGCATTCTCAGAAACTTCGTCGGGATGTTTCGATTGAAGTCCCAGTGTTGAACATTCCCTTTTATAGAGCAGGTTGGAAACACTCTTTCTGCATTCCCTGGAAGTGGACAATTGGAGCGCTTTCAGGACGACGGTGAAAATGGAAATATCTTCCAATAAAATCTGGATAGAGCAATGTCAGAAACTTTTCTGTGATGGATCTACTCAGCTAACAGAGTTGAACCTTTCTTTTGAGAGAGCAGTTTTGCAACACTCTTTTTGTGGAATATGCAAGTGGATATTAGGGCAGCTTTGAGGATTTCGTTGGAAACGGGAATACATGTAAAAAGCAGACAGCAGCATTCTCAGAAACTTCTTTGTGATGTTTGCATTGAAGTCACAGAGTTGAACATTCCCTTTGAGAGAGCAGGTTTGAAACACGCCTTTTGTCATATCTGGAAGTGTCCATTCGGAGCGCATTCAGGCTTGTGTTGAAAAAGGAAAATATCCTCCCATAAAAACTAGACAGAAGCATTCTCAGAAACTTATCTGTGATGTATGTACTCAACTAACAGAACTAAACCATCGTTTTGAAGGAGCAGTTTTGAAACACTCTTTTTGCGGAATCTGCAAGTGGATATTTGGCTAGCTGGGAGGATTTCGTTGGAAACGGGATTACATACAAAAAGCAGACAGCAGCATTCTCAGAAACTTCTTTGTGATGTTTGCATTCAAGTCACAGAGTTGAACATTCCCTTTCATAGAGCAGGTTTGAAACACTCTTTTTGTAGTATCTGGATGTGGACATTTGGATCGCTTTCAGGCCTATGGTGAAAAAGGAAATATCTTCCCATGAAAACTAGACAGAAGCATTCTCAGAAACTTATTTGTGATGTGTGCCCTCAACTGACAGTGTTGAACCTTTGTTTTGATAGAGCAGTTCTGAAACACACTTTTTGTAAAATCTGCAAGAGGATATTTGGATAGCTTTGAGGATTTCGTTGAAACGGGAATGTCTTCATGTAAACTCTAGACAGAAGCATTCTCAGAAACTGCTTTGGGATGTTTCAATTGAAGTCCCAGCGTTGAACATTCCCATTCATAGAGCAGGTTTGAAACACTCTTTTTGTACTATCTGGAAGTGGACATTTGGAGCGCTTTCAGGTCTACGGTGAAAAAGGAGATATCTTCCAATAAAAACTAGATAGAAGCAATATCAGAACTTTTTTCATGATGTATCTACTCAGCAAACAGAGTTGAACCTTTCTTTTGAGAGAGCAGTTTTGAAACACTCTTTTTGTGGAATATGCAAGTGGGTATTAGGCCAGCTTGGAGGATTTCGTTGGAAACGGGAATACGTATAAAAAGCAGACAGCAGCATTGTCAGAAACTACTTTGTGATGTTTGCATTCAAGTCACAGAATTGAACACTCCCTTTCACAGAGCAGGTTTGAAACACTCTTTTTGTAGTGTCTGTAAGTGAACATTTGGATTGCTTTCAGGCCTAAGGTGAAAAAGGAAATATCTTCCCATAAAAACTAGACAGAAGCATTCTCAGAAACTTGTTTGTGATGTGTGCCCTCTACTGACAGAGTTGAACCTTTCTTTGCAAAGAGCAGTTTTGAAACACTCTTTTTGTAGAATCTGCAAGAGGATATTTGGATAGCTTTGAGGATTTCTTGGGAAACGGGAATGTCTTCAGATAAACTCTAGACAGAAGCATTCTCAGAAACTTCTTTGGGATATTTCAATTGAAGTCACAGTGTTGAACATTCCCTTTCACAGAGCAGGTTTGAAACACTCTTTTTGTAGTGTCTATAAGTGAACATTTGGCGTGCTTTCAGGCCTAACGTGAAAAAGGAAATATCTTCCCATAAAAACTAGACAGAAGCATTCTCAGAAACTTGTTCGTGATGTGTGCCCTCTACTGACAGAGTTGAACCTTTCTTTGCAAAGAGCAGCTTTGAAACACACTTTTTGTAGAATCTGCCAGAGGATATTTGGATAGCTTTGAGGATTTCGTTGGAAACGGGTATGTCTTCAGATAAACTCTAGACAGAAGCATTCTCAGAAACTTCTTTGGGATGTTGCATTCAAGTCACAGAGTAGAACATTCCCATTCATAGAGCAGATTTGAAACACTCTTTTTGTAGTATCTGGAAGTGGACATTTGGAGCGCTTTCAGGCCTATGTTGAAAAAGGAAATATCTTCCCATAAAAACTAGACGGAAGCATTCTCAGAAACTTACTTGTGATGTGTTTGCTCAACTAACAGAATTGAACCATCGTTTTGAAGGAGCAGTTTTGAAACACTGTTTTCGTGGAATCTGCAAGTGGATATTTGGCTAGCTTTGAGGATTTCGTTGGAAACGGGATTACATATAAAAAGGAGACAGCAGCATTCTCAGAAACTTCTTTGTGATGTCTGCATTCAAGTCACAGAGTTGAGCATTCCCTTTCATAGAGCAGGTTGGAAACACTCTTTGTGTAGTATCTGGATGAGGACATTTGGAGCGCTTTCAGGCCTATGGTGAAAAAGGAAATATCTTCCCGTAAAAACTAGACAGAAGCATTCTCAGAAATTTATTTGTGATGTGTGCCCTCAACTAACAGAGTTGAACCTTTCTTTTGATAGAGCAGTTTTGAAACACTCTTTTTGTAAAATCTGCAAGAGGATATTTGGATAGCTTTGAGGATTTCCTTGCAAACGGGAATGGCTTCATATAAACTCTAGACAGAAGCATTCTCAGAAACTTCGTTGGGATGTTTCGATTGAAGTCCCAGTGTTGAACATTCCCTTTTATAGAGCAGGTTGGAAACACTCTTTCTGCATTCCCTGGAAGTGGACATTTGGAGCGCTTTCAGGACGACGGTGAAAATGGAAATATCTTCCAAGAAAATCTAGATAGAAGCAACGTCAGAAACTTTTCTGTGATGGATCTACTCAGCTAACAGAGTTGAACCTTTCTTTTGAGAGAGCAGTTTTGCAACACTCTTTTTGTGGAATATGCAAGTGGATATTAGGGCAGCTTTGAGGATTTCGTTGGAAACGGGAATACATGTAAAAAGCAGACAGCAGCATTCTCAGAAACTTCTTTGTGATGTTTGCATTGAAGTCACAGAGTTGAACATTCCCTTTGAGAGAGCAGGTTTGAAACACGCCTTTTGTCATATCTGGAAGTGTCCATTCGGAGCGCATTCAGGCTTGTGTTGAAAAAGGAAATATCCTCCCATAAAAACTAGACAGAAGCATTCTCAGAAACTTATCTGTGATGTATGTACTCAACTAACAGAACTAAACCATCGTTTTGAAGGAGCAGTTTTGAAACACTCTTTTTGCGGAATCTGCAAGTGGATATTTGGCTAGCTGGGAGGATTTCGTTGGAAACGGGATTACATACAAAAAGCAGACAGCAGCATTCTCAGAAACTTCTTTGTGATGTTTGCATTCAAGTCACAGAGTTGAACATTCCCTTTCATAGAGCAGGTTTGAAACACTCTTTTTGTAGTATCTGGATGTGGACATTTGGATCGCTTTCAGGCCTATGGTGAAAAAGGAAATATCTTCCCATGAAAACTAGACAGAAGCATTCTCAGAAACTTATTTGTGATGTGTGCCCTCAACTGACAGTGTTGAACCTTTGTTTTGATAGAGCAGTTCTGAAACACACTTTTTGTAAAATCTGCAAGAGGATATTTGGATAGCTTTGAGGATTTCGTTGGAAACGGGAATGTCTTCATGTAAACTCTACACAGAAGCATTCTCAGAAACTGCTTTGGGATGTTTCAATTGAAGTCCCAGTGTTGAACATTCCCATTCATAGAGCAGGTTTGAAACACTCTTTTTGTACTATCTGGAAGTGGACATTTGGAGCGCTTTCAGGTCTACGGTGAAAAAGGAGATATCTTCCAATAAAAACTAGATAGAAGCAATGTCAGAACTTTTTTCATGATGTATCTACTCAGCTAACCGAGTTGAACCTTTCTTTTGAGAGAGCAGTTTTGAAACACTCTTTTTGTGGAATATGCAAGTGGGTATTAGGCCAGCTTGGAGGATTTCGTTGGAAACGGGAATACGTATAAAAAGCAGACAGCAGCATTGTCAGAAACTACTTTGTGATGTTTGCATTCAAGTCACAGAATTGAACACTCCCTTTCACAGAGCAGGTTTGAAACACTCTTTTTGTAGTGTCTATAAGTGAACATTTGGCGTGCTTTCAGGCCTAAGGTGAAAAAGGAAATATCTTCCCATAAAAACTAGACAGAAGCATTCTCAGAAACTTGTTTGTGATGTGTGCCCTCTACTGACAGAGTTGAACCTTTCTTTGCAAAGAGCAGCTTTGAAACACTCTTTTTGTAGAATCTGCAAGAGGATATTTGGATAGCTTTGAGGATTTCTTGGGAAACGGGAATGTCTTCAGATAAACTCTAGACAGAAGCATTCTCAGAAACTTCTTTGGGATGTTGCATTCAAGTCACAGAGTAGAACATTCCCATTCATAGAGCAGATTTGAAACACTCTTTTTGTAGTATCTGGAAGTGGACATTTGGAGCGCTTTCAGGCCTATGTTGAAAAAGGAAATATCTTCCCATAAAAACTAGACGGAAGCATTCTCAGAAACTTATTTGTGATGTGTTTGCTCAACTAACAGGATTGAACCATCGTTTTGAAGGAGCAGTTTTGAAACACTGTTTTCGTGGAATCTGCAAGTGGATATTTGGCTAGCTTGAGGATTTCGTTGGAAACGGGATTACATATAAAAAGGAGACAGCAGCATTCTCAGAAACTTCTTTGTGATGTCTGCATTCAATTCACAGAGTTGAGCATTCCCTTTCATAGAGCAGGTTGGAAACACTCTTTTTGTAGTATCTGGATGAGGACATTTGGAGCGCTTTCAGGCCTATGGTGAAAAAGGAAATATCTTCCCGTAAAAACTAGACAGAAGCATTCTCAGAAATTTATTTGTGATGTGTGCCCTCAACTAACAGAGTTGAACCTTTCTTTTGATAGAGCAGTTTTGAAACACTCTTTTTGTAAAATCTGCAAGAGGATATTTGGATAGCTTTGAGGATTTCGTTGCAAACGGGAATGGCTTCATATAAACTCTAGACAGAAGCATTCTCAGAAACTTCTTTGGGATGTTTCGATTGAAGTCCCAGTGTTGAACTTTCCCTTTTATAGAGCAGGTTGGAAACACTCTTTCTGCATTCCCTGGAAGTGGACATTTGGAGCGCTTTCAGGACGACGGTGAAAATGGAAATATCTTCCAATAAAATCTACATAGAAGCAACGTCAGAAACTTTTATGTGATGGATCTACTCAGCTAACAGAGTTGAACCTTTCTTTTGAGAGAGCAGTTTTGCAACACTCTTTTTGTGGAATATGCAAGTGGATATTAGGGCAGCTTTGAGGATTTCGTTGGAAACGGGAATACATGTAAAAAGCAGACAGCAGCATTCTCAGAAACTTCTTTGTGATGTTTGCATTGAAGTCACAGAGTTGAACATTCCCTTTGAGAGAGCAGGTTTGAAACACGCCTTTTGTCATATCTGGAAGTGTCCATTCGGAGCGCATTCAGGCTTGTGTTGAAAAAGGAAATATCCTCCCATAAAAACTAGACAGAAGCATTCTCAGAAACTTATCTGTGATGTATGTACTCAACTAACAGAACTAAACCATCGTTTTGAAGGAGCAGTTTTGAAACACTCTTTTTGCGGAATCTGCAAGTGGATATTTGGCTAGCTGGGAGGATTTCGTTGGAAACGGGATTACATACAAAAAGCAGACAGCAGCATTCTCAGAAACTTCTTTGTGATGTTTGCATTCAAGTCACAGAGTTGAACATTCCCTTTCATAGAGCAGGTTTGAAACACTCTTTTTGTAGTATCTGGATGTGGACATTTGGATCGCTTTCAGGCCTATGGTGAAAAAGGAAATATCTTCCCATGAAAACTAGACAGAAGCATTCTCAGAAACTTATTTGTGATGTGTGCCCTCAACTGACAGTGTTGAACCTTTGTTTTGATAGAGCAGTTCTGAAACACACTTTTTGTAAAATCTGCAAGAGGATATTTGGATAGCTTTGAGGATTTCGTTGGAAACGGGAATGTCTTCATGTAAACTCTACACAGAAGCATTCTCAGAAACTGCTTTGGGATGTTTCAATTGAAGTCCCAGTGTTGAACATTCCCATTCATAAAGCAGGTTTGAAACACTCTTTTTGTACTATCTGGAAGTGGACATTTGGAGCGCTTTCAGGTCTACGGTGAAAAAGGAGATATCTTCCAATAAAAACTAGATAGAAAGCAATGTCAGCAACTTTTTTCATGATGTATCTACTCAGCAAACAGAGTTGAACCTTTCTTTTGAGAGAGCAGTTTTGAAACACTCTTTTTGTGGAATATGCAAGTGGGTATTAGGCCAGCTTGGAGGATTTCGTTGGAAACGGGAATACGTATAAAAAGCAGACAGCAGCATTGTCAGAAACTACTTTGTGATGTTTGCATTCAAGTCACAGAATTGAACACTCCCTTTCACAGAGCAGGTTTGAAACACTCTTTTTGTAGTGTCTGTAAGTGAACATTTGGATTGCTTTCACGCCTAAGGTGAAAAAGGAAATATCTTCCCATAAAAACTAGACAGAAGCATTCTCAGAAACTAGTTTGTGATGTGTGCCCTCTACTGACAGAGTTGAACCTTTCTTTGCAAAGAGCAGTTTTGAAACACTCTTTTTGTAGAATCTGCAAGAGGATATTTGGATAGCTTTGAGGATTTCTTGGGAAACGGGAATGTCTTCAGATAAACTCTAGACAGAAGCATTCTCAGAAACTTCTTTGGGATGTTTCAATTGAAGTCACAGTGTTGAACATTCCCTTTCACAGAGCAGGTTTGAAACACTCTTTTTGTAGTGTCTATAAGTGAACATTTGGCGTGCTTTCAGGCGTAACGTGAAAAAGGAAATATCTTCCCATAAAAACTAGACAGAAGCATTCTCAGAAACTTGTTCTTGATGTGTCCCCTCTACTGAGAGAGTTGAACCTTTCTTTGCAAAGAGCAGCTTTGAAACACTCTTTTTGTAGAATCTGCAAGAGGATATTTGGATAGCTTGGAGGATTTCGTTGGAAACGGGTATGTCTTCAGATAAACTCTAGACAGAAGCATTCTCAGAAACTTCTTTGGGATGTTGCATTCAAGTCACAGAGTAGAACATTCCCATTCATAGAGCAGATTTGAAACACTCTTTTTGTAGTATCTGGAAGTGGACATTTGGAGCGCTTTCAGGCCTATGTTGAAAAAGGAAATATCTTCCCATAAAAACTAGACGGAAGCATTCTCAGAAACTTATTTGTGATGTGTTTGCTCAACTAACAGGATTGAACCATCGTTTTGAAGGAGCAGTTTTGAAACACTGTTTTCGTGGAATCTGCAAGTGGATATTTGGCTAGCTTTGAGGATTTCGTTGGAAACGGGATTACATATAAAAAGGAGACAGCAGCATTCTCAGAAACTTCTTTGTGATGTCTGCATTCAATTCACAGAGTTGGGCATTCCCTTTCATAGAGCAGGTTGGAAACACTCTTTTTGTAGTATCTGGATGAGGACATTTGGAGCGCTTTCAGGCGTATGGTGAAAAAGGAAATATCTTCCCGTAAAAACTAGACAGAAGCATTCTCAGAAGTTTATTTGTGATGTGTGCCCTCAACTAACAGAGTTGAACCTTTCTTTTGATAGAGCAGTTTTGAAACACTCTTTTTGTAAAATCTGCAAGAGGATATTTGGATAGCTTTGAGGATTTCGTTGCAAACGGGAATGGCTTCATATAAACTCTAGACAGAAGCATTCTCAGAAACTTCGTTGGGATGTTTCGATTGAAGTCCCAGTGTTGAACATTCCCTTTTATAGAGCAGGTTGGAAACACTCTTTCTGCATTCCCTGGAAGTGGACATTTGGAGCGCTTTCAGGACGACGGTGAAAATGGAAATATCTTCCAAGAAAATCTAGATAGAAGCAATGTCAGAAACTTTTATGTGATGGATCTACTCAGCTAACAGAGTTGAACCTTTCTTTTGAGAGAGCAGTTTTGCAACACTCTTTTTGTGGAATATGCAAGTGGATATTTGGCTAGCTGGGAGGATTTCGTTGGAAACGGGATTACATACAAAAAGCAGAGAGCAGCATTCTCAGAAACTTCTTTGTGATGTTTGCATTCAAGTCACAGAGTTGAACATTCCCTTTCATAGAGCAGGTTTGAAACACGCCTTTTGTCATATCTGGAAGTGTCCATTCGGAGCGCATTCAGGCTTGTGTTGAAAAAGGAAATATCCTCCCATAAAAACTAGACAGAAGCATTCTCAGAAACTTATCTGTGATGTATGTACTCAACTAACAGAACTAAACCATCGTTTTGAAGGAGCAGTTTTGAAACACTCTTTTTGCGGAATCTGCAAGTGGATATTTGGCTAGCTGGGAGGATTTCGTTGGAAACGGGATTACATACAAAAAGCAGAGAGCAGCATTCTCAGAAACTTATTTGTGATGTGTGCCCTCAACTGACAGTGTTGAACCTTTGTTTTGATAGAGCAGTTCTGAAACACACTTTTTGTAAAATCTGCAAGAGGATATTTGGATAGCTTTGAGGATTTCGTTGGAAACGGGAATGTCTTCATGTAAACTCTGGACAGAAGCATTCTCAGAAACTGCTTTGGGATGTTTCAATTGAAGTCCCAGTGTTGAACATTCCCATTCATAGAGCAGGTTTGAAACACTCTTTTTGTACTATCTGGAAGTGGACATTTGGAGCGCTTTCAGGTCTACGGTGAAAAAGGAGATATCTTCCAATAAAAACTAGATAGAAGCAATGTCAGAACTTTTTTCATGATGTATCTACTCAGCAAACAGAGTTGAACCTTTCTTTTGAGAGAGCAGTTTTGAAACACTCTTTTTGTGGAATATGCAAGTGGGTATTAGGCCAGCTTGGAGGATTTCGTTGGAAACGGGAATACGTATAAAAAGCAGACAGCAGCATTGTCAGAAACTACTTTGTGATGTTTGCATTCAAGTCACAGAATTGAACACTCCCTTTCACAGAGCAGGTTTGAAACACTCTTTTTGTAGTGTCTGTAAGTGAACATATGGATTGCTTTCAGGCCTAAGGTGAAAAAGGAAATATCTTCCCATAAAAACTAGACAGAAGCATTCTCAGAAACTTGTTTGTGATGTGTGCCCTCTACTGACAGAGTTGAACCTTTCTTTGCAAAGAGCAGTTTTGAAACACTCTTTTTGTAGAATCTGCAAGAGGATATTTGGATAGCTTTGAGGATTTCTTGGGAAACGGGAATGTCTTCAGATAAACTCTAGACAGAAGCATTCTCAGAAACTTCTTTGGGATGTTTCAATTGAAGTCACAGTGTTGAACATTCCCTTTCACAGAGCAGGTTTGAAACACTCTTTTTGTAGTGTCTATAAGTGAACATTTGGCGTGCTTTCAGGCCTAACGTGAAAAAGGAAATATCTTCCCATAAAAACTAGACAGAAGCATTCTCAGAAACTTGTTCGTGATGTGTGCCCTCTACTGACAGAGTTGAACCTTTCTTTGCAAAGAGCAGCTTTGAAACACTCTTTTTGTAGAATCTGCAAGAGGATATTTGGATAGCTTTGAGGATTTCGTTGGAAACGGGAATGTCTTCAGATAAACTCTAGACAGAAGCATTCTCAGAAACTTCTTTGGGATGTTGCATTCAAGTCACAGAGTAGAACATTCCCATTCATAGAGCAGATTTGAAACACTCTTTTTGTAGTATCTGGAAGTGGACATTTGGAGCGCTTTCAGGCCTATGTTGAAAAAGGAAATATCTTCCCATAAAAACTAGACGGAAGCATTCTCAGAAACTTATTTGTGATGTGTTTGCTCAACTAACAGGATTGAACCATCGTTTTGAAGGAGCAGTTTTGAAACACTGTTTTCGTGGAATCTGCAAGTGGATATTTGGCTAGCTTTGAGGATTTCGTTGGAAACGGGATTACATATACAAAGGAGACAGCAGCATTCTCAGAAACTTCTTTGTGATGTCTGCATTCAATTCACAGAGTTGAGCATTCCCTTTCATAGAGCAGGTTGGAAACACTCTTTTTGTAGTATCTGGATGAGGACATTTGGAGCGCTTTCAGGCCTATGGTGAAAAAGGAAATATCTTCCCGTAAAAACTAGACAGAAGCATTCTCAGAAGTTTATTTGTGATGTGTGCCCTCAACTAACAGAGTTGAACCTTTCTTTTGATAGAGCAGTTTTGAAACACTCTTTTTGTAAAATCTGCAAGAGGATATTTGGATAGCTTTGAGGATTTCGTTGCAAACGGGAATGGCTTCATATAAACTCTAGACAGAAGCATTCTCAGAAACTTCGTTGGGATGTTTCGATTGAAGTCCCAGTGTTGAACATTCCCTTTTATAGAGCAGGTTGGAAACACTCTTTCTGCATTCCCTGGAAGTGGACATTTGGAGCGCTTTCAGGACAACGGTGAAAATGGAAATATCTTCCAAGAAAATCTAGATAGAAGCAACGTCAGAAACTTTTATGTGATGGATCTACTCAGCTAACAGAGTTGAACCTTTCTTTTGAGAGAGCAGTTTTGCAACACTCTTTTTGGGGAATATGCAAGTGGATATTAGGGCAGCTTTGAGGATTTCGTTGGAAACGGGAATACATGTAAAAAGCAGACAGCAGCATTCTCAGAAACTTCTTTGTGATGTTTGCATTGAAGTCACAGAGTTGAACATCCCCTTTGAGAGAGCAGGTTTGAAACACGCCTTTTGTCATATCTGGAAGTGTCCATTCGGAGCGCATTCAGGCTTGTGTTGAAAAAGGAAATATCCTCCCATAAAAACTAGACAGAAGCATTCTCAGAAACTTATCTGTGATGTATGTACTCAACTAACAGAACTAAACCATCGTTTTGAAGGGCAGTTTAGAAACACTCTTTTTGCGGAATCTGCAAGTGGATATTTGGCTAGCTGGGAGGATTTCGTTGGAAACGGGATTACATACAAAAAGCAGACAGCAGCATTCTCAGAAACTTATTTGTGATATGTGCCCTCAACTGACAGTGTTGAACCTTTGTTTTGATAGAGCAGTTCTGAAACACACTTTTTGTAAAATCTGCAAGAGGATATTTGGATAGCTTTGAGGATTTCGTTGGAAACGGGAATGTCTTCATGTAAACTCTACACAGAAGCATTCTCAGAAACTGCTTTGGGATGTTTCAATTGAAGTCCCAGTGTTGAACATTCCCTTTAATAGAGCAGGTTTGAAACACTCTTTTTGTACTATCTGGAAGTGGACATTTGGAGCGCTTTCAGGTCTACGGTGAAAAAGGATATATCTTCCAATAAAAACTAGATAGAAGCAATGTCAGAACTTTTTTCATGATGTATCTACTCAGCAAACAGAGTTGAACCTTTCTTTTGAGAGAGCAGTTTTGAAACACTCTTTTTGTGGAATATGCAAGTGGGTATTAGGCCAGCTTGGAGGATTTCGTTGGAAACGGGAATACGTATAAAAAGCAGACAGCAGCATTGTCAGAAACTACTTTGTGATGTTTGCATTCAAGTCACAGAATTGAACACTCCCTTTCACAGAGCAGGTTTGAAACACTCTTTTTGTAGTGTCTGTAAGTGAACATTTGGATTGCTTTCAGGCCTAAGGTGAAAAAGGAAATATCTTCCCATAAAAACTAGACAGAAGCATTCTCAGAAACTTGTTTGTGATGTGTGCCCTCTACTGACAGAGTTGAACCTTTCTTTGCAAAGAGCAGTTTTGAAACACTTTTTGTAGAATCTGCAAGAGGATATTTGGATAGCTTTGAGGATTTCTTGGGAAACGGGAATGTCTTCAGATAAACTCTAGACAGAAGCATTCTCAGAAACTTCTTTGGGATGTTTCAATTGAAGTCACAGTGTTGAACATTCCCTTTCACAGAGCAGGTTTGAAACACTCTTTTTGTAGTGTCTATAATTGAACATTTGGCGTGCTTTCAGGCCTAACGTGAAAAAGGAAATATCTTCCCATAAAAACTAGACAGAAGCATTCTCAGAAACTTGTTCGTGATGTGTGCCCTCTACTGACAGAGTTGAACCTTTCTTTGCAAAGAGCAGCTTTGAAACACTCTTTTTGTAGAATCTGCAAGAGGATATGTGGATAGCTTGGAGGATTTCGTTGGAAACGGGTATGTCTTCAGATAAACTCTAGACAGAAGCATTCTCAGAAAGTTCTTTGGGATGTTTCAATTGAAGTCACAGTGTTGAACATTCCCTTTCACAGAGCAGGTTTGAAACACTCTTTTTGTAGTGTCTATAAGTGAACATTTGGCGTGCTTTCAGGCCTAACGTGAAAAAGGAAATATCTTCCCATAAAAACTAGACAGAAGCATTCTCAGAAACTTGTTCATGATGTGTGCCCTCTACTGACAGAGTTGAACCTTTCTTTGCAAAGAGCAGCTTTGAAACACACTTTTTGTAGAATCTGCAAGAGGATATTTGGATAGCTTTGAGGATTTCGTTGGAAACGGGTATGTCTTCAGATAAACTCTAGACAGAAGCATTCTCAGAAACTTCTTTGGGATGTTGCATTCAAGTCACAGAGTAGAACATTCCCATTCATAGAGCAGATTTGAAACACTCTTTTTGTAGTATCTGGAAGTGGACATTTGGAGCGCTTTCAGGCCTATGTTGAAAAAGGAAATATCTTCCCATAAAAACTAGACGGAAGCATTCTCAGAAACTTACTTGTGATGTGTTTGCTCAACTAACAGAATTGAACCATCGTTTTGAAGGAGCAGTTTCGAAACACTGTTTTCGTGGAATCTGCAAGTGGATATTTGGCTAGCTTTGAGGATTTCGTTGGAAACGGGATTACATATAAAAAGGAGACAGCAGCATTCTCAGAAACTTCTTTGTGATGTCTGCATTCAAGTCACAGAGTTGAGCATTCCCTTTCATAGAGCAGGTTGGAAACACTCTTTTTGTAGTATCTGGATGAGGACATTTGGAGCGCTTTCAGGCGTATGGTGAAAAAGGAAATATCTTCCCGTAAAAACTAGACAGAAGATTCTCAGAAATTTATTTGTGATGTGTGCCCTCAACTAACAGAGTTGAACCTTTCTTTTGATAGAGCAGTTTTGAAACACTCTTTTTGTAAAATCTGCAAGAGGATATTTGGATAGCTTTGAGGATTTCGTTGCAAACGGGAATGGCTTCATATAAACTCTAGACAGAAGCATTCTCAGAAACTTCGTTGGGATGTTTCGATTGAAGTCCCAGTGTTGAACATTCCCTTTTATAGAGCAGGTTGGAAACACTCTTTCTGCATTCCCTGGAAGTGGACATTTGGAGCGCTTTCAGGACGACGGTGAAAATGGAAATATCTTCCAAGAAAATCTAGATAGAAGCAATGTCAGAAACTTTTATGTGATGGATCTACTCAGCTAACAGAGTTGAACCTTTCTTTTGAGAGAGCAGTTTTGCAACACTCTTTTTGTGGAATATGCAAGTGGATATTAGGGCAGCTTTGAGGATTTCGTTGGAAACGGGAATACATGTAAAAAGCAGACAGCAGCATTCTCAGAAACTTCTTTGTGATGTTTGCATTGAAGTCACAGAGTTGAACATTCCCTTTGAGAGAGCAGGTTTGAAACACGCCTTTTGTCATATCTGGAAGTGTCCATTCGGAGCGCATTCAGGCTTGTGTTGAAAAAGGAAATATCCTCCCATAAAAACTAGACAGAAGCATTCTCAGAAACTTATCTGTGATGTATGTACTCAACTAACAGAACTAAACCATCGTTTTGAAGGAGCAGTTTTGAAACACTCTTTTTGCGGAATCTGCAAGTGGATATTTGGCTAGCTGGGAGGATTTCGTTGGAAACGGGATTACATACAAAAAGCAGACAGCAGCATTCTCAGAAACTTCTTTGTGATGTTTGCATTCAAGTCACAGAGTTGAACATTCCCTTTCATAGAGCAGGTTTGAAACACTCTTTTTGTAGTATCTGGATGTGGACATTTGGATCGCTTTCAGGCCTATGGTGAAAAAGGAAATATCTTCCCATGAAAACTAGACAGAAGCATTCTCAGAAACTTATTTGTGATGTGTGCCCTCAACTGACAGTGTTGAACCTTTGTTTTGATAGAGCAGTTCTGAAACACACTTTTTGTAAAATCTGCAAGAGGATATTTGGATAGCTTTGAGGATTTCGTTGGAAACGGGAATGTCTTCATGTAAACTCTAGACAGAAGCATTCTCAGAAACTGCTTTGGGATGTTTCAATTGAAGTCCCAGTGTTGAACATTCCCTTTCATAGAGCAGGTTTGAAACACTCTTTTTGTACTATCTGGAAGTGGACATTTGGAGCGCTTTCAGGTCTACGGTGAAAAAGGAGATATCTTCCAATAAAAACTAGATAGAAGCAATGTCAGAACTTTTTTCATGATGTATCTACTCAGCAAACAGAGTTGAACCTTTCTTTTGAGAGAGCAGTTTTGAAACACTCTTTTTGTGGAATATGCAAGTGGGTATTAGGCCAGCTTGGAGGATTTCGTTGGAAACGGGAATACGTATAAAAAGCAGACAGCAGCATTGTCAGAAACTACTTTGTGATGTTTGCATTCAAGTCACAGAATTGAACACTCCCTTTCACAGAGCAGGTTTGAAACACTCTTTTTGTAGTGTCTGTAAGTGTACATTTGGATTGCTTTCAGGCCTAAGGTGAAAAAGGAAATATCTTCCCATAAAAACTAGACAGAAGCATTCTCAGAAGCTTGTTTGTGATGTGTGCCCTCTACTGACAGAGTTGAACCTTTCTTTGCAAAGGGCAGTTTTGAAACACTCTTTTTGTAGAATCTGCAAGAGGATATTTGGATAGCTTTGAGGATTTCTTGGGAAACGGGAATGTCTTCAGATAAACTCTAGACAGAAGCATTCTCAGAAACTTCTTTGGGATGTTTCAATTGAAGTCACAGTGTTGAACATTCCCTTTCACAGAGCAGGTTTGAAACACTCTTTTTGTAGTGTCTATAAGTGAACATTTGGCGTGCTTTCAGGCGTAACGTGAAAAAGGAAATATCTTCCCATAAAAACCAGACAGAAGCATTCTCAGAAACTTGTTCTTGATGTGTCCCCTCTACTGACAGAGTTGAACCTTTCTTTGCAAAGAGCAGCTTTGAAACACTCTTTTTGTAGAATCTGCAAGAGGATATTTGGATAGCTTTGAGGATTTCGTTGGAAACGGGTATGTCTTCAGATAAACTCTAGACAGAAGCATTCTCAGAAACTTCTTTGGGATGTTGCATTCAAGTCACAGAGTAGAACATTCCCATTCATAGAGCAGATTTGAAACACTCTTTTTGTAGTATCTGGAAGTGGACATTTGGAGCGCTTTCAGGCCTATGTTGAAAAAGGAAATATCTTCCCATAAAAACTAGACGGAAGCATTCTCAGAAACTTACTCGTGATGTGTTTGCTCAACTAACAGGATTGAACCATCGTTTTGAAGGAGCAGTTTTGAAACACTGTTTTCGTGGAATCTGCAAGTGGATATTTGGCTAGCTTTGAGGATTTCGTTGGAAACGGGATTACATATAAAAAGGAGACAGCAGCATTCTCAGAAACTTCTTTGTGATGTCTGCATTCAAGTCACAGAGTTGAGCATTCCCTTTCATAGAGCAGGTTGGAAACACTCTTTTTGTAGTATCTGGATGAGGACATTTGGAGCGCTTTCAGGCGTATGGTGAAAAAGGAAATATCTTCCCGTAAAAACTAGACAGAAGCATTCTCAGAAGTTTATTTGTGATGTGTGCCCTCAACTAACAGAGTTGAACCTTTCTTTTGATAGAGCAGTTTTGAAACACTCTTTTTGTAAAATCTGCAGGAGGATATTTGGATAGCTTTGAGGATTTCGTTGCAAACGGGAATGGCTTCATATAAACTCTAGACAGAAGCATTCTCAGAAACTTCGTTGGGATGTTTCGATTGAAGTCCCAGTGTTGAACATTCCCTTTTATAGAGCAGGTTGGAAACACTCTTTCTGCATTCCCTGGAAGTGGACATTTGGAGCGCTTTCAGGACGACGGTGAAAATGGAAATATCTTCCAAGAAAATCTAGATAGAAGCAACGTCAGAAACTTTTATGTGATGGATCTACTCAGCTAACAGAGTTGAACCTTTCTTTTGAGAGAGCAGTTTTGCAACACTCTTTTTGTGGAATATGCAAGTGGATATTAGGGCAGCTTTGAGGATTTCGTTGGAAACGGGAATACATGTAAAAAGCAGACAGCAAGCATTCTCAGAAACTTCTTTGTGATGTTTGCATTGAAGTCACAGAGTTGAACATTCCCTTTGAGAGAGCAGGTTTGAAACACGCCTTTTGTCATATCTGGAAGTGTCCATTCGGAGCGCATTCAGGGTTGTGTTGAAAAAGGAAATATCCTCCCATAAAAACTAGACAGAAGCATTCTCAGAAACTTATCTGTGATGTATGTACTCAACTAACAGAACTAAACCATCGTTTTGAAGGAGCAGTTTCGAAACACTCATTTTGCGGAATCTGCAAGTGGATATTTGGCTAGCTGGGAGGATTTCGTTGGAAACGGCATTACATACAAAAAGCAGACAGCAGCATTCTCAGAAACTTCTTTGTGATGTTTGCATTCAAGTCACAGAGTTGAACATTCCCTTTCATAGAGCAGGTTTGAAACACTCTTTTTGTAGTATCTGGATGTGGACATTTGGATCGCTTTCAGGCCTATGGTGAAAAAGGAAATATCTTCCCATGAAAACTAGACAGAAGCATTCTCAGAAACTTATTTGTGATGTGTGCCCTCAACTGACAGTGTTGAACCTTTGTTTTGATAGAGCAGTTCTGAAACACACTTTTTGTAAAATCTGCAAGAGGATATTTGGATAGCTTTGAGGATTTCGTTGGAAACGGGAATGTCTTCATGTAAACTCTACACAGAAGCATTCTCAGAAACTGCTTTGGGATGTTTCAATTGAAGTCCCAGTGTTGAACATTCCCTTTCATAGAGCAGGTTTGAAACACTCTTTTTGTACTATCTGGAAGTGGACATTTGGAGCGCTTTCAGGTCTACGGTGAAAAAGGAGATATCTTCCAATAAAAACTAGATAGAAGCAATGTCAGAACTTTTTTCATGATGTATCTACTCAGCAAACAGAGTTGAACCTTTCTTTTGAGAGAGCAGTTTTGAAACACTCCTTTTGTGGAATATGCAAGTGGGTATTAGGCCAGCTTGGAGGATTTCGTTGGAAACGGGAATACGTATAAAAAGCAGACAGCAGCATTGTCAGAAACTACTTTGTGATGTTTGCATTCAAGTCACAGAATTGAACACTCCCTTTCACAGAGCAGGTTTGAAACTCTCTTTTTGTAGTGTCTGTAAGTGAACATTTGGCGTGCTTTCAGGCGTAACGTGAAAAAGGAAATATCTTCCCATAAAAACTAGACAGAAGCATTCTCAGAAACTTGTTCTTGATGTGTGCCCTCTACTGACAGAGTTGAACCTTTCTTTGCAAAGAGCAGTTTTGAAACACTCTTTTTGTAGAATCTGCAAGAGGATATTTGGATAGCTTTGAGGATTTCTTGGGAAACGGGAATGTCTTCAGATAAACTCTAGACAGAAGCATTCTCAGAAACTTCTTTGGGATGTTTCAATTGAAGTCACAGTGTTGAACATTCCCTTTCACAGAGCAGGTTTGAAACACTCTTTTTGTAGTGTCTATAAGTGAACATTTGGCGTGCTTTCAGGCCTAACGTGAAAAAGGAAATATCTTCCCATAAAAACTAGACAGAAGCATTCTCAGAAACTTGTTCGTGATGTGTCCCCTCTACTGACAGAGTTGAACCTTTCTTTGCAAAGAGCAGCTTTGAAACACACTTTTTGTAGAATCTGCAAGAGGATATTTGGATAGCTTTGAGGATTTCGTTGGAAACGGGTATGTCTTCAGATAAACTCTAGACAGAAGCATTCTCAGAAACTTCTTTGGGATGTTGCATTCAAGTCACAGAGTAGAACATTCCCATTCATAGAGCAGATTTGAAACACTCTTTTTGTAGTATCTGGAAGTGGACATTTGGAGCGCTTTCAGGCCTATGTTGAAAAAGGAAATATCTTCCCATAAAAACTAGACGGAAGCATTCTCAGAAACTTATTTGTGATGTGTTTGCTCAACTAACAGGATTGAACCATCGTTTTGAAGGAGCAGTTTTGAAACACTGTTTTCGTGGAATCTGCAAGTGGATATTTGGCTAGCTTTGAGGATTTCGTTGGAAACGGGATTACATATAAAAAGGAGACAGCAGCATTCTCAGAAACTTCTTTGTGATGTCTGCATTCAATTCACAGAGTTGAGCATTCCCTTTCATAGAGCAGGTTGGAAACACTCTTTTTGTAGTATCTGGATGAGGACATTTGGAGCGCTTTCAGGCCTATGGTGAAAAAGGAAATATCTTCCCGTAAAAACTAGACAGAAGCATTCTCAGAAGTTTATTTGTGATGTGTGCCCTCAACTAACAGAGTTGAACCTTTCTTTTGATAGAGCAGTTTTGAAACACTCTTTTTGTAAAATCTGCAAGAGGATATTTGGATAGCTTTGAGGATTTCGTTGCAAACGGGAATGGCTTCATATAAACTCTAGACAGAAGCATTCTCAGAAACTTCGTTGGGATGTTTCGATTGAAGTCCCAGTGTTGAACATTCCCTTTTATAGAGCAGGTTGGAAACACTCTTTCTGCATTCCCTGGAAGTGGACATTTGGAGCGCTTTCAGGACGACGGTGAAAATGGAAATATCTTCCAAGAAAATCTAGATAGAAGCAATGTCAGAAACTTTTATGTGATGGATCTACTCAGCTAACAGAGTTGAACCTTTCTTTTGAGAGAGCAGTTTTGCAACACTCTTTTTGTGGAATATGCAAGTGGATATTAGGGCAGCTTTGAGGATTTCGTTGGAAACGGGAATACATGTAAAAAGCAGACAGCAGCATTCTCAGAAACTTCTTTGTGATGTTTGCATTGAAGTCACAGAGTTGAACATTCCCTTTGAGAGAGCAGGTTTGAAACACGCCTTTTGTCATATCTGGAAGTGTCCATTCGGAGCGCATTCAGGCTTGTGTTGAAAAAGGAAATATCCTCCCATAAAAACTAGACAGAAGCATTCTCAGAAACTTATCTGTGATGTATGTACTCAACTAACAGAACTAAACCATCGTTTTGAAAGAGCAGTTTTGAAACACTCTTTTTGCGGAATCTGCAAGTGGATATTTGGCTAGCTGGGAGGATTTCGTTGGAAACGGGATTACATACAAAAAGCAGACAGCAGCATTCTCAGAAACTTCTTTGTGATGTTTGCATTCAAGTCACAGAGTTGAACATTCCCTTTCATAGAGCAGGTTTGAAACACTCTTTTTGTAGTATCTGGATGTGGACATTTGGATCGCTTTCAGGCCTATGGTGAAAAAGGAAATATCTTCCCATGAAAACTAGACAGAAGCATTCTCAGAAACTTATTTGTGATGTGTGCCCTCAACTGACAGTGTTGAACCTTTGTTTTGATAGAGCAGTTCTGAAACACACTTTTTGTAAAATCTGCAAGAGGATATTTGGATAGCTTTGAGGATTTCGTTGGAAACGGGAATGTCTTCATGTAAACTCTAGACAGAAGCATTCTCAGAAACTGCTTTGGGATGTTTCAATTGAAGTCCCAGTGTTGAACATTCCCATTCATAGAGCAGGTTTGAAACACTCTTTTTGTACTATCTGGAAGTGGACATTTGGAGCGCTTTCAGGTCTACGGTGAAAAAGGAGATATCTTCCAATAAAAACTAGATAGAAGCAATGTCAGAACTTTTTTCATGATGTATCTACTCAGCAAACAGAGTTGAACCTTTCTTTTGAGGGAGCAGTTTTGAAACACTATTTTTGTGGAATATGCAAGTGGGTATTAGGCCAGCTTGGAGGATTTCGTTGGAAACGGGAATACGTATAAAAAGCAGACAGCAGCATTGTCAGAAACTACTTTGTGATGTTTGCATTCAAGTCACAGAATTGAACACTCCCTTTCACAGAGCAGGTTTGAAACACTCTTTTTGTAGTGTCTGTAAGTGAACATATGGATTGCTTTCAGGCCTAAGGTGAAAAAGGAAATATCTTCCCATAAAAACTAGACAGAAGCATTCTCAGAAACTTGTTTGTGATGTGTGCCCTCTACTGACAGAGTTGAACCTTTCTTTGCAAAGAGCAGTTTTGAAACACTCTTTTTGTAGAATCTGCAAGAGGATATTTGGATAGCTTTGAGGATTTCTTGGGAAACGGGAATGTCTTCAGATAAACTCTAGACAGAAGCATTCTCAGAAACTTCTTTGGGATATTTCAATTGAAGTCACAGTGTTGAACATTCCCTTTCACAGAGCAGGTTTGAAACACTCTTTTTGTAGTGTCTATAAGTGAACATTTGGCGTGCTTTCAGGCGTAACGTGAAAAAGGAAATATCTTCCCATAAAAACGAGACAGAAGCATTCTCAGAAACTTGTTCATGATGTGTGCCCTCTACTGACAGAGTTGAACCTTTCTTTGCAAAGAGCAGCTTTGAAACACTCTTTTTGTAGAATCTGCAAGAGGATATTTGGATAGCTTGGAGGATTTCGTTGGAAACGGGTATGTCTTCAGATAAACTCTAGACAGAAGCATTCTCAGAAACTTCTTTGGGATGTTTCAATTGAAGTCACAGTGTTGAACATTCCCTTTCACAGAGCAGGTTTGAAACACTCTTTTTGTAGTGTCTATAAGTGAACATTTGGCGTGCTTTCAGGCGTAACGTGAAAAAGGAAATATCTTCCCATAAAAACCAGACAGAAGCATTCTCAGAAACTTGTTCGTGATGTGTGCCCTCTACTGACAGAGTTGAACCTTTCTTTGCAAAGAGCAGCTTTGAAACACACTTTTTGTAGAATCTGCAAGAGGATATTTGGATAGCTTGGAGGATTTCGTTGGAAACGGGTATGTCTTCAGATAAACTCTAGACAGAAGCATTCTCAGAAACTTCTTTGGGATGTTGCATTCAAGTCACAGAGTAGAACATTCCCATTCATAGAGCAGATTTGAAACACTCTTTTTGTAGTATCTGGAAGTGGACATTTGGAGCGCTTTCAGGCCTATGTTGAAAAAGGAAATATCTTCCCATAAAAACTAGACGGAAGCATTCTCAGAAACTTATTTGTGATGTGTTTGCTCAACTAACAGGATTGAACCATCGTTTTGAAGGAGCAGTTTTGAAACACTGTTTTCGTGGAATCTGCAAGTGGATATTTGGCTAGCTTTGAGGATTTCGTTGGAAACGGGATTACATATAAAAAGGAGACAGCAGCATTCTCAGAAACTTCTTTGTGATGTCTGCATTCAAGTCACAGAGTTGAGCATTCCCTTTCATAGAGAAGGTTGGAAACACTCTTTTTGTAGTATCTGGATGAGGACATTTGGAGCGCTTTCAGGCGTATGGTGAAAAAGGAAATATCTTCCCGTAAAAACTAGACAGAAGCATTCTCAGAAGTTTATTTGTGATGTGTGCCCTCAACTAACAGAGTTGAACCTTTCTTTTGATAGAGCAGTTTTGAAACACTCTTTTTGTAAAATCTGCAAGAGGATATTTGGATAGCTTTGAGGATTTCGTTGCAAACGGGAATGGCTTCATATAAACTCTAGACAGAAGCATTCTCAGAAACTTCGTTGGGATGTTTCGATTGAAGTCCCAGTGTTGAACATTCCCTTTTATAGAGCAGGTTGGAAACACTCTTTCTGCATTCCCTGGAAGTGGACATTTGGAGCGCTTTCAGGACGACGGTGAAAATGGAAATATCTTCCAAGAAAATCTAGATAGAAGCAATGTCAGAAACTTTTATGTGATGGATCTACTCAGCTAACAGAGTTGAACCTTTCTTTTGAGAGAGCAGTTTTGCAACACTCTTTTTGTGGAATATGCAAGTGGATATTAGGGCAGCTTTGAGGATTTCGTTGGAAACGGGAATACATGTAAAAAGCAGACAGCAGCATTCTCAGAAACTTCTTTGTGATGTTTGCATTGAAGTCACAGAGTTGAACATTCCCTTTGAGAGAGCAGGTTTGAAACACGCCTTTTGTCATATCTGGAAGTGTCCATTCGGAGCGCATTCAGGCTTGTGTTGAAAAAGGAAATATCCTCCCATAAAAACTAGACAGAAGCATTCTCAGAAACTTATCTGTGATGTATGTACTCAACTAACAGAACTAAACCATCGTTTTGAAGGAGCAGTTTTGAAACACTCTTTTTGCGGAATCTGCAAGTGGATATTTGGCTAGCTGGGAGGATTTCGTTGGAAACGGGATTACATACAAAAAGCAGACAGCAGCATTCTCAGAAACTTCTTTGTGATGTTTGCATTCAAGTCACAGAGTTGAACATTCCCTTTCATAGAGCAGGTTTGAAACACTCTTTTTGTAGTATCTGGATGTGGACATTTGGATCGCTTTCAGGCCTATGGTGAAAAAGGAAATATCTTCCCATGAAAACTAGACAGAAGCATTCTCAGAAACTTATTTGTGATGTGTGCCCTCAACTGACAGTGTTGAACCTTTGTTTTGATAGAGCAGTTCTGAAACACACTTTTTGTAAAATCTGCAAGAGGATATTTGGATAGCTTTGAGGATTTCGTTGGAAACGGGAATGTCTTCATGTAAACTCTACACAGAAGCATTCTCAGAAACTGCTTTGGGATGTTTCAATTGAAGTCCCAGTGTTGAACATTCCCATTCATAGAGCAGGTTTGAAACACTCTTTTTGTACTATCTGGAAGTGGACATTTGGAGCGCTTTCAGGTCTACGGTGAAAAAGGAGATATCTTCCAATAAAAACTAGATAGAAGCAATGTCAGAACTTTTTTCATGATGTATCTACTCAGCTAACAGAGTTGAACCTTTCTTTTGAGAGAGCAGTTTTGAAACACTCTTTTTGTGGAATATGCAAGTGGGTATTAGGCCAGCTTGGAGGATTTCGTTGGAAACGGGAATACGTATAAAAAGCAGACAGCAGCATTGTCAGAAACTACTTTGTGATGTTTGCATTCAAGTCACAGAATTGAACACTCCCTTTCACAGAGCAGGTTTGAAACACTCTTTTTGTAGTGTCTGTAAGTGAACATATGGATTGCTTTCAGGCCTAAGGTGAAAAAGGAAATATCTTCCCATAAAAACTAGACAGAAAGCATTCTCAGAAACTTGTTTGTGATGTGTGCCCTCTACTGACAGAGTTGAACCTTTCTTTGCAAAGAGCAGTTTTGAAACACTCTTTTTGTAGAATCTGCAAGAGGATATTTGGATAGCTTTGAAGATTTCTTGGGAAACGGGAATGTCTTCAGATAAACTCTAGACAGAAGCATTCTCAGAAACTTCTTTGGGATGTTTCAATTGAAGTCACAGTGTTGAACATTCCCTTTCACAGAGCAGGTTTGAAACACTCTTTTTGTAGTGTCTATAAGTGAACATTTGGCGTGCTTTCAGGCCTAACGTGAAAAAGGAAATATCTTCCCATAAAAACTAGACAGAAGCATTCTCAGAAACTTGTTCGTGATGTGTGCCCTCTACTGACAGAGTTGAACCTTTCTTTGCAAAGAGCAGCTTTGAAACACACTTTTTGTAGAATCTGCAAGAGGATATTTGGATAGTGTTTGAGGATTTCGTTGGAAACGGGTATGTCTTCAGATAAACTCTAGACAGAAGCATTCTGAGAAACTTCTTTGGGATGTTGCATTCAAGTCACAGAGTAGAACATTCCCATTCATAGAGCAGATTTGAAACACTCTTTTTGTTGTATCTGGAAGTGGACATTTGGAGCTCTTTCAGGCCTATGTTGAAAAAGGAAATATCTTCCCATAAAAACTAGACGGAAAGCATTCTCAGAAACTTACTTGTGATGTGTTTGCTCAACTAACAGAATTGAACCATCGTTTTGAAGGAGCAGTTTTGAAACACTGTTTTCGTGGAATCTGCAAGTGGATATTTGGCTAGCTTTGAGGATTTCGTTGGAAACGGGATTACATATACAAAGGAGACAGCAGCATTCTCAGAAACTTCTTTGTGATGTCTGCATTCAATTCACAGAGTTGAGCATTCCCTTTCATAGAGCAGGTTGGAAACACTCTTTTTGTAGTATCTGGATGAGGACATTTGGAGCGCTTTCAGGCGTATGGTGAAAAAGGAAATATCTTCCCGTAAAAACTAGACAGAAGCATTCTCAGAAGTTTATTTGTGATGTGTGCCCTCAACTAACAGAGTTGAAACTTTCTTTTGATAGAGCAGTTTTGAAACACTCATTTTGTAAAATCTGCAAGAGGATATTTGGATAGCTTTGAGGATTTCGTTGCAAACGGGAATGGCTTCATATAAACTCTAGACAGAAGCATTCTCAGAAACTTCGTTGGGATGTTTCGATTGAAGTCCCAGTGTTGAACATTCCCTTTTATAGAGCAGGTTGGAAACACTCTTTCTGCATTCCCTGGAAGTGGACATTTGGAGCGCTTTCAGGACGACGGTGAAAATGGAAATATCTTCCAAGAAAATCTAGATAGAAGCAATGTCAGAAACTTTTATGTGATGGATCTACTCAGCTAACAGAGTTGAACCTTTCTTTTGAGAGAGCAGTTTTGCAACACTCTTTTTGTGGAATATGCAAGTGGATATTAGGGCAGCTTTGAGGATTTCGTTGGAAACGGGAATACATGTAAAAAGCAGACAGCAGCATTCTCAGAAACTTCTTTGTGATGTTTGCATTGAAGTCACAGAGTTGAACATTCCCTTTGAGAGAGCAGGTTTGAAACACGCCTTTTGTCATATCTGGAAGTGTCCATTCGGAGCGCATTCAGGCTTGTGTTGAAAAAGGAAATATCCTCCCATAAAAACTAGACAGAAGCATTCTCAGAAACTTATCTGTGATGTATGTACTCAACTAACAGAACTAAACCATCGTTTTGAAGGAGCAGTTTTGAAACACTCTTTTTGCGGAATCTGCAAGTGGATATTTGGCTAGCTGGGAGGATTTCGTTGGAAACGGGATTACATACAAAAAGCAGACAGCAGCATTCTCAGAAACTTCTTTGTGATGTTTGCATTCAAGTCACAGAGTTGAGCATTCCCTTTCATAGAGCAGGTTGGAAACACTCTTTTTGTAGTATCTGGATGTGGACATTTGGATCGCTTTCTGGCGTATGGTGAAAAAGGAAATATCTTCCCATGAAAACTAGACAGAAGCATTCTCAGAAATTTATTTGTGATGTTTGCCCTCAACTAACCGAGTTGAACCTTTCTTTTGATAGAGCAGTTTTGAAACACTCTTTTTGTAAAATCTGCAAGAGGATATTTGGATAGCTTTGAGGATTTCGTTGCAAACGGGAATGGCTTCATATAAACTCTAGACAGAAGCATTCTCAGAAACTTCGTTGGGATGTTTCGATTGAAGTCCCAGTGTTGAACATTCCCTTTTATAGAGCAGGTTGGAAACACTCTTTCTGCATTCCCTGGAAGTGGACATTTGGAGCGCTTTCAGGACGACGGTGAAAATGGAAATATCTTCCAAGAAAATCTAGATAGAAGCAATGTCAGAAACTTTTCTGTGATGGATCTACTCAGCTAACAGAGTTGAAGCTTTCTTTTGAGAGAGCAGTTTTGCAACACTCTTTTTGTGGAATATGCAAGTGGATATTAGGGCAGCTTTGAGGATTTCGTTGGAAACGGGAATACATGTAAAAAGCAGACAGCAGCATTCTCAGAAACTTCTTTGTGATGTTTGCATTGAAGTCACAGAGTTGAACATTCCCTTTGAGAGAGCAGGTTTGAAACACGCCTTTTGTCATATCTGGAAGTGTCCATTCGGAGCGCATTCAGGCTTGTGTTGAAAAAGGAAATATCCTCCCATAAAAACTAGACAGAAGCATTCTCAGAAACTTGTCTGTGATGTATGTACTCAACTAACAGAACTAAACCATCGTTTTGAAGGAGCAGTTTTGAAACACTCTTTTTGCGGAATCTGCAAGTGGATATTTGGCTAGCTGGGAGGATTTCGTTGGAAACGGGATTACATACAAAAAGCAGACAGCAGCATTCTCAGAAACTTCTTTGTGATGTTTGCATTCAAGTCACAGAGTTGAACATTCCCTTTCATAGAGCAGGTTTGAAACACTCTTTTTGTAGTATCTGGATGTGGACATTTGGATCGCTTTCAGGCCTATGGTGAAAAAGGAAATATCTTCCCATGAAAACTAGACAGAAGCATTCTCAGAAACTTATTTGTGATGTGTGCCCTCAACTGACAGTGTTGAACCTTTGTTTTGATAGAGCAGTTCTGAAACACACTTTTTGTAAAATCTGCAAGAGGATATTTGGATAGCTTTGAGGATTTCGTTGGAAACGGGAATGTCTTCATGTAAACTCTACACAGAAGCATTCTCAGAAACTGCTTTGGGATGTTTCAATTGAAGTCCCAGTGTTGAACATTCCCATTCATAGAGCAGGTTTGAAACACTCTTTTTGTACTATCTGGAAGTGGACATTTGGAGCGCTTTCAGGTCTACGGTGAAAAAGGAGATATCTTCCAATAAAAACTAGATAGAAGCAATGTCAGAACTTTTTTCATGATGTATCTACTCAGCACACAGAGTTGAACCTTTCTTTTGAGAGAGCAGTTTTGAAACACTCTTTTTGTGGAATATGCAAGTGGGTATTAGGCCAGCTTGGAGGATTTCGTTGGAAACGGGAATACGTATAAAAAGCAGACAGCAGCATTGTCAGAAACTACTTTGTGATGTTTGCATTCAAGTCACAGAATTGAACACTCCCTTTCACAGAGCAGGTTTGAAACACTCTTTTTGTAGTGTCTGTAAGTGAACATATGGATTGCTTTCAGGCCTAAGGTGAAAAAGGAAATATCTTGCCCATAAAAACTAGACAGAAGCATTCTCAGAAACTTGTTTGTGATGTGTGCCCTCTACTGACAGAGTTGAACCTTTCTTTGCAAAGAGCAGTTTTGAAACACTCTTTTTGTAGAATCTGCAAGAGGATATTTGGATAGCTTTGAGGATTTCTTGGGAAACGGGAATGTCTTCAGATAAACTCTAGACAGAAGCATTCTCAGAAACTTCTTTGGGATGTTTCAATTGAAGTCACAGTGTTGAACATTCCCTTTCACAGAGTAGGTTTGAAACACTCTTTTTGTAGTGTCTATAAGTGAACATTTGGCGTGCTTTCAGGCCTAACGTGAAAAAGGAAATATCTTCCCATAAAAACTAGACAGAAGCATTCTCAGAAACTTGTTCATGATGTGTGCCCTCTACTGACAGAGTTGAACCTTTCTTTGCAAAGAGCAGCTTTGAAACACTCTTTTTGTAGAATCTGCAAGAGGATATTTGGATAGCTTTGAGGATTTCGTTGGAAACGGGTATGTCTTCAGATAAACTCTAGACAGAAGCATTCTCAGAAACTTCTTTGGGATGTTGCATTCAAGTCACAGAGTAGAACATTCCCATTCATAGAGCAGATTTGAAACACTCTTTTTGTAGTATCTGGAAGTGGACATTTGGAGCGCTTTCAGGCCTATGTTGAAAAAGGAAATATCTTCCCATAAAAACTAGACGGAAGCATTCTCAGAAACTTATTTGTGATGTGTTTGCTCAACTAACAGGATTGAACCATCGTTTTGAAGGAGCAGTTTTGAAACACTGTTTTCGTGGAATCTGCAAGTGGATATTTGGCTAGCTTTGAGGATTTCGTTGGAAACGGGATTACATATAAAAAGGAGACAGCAGCATTCTCAGAAACTTCTTTGTGATGTCTGCATTCAAGTCACAGAGTTGAGCATTCCCTTTCATAGAGCAGGTTGGAAACACCCTTTTTGTAGTATCTGGATGAGGACATTTGGAGCGCTTTCAGGCGTATGGTGAAAAAGGAAATATCTTCCCGTAAAAACTAGACAGAAGCATTCTCAGAAGTTTATTTGTGATGTGTGCCCTCAACTAACAGAGTTGAACCTTTCTTTTGATAGAGCAGTTTTGAAACACTCTTTTTGTAAAATCTGCAAGAGGATATTTGGATAGCTTTGAGGATTTCGTTGCAAACGGGAATGGCTTCATATAAACTCTAGACAGAAGCATTCTCAGAAACTTCGTTGGGATGTTTCGATTGAAGTCCCAGTGTTGAACATTCCCTTTTATAGAGCAGGTTGGAAACACTCTTTCTGCATTCCCTGGAAGTGGACATTTGGAGCGCTTTCAGGACGACGGTGAAAATGGAAATATCTTCCAAGAAAATCTAGATAGAAGCAACGTCAGAAACTTTTATGTGATGGATCTACTCAGCTAACAGAGTTGAACCTTTCTTTTGAGAGAGCAGTTTTGCAACACTCTTTTTGTGGAATATGCAAGTGGATATTAGGGCAGCTTTGAGGATTTCGTTGGAAACGGGAATACATGTAAAAAGCAGACAGCAAGCATTCTCAGAAACTTCTTTGTGATGTTTGCATTGAAGTCACAGAGTTGAACATTCCCTTTGAGAGAGCAGGTTTGAAACACGCCTTTTGTCATATCTGGAAGTGTCCATTCGGAGCGCATTCAGGCTTGTGTTGAAAAAGGAAATATCCTCCCATAAAAACTAGACAGAAGCATTCTCAGAAACTTATCTGTGATGTATGTACTCAACTAACAGAACTAAACCATCGTTTTGAAGGAGCAGTTTTGAAACACTCTTTTTGCGGAATCTGCAAGTGGATATTTGGCTAGCTGGGAGGATTTCGTTGGAAACGGGATTACATACAAAAAGCAGACAGCAGCATTCTCAGAAACTTCTTTGTGATGTTTGCATTCAAGTCACAGAGTTGAACATTCCCTTTCATAGAGCAGGTTTGAAACACTCTTTTTGTAGTATCTGGATGTGGACATTTGGATCGCTTTCAGGCCTATGGTGAAAAAGGAAATATCTTCCCATGAAAACTAGACAGAAGCATTCTCAGAAACTTATTTGTGATGTGTGCCCTCAACTGACAGTGTTGAACCTTTGTTTTGATAGAGCAGTTCTGAAACACACTTTTTGTAAAATCTGCAAGAGGATATTTGGATAGCTTTGAGGATTTCGTTGGAAACGGGAATGTCTTCATGTAAACTCTAGACAGAAGCATTCTCAGAAACTGCTTTGGGATGTTTCAATTGAAGTCCCAGTGTTGAACATTCCCTTTCATAGAGCAGGTTTGAAACACTCTTTTTGTACTATCTGGAAGTGGACATTTGGAGCGCTTTCAGGTCTACGGTGAAAAAGGAGATATCTTCCAATAAAAACTAGATAGAAGCAATGTCAGAACTTTTTTCATGATGTATCTACTCAGCAAACAGAGTTGAACCTTTCTTTTGAGAGAGCAGTTTTGAAACACTCTTTTTGTGGAATATGCAAGTGGGTATTAGGCCAGCTTGAAGGATTTCGTTGGAAACGGGATTACGTATAAAAAGCAGACAGCAGCATTGTCAGAAACTACTTTGTGATGTTTGCATTCAAGTCACAGAATTGAACACTCCCTTTCACAGAGCAGGTTTGAAACACTCTTTTTGTAGTGTCTGGAAGTGAACATTTGGATTGCTTTCAGGCCTAAGGTGAAAAAGGAAATATCTTCCCATAAAAACTAGACAGAAGCATTCTCAGAAACTTGTTTGTGATGTGTGCCCTCTACTGACAGAGTTGAACCTTTCTTTGCAAAGAGCAGTTTTGAAACACTCTTTTTGTAGAATCTGCAAGAGGATATTTGGATAGCTTTGAGGATTTCTTGGGAAACGGGAATGTCTTCAGATAAACTCTAGACAGAAGCATTCTCAGAAACTTCTTTGGGATGTTTCAATTGAAGTCACAGTGTTGAACATTCCCTTTCACAGAGCAGGTTTGAAACACTCTTTTTGTAGTGTCTATAAGTGAACATTTGGCGTGCTTTCAGGCCTAACGTGAAAAAGGAAATATCTTCCCATAAAAACTAGCACAGAAGCATTCTCAGAAACTTGTTCGTGATGTGTGCCCTCTACTGACAGAGTTGAACCTTTCTTTGCAAAGAGCAGCTTTGAAACACTCTTTTTGTAGAATCTGCAAGAGGATATTTGGATAGCTTTGAGGATTTCGTTGGAAACGGGTATGTCTTCAGATAAACTCTAGACAGAAGAATTCTCAGAAACTTCTTTGGGATGTTGCATTCAAGTCACAGAGTAGAACATTCCCATTCATAGAGCAGATTTGAAACACTCTTTTTGTAGTATCTGGAAGTGGACATTTGGAGCGCTTTCAGGCCTATGTTGAAAAAGGATATATCTTCCCATAAAAACTAGACGGAAGCATTCTCAGAAACTTATTTGTGATGTGTTTGCTCAACTAACAGGATTGAACCATCGTTTTGAAGGAGCAGTTTTGAAACACTGTTTTCGTGGAATCTGCAAGTGGATATTTGGCTAGCTTTGAGGATTTCGTTGGAAACGGGATTACATATAAAAAGGAGACAGCAGCATTCTCAGAAACTTCTTTGTGATGTCTGCATTCAATTCACAGAGTTGAGCATTCCCTTTCCTAGAGCACGTTGGAAACACTCTTTTTGTAGTATCTGGATGAGGACATTTGGAGCGCTTTCAGGCGTATGGTGAAAAAGGAAATATCTTCCCGTAAAAACTAGACAGAAGCATTCTCAGAAGTTTATTTGTGATGTGTGCCCTCAACTAACAGAGTTGAACCTTTCTTTTGATAGAGCAGTTTTGAAACACTCTTTTTGTAAAATCTGCAAGAGGATATTTGGATAGCTTTGAGGATTTCGTTGCAAACGGGAATGGCTTCATATAAACTCTAGACAGAAGCATTCTCAGAAACTTCGTTGGGATGTTTCGATTGAAGTCCCAGTGTTGAACATTCCCTTTTATAGAGCAGGTTGGAAACACTCTTTCTGCATTCCCTGGAAGTGGACATTTGGAGCGCTTTCAGGACGACGGTGAAAATGGAAATATCTTCCAAGAAAATCTAGATAGAAGCAATGTCAGAAACTTTTATGTGATGGATCTACTCAGCTAACAGAGTTGAACCTTTCTTTTGAGAGAGCAGTTTTGCAACACTCTTTTTGTGGAATATGCAAGTGGATATTAGGGCAGCTTTGAGGATTTCGTTGGAAACGGGAATACATGTAAAAAGCAGACAGCAGCATTCTCAGAAACTTCTTTGTGATGTTTGCATTGAAGTCACAGAGTTGAACATTCCCTTTGAGAGAGCAGGTTTGAAACACGCCTTTTGTCATATCTGGAAGTGTCCATTCGGAGCGCATTCAGGCTTGTGTTGAAAAAGGAAATATCCTCCCATAAAAACTAGACAGAAGCATTCTCAGAAACTTATCTGTGATGTATGTACTCAACTAACAGAACTAAACCATCGTTTTGAAGGAGCAGTTTTGAAACACTCTTTTTGCGGAATCTGCAAGTGGATATTTGGCTAGCTGGGAGGATTTCGTTGGAAACGGGATTACATACAAAAAGCAGACAGCAGCATTCTCAGAAACTTCTTTGTGATGTTTGCATTCAAGTCACAGAGTTGAACATTCCCTTTCATAGAGCAGGTTTGAAACACTCTTTTTGTAGTATCTGGATGTGGACATTTGGATCGCTTTCAGGCCTATGGTGAAAAAGGAAATATCTTCCCATGAAAACTAGACAGAAGCATTCTCAGAAACTTATTGGTGATGTGTGCCCTCAACTGACAGTGTTGAACCTTTGTTTTGATAGAGCAGTTCTGAAACACACTTTTTGTAAAATCTGCAAGAGGATATTTGGATAGCTTTGAGGATTTCGTTGGAAACGGGAATGTCTTCATGTAAACTCTAGACAGAAGCATTCTCAGAAACTGCTTTGGGATGTTTCAATTGAAGTCCCAGTGTTGAACATTCCCATTCATAGAGCAGGTTTGAAACACTCTTTTTGTAGTGTCTGTAAGTGAACATTTGGATTGCTTTCAGGCCTAAGGTGAAAAAGGAAATATCTTCCCATAAAAACTAGACAGAAGCATTCTCAGAAACTTGTTCGTGATGTGTGCCCTCTACTGACAGAGTTGAACCTTTCTTTGCAAAGAGCAGCTTTGAAACACACTTTTTGTAGAATCTGCAAGAGGATATTTGGAAAGCTTTGAGGATTTCGTTGGAAACGGGTATGTCTTCAGATAAACTCTAGACAGAAGCATTCTCAGAAAATTCTTTGGGATGTTGCATTCAAGTCACAGAGTAGAACATTCCCATTCATAGAGCAGATTTGAAACACTCTTTTTGTAGTATCTGGAAGTGGACATTTGGAGCGCTTTCAGGCCTATGTTGAAAAAGGAAATATCTTCCCATAAAAACTAGACGGAAAGCATTCTCAGCAAACTTACTTGTGATGTGTTTGCTCAACTAACAGAATTGAACCATCGTTTTGAAGGAGCAGTTTTGAAACACTGTTTTCGTGGAATCTGCAAGTGGATATTTGGCTAGCTTTGAGGATTTCGTTGGAAACGGGATTACATATAAAAAGGAGACAGCAGCATTCTCAGAAACTTCTTTGTGATGTCTGCATTCAATTCACAGAGTTGAGCATTCCCTTTCATAGAGCAGGTTGGAAACACTCTTTTTGTAGTATCTGGATGAGGACATTTGGAGCGCTTTCAGGCGTATGGTGAAAAAGGAAATATCTTCCCGTAAAAACTAGACAGAAGCATTCTCAGAAGTTTATTTGTGATGTGTGCCCTCAACTAACAGAGTTGAACCTTTCTTTTGATAGAGCAGTTTTGAAACACTCTTTTTGTAAAATCTGCAAGAGGATATTTGGATAGCTTTGAGGATTTCGTTGCAAACGGGAATGGCTTCATATAAACTCTAGACAGAAGCATTCTCAGAAACTTCGTTGGGATGTTTCGATTGAAGTCCCAGTGTTGAACATTCCCTTTTATAGAGCAGGTTGGAAACACTCTTTCTGCATTCCCTGGAAGTGGACATTTGGAGCGCTTTCAGGACGACGGTGAAAATGGAAATATCTTCCAATAAAATCTAGATAGAAGCAATGTCAGAAACTTTTATGTGATGGATCTACTCAGCTAACAGAGTTGAACCTTTCTTTTGAGAGAGCAGTTTTGCAACACTCTTTTTGTGGAATATGCAAGTGGATATTAGGGCAGCTTTGAGGATTTCGTTGGAAACGGGAATACATGTAAAAAGCAGACAGCAGCATTCTCAGAAACTTCTTTGTGATGTTTGCATTGAAGTCACAGAGTTGAACATTCCCTTTGAGAGAGCAGGTTTGAAACACGCCTTTTGTCATATCTGGAAGTGTCCATTCGGAGCGCATTCAGGCTTGTGTTGAAAAAGGAAATATCCTCCCATAAAAACTAGACAGAAGCATTCTCAGAAACTTATCTGTGATGTATGTACTCAACTAACAGAACTAAACCATCGTTTTGAAGGAGCAGTTTTGAAACACTCTTTTTGCGGAATCTGCAAGTGGATATTTGGCTAGCTGGGAGGATTTCGTTGGAAACGGGATTACATGCAAAAAGCAGAGAGCAGCATTCTCAGAAAACTTCTTTGTGATGTTTGCATTCAAGTCACAGAGTTGAACATTCCCTTTCATAGAGCAGGTTTGAAACACTCTTTTTGTAGTATCTGGATGTGGACATTTGGATCGCTTTCAGGCCTATGGTGAAAAAGGAAATATCTTCCCATGAAAACTAGACAGAAGCATTCTCAGAAACTTATTTGTGATGTGTGCCCTCAACTGACAGTGTTGAACCTTTGTTTTGATAGAGCAGTTCTGAAACACACTTTTTGTAAAATCTGCAAGAGGATATTTGGATAGCTTTGAGGATTTCGTTGGAAACGGGAATGTCTTCATGTAAACTCTAGACAGAAGCATTCTCAGAAACTGCTTTGGGATGTTTCAATTGAAGTCCCAGTGTTGAACATTCCCTTTCATAGGAGCAGGTTTGAAACACTCTTTTTGTACTATCTGGAAGTGGACATTTGGAGCGCTTTCAGGTCTACGGTGAAAAAGGAGATATCTTCCAATAAAAACTAGATAGAAGCAATGTCAGAACTTTTTTCATGATGTATCTACTCAGCAAACAGAGTTGAACCTTTCTTTTGAGAGAGCAGTTTTGAAACACTCTTTTTATGGAATATGCAAGTGGGTATTAGGCCAGCTTGGAGGATTTCGTTGGAAACGGGAATACGTATAAAAAGCAGACAGCAGCATTGTCAGAAACTACTTTGTGATGTTTGCATTCAAGTCACAGAATTGAACACTCCCTTTCACAGGGCAGGTTTGAAACACTCTTTTTGTAGTGTCTGTAAGTGAACATTTGGATTGCTTTCAGGCCTAAGGTGAAAAAGGAAATATCTTCCCATAAAAACTAGACAGAAGCATTCTCAGAAACTTGTTTGTGATGTGTGCCCTCTACTGACAGAGTTGAAACTTTCTTTGCAAAGAGCAGTTTTGAAACACTCTTTTTGTAGAATCTGCAAGAGGATATTTGGATAGCTTTGAGGATTTCTTGGGAAACGGGAATGTCTTCAGATAAACTCTAGACAGAAGCATTCTCAGAAACTTCTTCGGGATGTTTCAATTGAAGTCAGTGTTGAACATTCCCTTTCACAGAGCAGGTTTGAAACACTCTTTTTGTAGTGTCTATAAGTGAACATTTGGCGTGCTTTCAGGCGTAACGTGAAAAAGGAAATATCTTCCCATAAAAACTAGACAGAAGCATTCTCAGAAACTTGTTCTTGATGTGTCCCCTCTACTGACAGAGTTGTACCTTTCTTTGCAAAGAGCAGCTTTGAAACACTCTTTTTGTAGAATCTGCAAGAGGATATTTGGATAGCTTGGAGGATTTCGTTGGAAACGGGTATGTCTTCAGATAAACTCTAGACAGAAGCATTCTCAGAAACTTCTTTGGGTTGTTGCATTCAAGTCACAGAGTAGAACATTCCCATTCATAGAGCAGATTTGAAACACTCCTTTTGTAGTATCTGGAAGTGGACATTTGGAGCGCTTTCAGGCCTATGTTGAAAAAGGAAATATCTTCCCATAAAAACTAGACGGAAGCATTCTCAGAAACTTATTTGTGATGTGTTTGCTCAACTAACAGGATTGAACCATCGTTTTGAAGGAGCAGTTTTGAAACACTGTTTTCGTGGAATCTGCAAGTGGATATTTGGCTAGCTTTGAGGATTTCGTTGGAAACGGGATTACATATAAAAAGGAGACAGCAGCATTCTCAGAAACTTCTTTGTGATGTCTGCATTCAATTCACAGAGTTGAGCATTCCCTTTCATAGAGCAGGTTGGAAACACTCTTTTTGTAGTATCTGGATGAGGACATTTGGAGCGCTTTCAGGCGTATGGTGAAAAAGGAAATATCTTCCCGTAAAAACTAGACAGAAGCATTCTCAGAAGTTTATTTGTGATGTGTGCCCTCAACTAACAGAGTTGAACCTTTCTTTTGATAGAGCAGTTTTGAAACACTCTTTTTGTAAAATCTGCAAGAGGATATTTGGATAGCTTTGAGGATTTCGTTGCAAACGGGAATGGCTTCATATAAACTCTAGACAGAAGCATTCTCAGAAACTTCGTTGGGATGTTTCGATTGAAGTCCCAGTGTTGAACATTCCCTTTTATAGAGCAGGTTGGAAACACTCTTTCTGCATTCCCTGGAAGTGGACATTTGGAGCGCTTTCAGGACGACGGTGAAAATGGAAATATCTTCCAAGCAAAATCTAGATAGAAGCAACGTCAGAAACTTTTCTGTGATGGATCTACTCAGCTAACAGAGTTGAACCTTTCTTTTGAGAGAGCAGTTTTGCAACACTCTTTTTGTGGAATATGCAAGTGGATATTAGGGCAGCTTTGAGGATTTCGTTGGAAACGGGAATACATGTAAAAAGCAGACAGCAGCATTCTCAGAAACTTCTTTGTGATGTTTGCATTGAAGTCACAGAGTTGAACATTCCCTTTGAGAGAGCAGGTTTGAAACACGCCTTTTGTCATATCTGGAAGTGTCCATTCGGAGCGCATTCAGGCTTGTGTTGAAAAAGGAAATATCCTCCCATAAAAACTAGACAGAAGCATTCTCAGAAACTTATCTGTGATGTATGTACTCAACTAACAGAACTAAACCATCGTTTTGAAGGAGCAGTTTTGAAACACTCTTTTTGCGGAATCTGCAAGTGGATATTTGGCTAGCTGGGAGGATTTCGTTGGAAACGGGATTACATACAAAAAGCAGACAGCAGCATTCTCAGAAACTTCTTTGTGATGTTTGCATTCAAGTCACAGAGTTGAACATTCCCTTTCATAGAGCAGGTTTGAAACACTCTTTTTGTAGTATCTGGATGTGGACATTTGGATCGCTTTCAGGCCTATGGTGAAAAAGGAAATATCTTCCCATGAAAACTAGACAGAAGCATTCTCAGAAACTTATTTGTGATGTGTGCCCTCAACTGACAGTGTTGAACCTTTGTTTTGATAGAGCAGTTCTGAAACACACTTTTTGTAAAATCTGCAAGAGGATATTTGGATAGCTTTGAGGATTTCGTTGGAAACGGGAATGTCTTCATGTAAACTCTACACAGAAGCATTCTCAGAAACTGCTTTGGGATGTTTCAATTGAAGTCCCAGTGTTGAACATTCCCATTCATAGAGCAGGTTTGAAACACTCTTTTTGTACTATCTGGAAGTGGACATTTGGAGCGCTTTCAGGTCTACGGTGAAAAAGGAGATATCTTCCAATAAAAACTAGATAGAAGCAATGTCAGAACTTTTTTCATGATGTATCTACTCAGCTAACAGAGTTGAACCTTTCTTTTGAGAGAGCAGTTTTGAAACACTCTTTTTGTGGAATATGCAAGTGGGTATTAGGCCAGCTTGGAGGATTTCGTTGGAAACGGGAATACGTATAAAAAGCAGACAGCAGCATTGTCAGAAACTACTTTGTGATGTTTGCATTCAAGTCACAGAATTGAACACTCCCTTTCACAGAGCAGGTTTGAAACACTCTTTTTGTAGTGTCTATAAGTGAACATTTGGCGTGCTTTCAGGCCTAAGGTGAAAAAGGAAATATCTTCCCATAAAAACTAGACAGAAGCATTCTCAGAAACTTGTTCGTGATGTGTGCCCTCTACTGACAGAGTTGAACCTTTCTTTGCAAAGAGCAGCTTTGAAACACTCTTTTTGTAGAATCTGCAAGAGGATATTTGGATAGCTTTGAGGATTTCGTTGGAAACGGGTATGTCTTCAGATAAACTCTAGACAGAAGCATTCTCAGAAACTTCTTTGGGATGTTGCATTCAAGTCACAGAGTAGAACATTCCCATTCATAGAGCAGATTTGAAACACTCTTTTTGTAGTATCTGGAAGTGGACATTTGGAGCGCTTTCAGGCCTATGTTGAAACAGGAAATATCTTCCCATAAAAACTAGACGGAAGCATTCTCAGAAACTTACTTGTGATGTGTTTGCTCAACTAACAGAATTGAACCATCGTTTTGAAGGAGCAGTTTTGAAACACTGTTTTCGTGGAATCTGCAAGTGGATATTTGGCTAGCTTTGAGGATTTCGTTGGAAACGGGATTACATATAAAAAGGAGACAGCAGCATTCTCAGAAACTTCTTTGTGATGTCTGCATTCAAGTCACAGAGTTGAGCATTCCCTTTCATAGAGCAGGTTGGAAACACTCTTTTTGTAGTATCTGGATGAGGACATTTGGAGCGCTTTCAGGCCTATGGTGAAAAAGGAAATATCTTCCCGTAAAAACTAGACAGAAGCATTCTCAGAAATTTATTTGTGATGTGTGCCCTCAACTAACAGAGTTGAACCTTTCTTTTGATAGAGCAGTTTTGAAACACTCTTTTTGTAAAATCTGCAAGAGGATATTTGGATAGCTTTGAGGATTTCATTGCAAACGGGAATGGCTTCATATAAACTCTAGACAGAAGCATTCTCAGAAACTTCGTTGGGATGTTTCGATTGAAGTCCCAGTGTTGAACATTCCCTTTTATAGAGCAGGTTGGAAACACTCTTTCTGCATTCCCTGGAAGTGGACATTTGGAGCGCTTTCAGGACGACGGTGAAAATGGAAATATCTTCCAAGAAAATCTAGATAGAAGCAACGTCAGAAACTTTTCTGTGATGGATCTACTCAGCTAACAGAGTTGAACCTTTCTTTTGAGAGAGCAGTTTTGCAACACTCTTTTTGTGGAATATGCAAGTGGATATTAGGGCAGCTTTGAGGATTTCGTTGGAAACGGGAATACATGTAAAAAGCAGACAGCAGCATTCTCAGAAACTGCTTTGTGATGTTTGCATTGAAGTCACAGAGTTGAACATTCCCTTTGAGAGAGCAGGTTTGAAACACGCCTTTTGTCATATCTGGAAGTGTCCATTCGGAGCGCATTCAGGCTTGTGTTGAAAAAGGAAATATCCTCCCATAAAAACTAGACAGAAGCATTCTCAGAAACTTATCTGTGATGTATGTACTCAACTAACAGAACTAAACCATCGTTTTGAAGGAGCAGTTTTGAAACACTCTTTTTGTGGAATCTGCAAGTGGATATTTGGCTAGCTGGGAGGATTTCGTTGGAAACGGGATTACATACAAAAAGCAGACAGCAGCATTCTCAGAAACTTCTTTGTGATGTTTGCATTCAAGTCACAGAGTTGAACATTCCCTTTCATAGAGCAGGTTTGAAACACTCTTTTTGTAGTATCTGGATGTGGACATTTGGATCGCTTTCAGGCCTATGGTGAAAAAGGAAATATCTTCCCATGAAAACTAGACAGAAGCATTCTCAGAAACTTATTTGTGATGTGTGCCCTCAACTGACAGTGTTGAACCTTTGTTTTGATAGAGCAGTTCTGAAACACACTTTTTGTAAAATCTGCAAGAGGATATTTGGATAGCTTTGAGGATTTCGTTGGAAACGGGAATGTCTTCATGTAAACTCTAGACAGAAGCATTCTCAGAAACTGCTTTGGGATGTTTCAATTGAAGTCCCAGTGTTGAACATTCCCTTTCATAGAGCAGGTTTGAAACCCTCTTTTTGTACTATCTGGAAGTGGACATTTGGAGCGCTTTCAGGTCTACGGTGAAAAAGGAGATATCTTCCAATAAAAACTAGATAGAAGCAATGTCAGAACTTTTTTCATGATGTATCTACTCAGCAAACAGAGTTGAACCTTTCTTTTGAGGGAGCAGTTTTGAAACACTATTTTTGTGGAATATGCAAGTGGGTATTAGGCCAGCTTGGAGGATTTCGTTGGAAACGGGAATACGTATAAAAAGCAGACAGCAGCATTGTCAGAAACTACTTTGTGATGTTTGCATTCAAGTCACAGAATTGAACACTCCCTTTCACAGAGCAGGTTTGAAACACTCTTTTTGTAGTGTCTGTAAGTGAACATTTGGATTGCTTTCAGGCCTAAGGTGAAAAAGGAAATATCTTCCCATAAAAACTAGACAGAAGCATTCTCAGAAACTTGTTTGTGATGTGTGCCCTCTACTGACAGAGTTGAACCTTTCTTTGCAAAGAGCAGTTTTGAAACACTCTTTTTGTAGAATCTGCAAGAGGATATTTGGATAGCTTTGAGGATTTCTTGGGAAACAGGAATGTCTTCAGATAAACTCTAGACAGAAGCATTCTCAGAAACTTCTTTGGGATGTTTCAATTGAAGTCACAGTGTTGAACATTCCCTTTCACAGAGCAGGTTTGAAACACTCTTTTTGTAGTGTCTATAAGTGAACATTTGGCGTGCTTTCAGGCCTAACGTGAAAAAGGAAATATCTTCCCATAAAAACTAGACAGAAGCATTCTCAGAAACTTGTTCATGATGTGTGCCCTCTACTGACAGAGTTGAACCTTTCTTTGCAAAGAGCAGCTTTGAAACACTCTTTTTGTAGAATCTGCAAGAGGATATTTGGATAGCTTTGAGGATTTCGTTGGAAACGGGTATGTCTTCAGATAAACTCTAGACAGAAGCATTCTCAGAAACTTCTTTGGGATGTTGCATTCAAGTCACAGAGTAGAACATTCCCATTCATAGAGCAGATTTGAAACACTCTTTTTGTAGTATCTGGAAGTGGACATTTGGAGCGCTTTCAGGCCTATGTTGAAAAAGGAAATATCTTCCCATAAAAACTAGACGGAAGCATTCTCAGAAACTTACTTGTGATGTGTTTGCTCAACTAACAGAATTGAACCATCGTTTTGAAGGAGCAGTTTTGAAACACTGTTTTCGTGGAATCTGCGAGTGGATATTTGGCTAGCTTTGAGGATTTCGTTGGAAACGGGATTACATATAAAAAGGAGACAGCAGCATTCTCAGAAACTTCTTTGTGATGTCTGCATTCAAGTCACAGAGTTGAGCATTCCCTTTCATAGAGCAGGTTGGAAACACTCTTTTTGTAGTATCTGGATGAGGACATTTGGAGCGCTTTCAGGCCTATGGTGAAAAAGGAAATATCTTCCCGTAAAAACTAGACAGAAGCATTCTCAGAAGTTTATTTGTGATGTGTGCCCTCAACTAACAGAGTTGAACCTTTCTTTTGATAGAGCAGTTTTGAAACACTCTTTTTGTAAAATCTGCAAGAGGATATTTGGATAGCTTTGAGGATTTCGTTGCAAACGGGAATGGCTTCATATAAACTCTAGACAGAAGCATTCTCAGAAACTTCGTTGGGATGTTTCGATTGAAGTCCCAGTGTTGAACATTCCCTTTTATAGAGCAGGTTGGAAACACTCTTTCTGCATTCCCTGGAAGTGGACATTTGGAGCGCTTTCAGGACGACGGTGAAAATGGAAATATCTTCCAAGAAAATCTAGATAGAAGCAATGTCAGAAACTTTTATGTGATGGATCTACTCAGCTAACAGAGTTGAACCTTTCTTTTGAGAGAGCAGTTTTGCAACACTCTTTTTGTGGAATATGCAAGTGGATATTAGGGCAGCTTTGAGGATTTCGTTGGAAACGGGAATACATGTAAAAAGCAGACAGCAGCATTCTCAGAAACTTCTTTGTGATGTTTGCATTGAAGTCACAGAGTTGAACATTCCCTTTGAGAGAGCAGGTTTGAAACACGCCTTTTGTCATATCTGGAAGTGTCCATTCGGAGCGCATTCAGGCTTGTGTTGAAAAAGGAAATATCCTCCCATAAAAACTAGACAGAAGCATTCTCAGAAACTTATCTGTGATGTATGTACTCAACTAACAGAACTAAACCATCGTTTTGAAGGAGCAGTTTTGAAACACTCTTTTTGCGGAATCTGCAAGTGGATATTTGGCTAGCTGGGAGGATTTCGTTGGAAACGGGATTACATACAAAAAGCAGACAGCAGCATTCTCAGAAACTTCTTTGTGATGTTTGCATTCAAGTCACAGAGTTGAACATTCCCTTTCATAGAGCAGGTTTGAAACACTCTTTTTGTAGTATCTGGATGTGGACATTTGGATCGCTTCAGGCCTATGGTGAAAAAGGAAATATCTTCCCATGAAAACTAGACAGAAGCATTCTCAGAAATTTATTTGTGATGTGTGCCCTCAACTAACAGAGTTGAACCTTTCTTTTGATAGAGCAGTTTTGAAACACTCTTTTTGTAAAATCTGCAAGAGGATATTTGGATAGCTTTGAGGATTTCGTTGCAAACGGGAATGGCTTCATATAAACTCTAGACAGAAGCATTCTCAGAAACTTCGTTGGGATGTTTCGATTGAAGTCCCAGTGTTGAACATTCCCTTTTATAGAGCAGGTTGGAAACACTCTTTCTGCATTCCCTGGAAGTGGACATTTGGAGCGCTTTCAGGACGACGGTGAAAATGGAAATATCTTCCAAGAAAATCTAGATAGAAGCAACGTCAGAAACTTTTCTGTGATGGATCTACTCAGCTAACAGAGTTGAACCTTTCTTTTGAGAGAGCAGTTTTGCAACACTCTTTTTGTGGAATATGCAAGTGGATATTAGGGCAGCTTTGAGGATTTCGTTGGAAACGGGAATACATGTAAAAAGCAGACAGCAGCATTCTCAGAAACTTCTTTGTGATGTTTGCATTGAAGTCACAGAGTTGAACATTCCCTTTGAGAGAGCAGGTTTGAAACACGCCTTTTGTCATATCTGGAAGTGTCCATTCGGAGCGCATTCAGGCTTGTGTTGAAAAAGGAAATATCCTCCCATAAAAACTAGGACGGAAGCATTCTCAGAAACTTATCTGTGATGTATGTACTCAACTAACAGAACTAAACCATCGTTTTGAAGGAGCAGTTTTGAAACACTCTTTTTGCGGAATCTGCAAGTGGATATTTGGCTAGCTGGGAGGATTTCGTTGGAAACGGGATTACATACAAAAAGCAGACAGCAGCATTCTCAGAAACTTCTTTGTGATGTTTGCATTCAAGTCACAGAGTTGAACATTCCCTTTCATAGAGCAGGTTTGAAACACTCTTTTTGTAGTATCTGGATGTGGACATTTGGATCGCTTTCAGGCCTATGGTGAAAAAGGAAATATCTTCCCATGAAAACTAGACAGAAGCATTCTCAGAAACTTATTTGTGATGTGTGCCCTCAACTGACAGTGTTGAACCTTTGTTTTGATAGAGCAGTTCTGAAACACACTTTTTGTAAAATCTGCAAGAGGATATTTGGATAGCTTTGAGGATTTCGTTGGAAACGGGAATGTCTTCATGTAAACTCTACACAGAAGCATTCTCAGAAACTGCTTTGGGATGTTTCAATTGAAGTCCCAGTGTTGAACATTCCCTTTCATAGAGCAGGTTTGAAACCCTCTTTTTGTACTATCTGGAAGTGGACATTTGGAGCGCTTTCAGGTCTACGGTGAAAAAGGAGATATCTTCCAATAAAAACTAGATAGAAGCAATGTCAGAACTTTTTTCATGATGTATCTACTCAGCAAACAGAGTTGAACCTTTCTTTTGAGAGAGCAGTTTTGAAACACTCCTTTTGTGGAATATGCAAGTGGGTATTAGGCCAGCTTGGAGGATTTCGTTGGAAACGGGAATACGTATAAAAAGCAGACAGCAGCATTGTCAGAAACTACTTTGTGATGTTTGCATTCAAGTCACAGAATTGAACACTCCCTTTCACAGAGCAGGTTTGAAACTCTCTTTTTGTAGTGTCTATAAGTGAACATTTGGCGTGCTTTCAGGCGTAACGTGAAAAAGGAAATATCTTCCCATAAAAACTAGACAGAAGCATTCTCAGAAACTTGTTCTTGATGTGTGCCCTCTACTGACAGAGTTGAACCTTTCTTTGCAAAGAGCAGTTTTGAAACACTCTTTTTGTAGAATCTGCAAGAGGATATTTGGATAGCTTTGAGGATTTCTTTGGAAACGGGAATGTCTTCAGATAAACTCTAGACAGAAGCATTCTCAGAAACTTCTTTGGGATGTTTCAATTGAAGTCACAGTGTTGAACATTCCCTTTCACAGAGCAGGTTTGAAACACTCTTTTTGTAGTGTCTATAAGTGAACATTTGGCGTGCTTTCAGGCCTAACGTGAAAAAGGAAATATCTTCCCATAAAAACTAGACAGAAGCATTCTCAGAAACTTGTTCATGATGTGTGCCCTCTACTGACAGAGTTGAACCTTTCTTTGCAAAGAGCAGCTTTGAAACACTCTTTTTGTAGAATCTGCAAGAGGATATTTGGATAGCTTTGAGGATTTCGTTGGAAACGGGTATGTCTTCAGATAAACTGTAGACAGAAGCATTCTCAGAAACTTCTTTGGGATGTTGCATTCAAGTCACAGAGTAGAACATTCCCATTCATAGAGCAGATTTGAAACACTCTTTTTGTAGTATCTGGAAGTGGACATTTGGAGCGCTTTCAGGCCTATGTTGAAAAAGGAAATATCTTCCCATAAAAACTAGACGGAAGCATTCTCAGAAACTTACTTGTGATGTGTTGGCTCAACTAACAGAATTGAACCATCGTTTTGAAGGAGCAGTTTTGAAACACTGTTTTCGTGGAATCTGCAAGTGGATATTTGGCTAGCTTTGAGGATTTCGTTGGAAACGGGATTACATATAAAAAGGAGACAGCAGCATTCTCAGAAACTTCTTTGTGATGTCTGCATTCAAGTCACAGAGTTGAGCATTCTCTTTCATAGAGCAGGTTGGAAACACTCTTTTTGTAGTATCTGGATGAGGACATTTGGAGCGCTTTCAGGCCTATGGTGAAAAAGGAAATATCTTCCCGTAAAAACTAGACAGAAGCATTCTCAGAAACTTATTTGTGATGTGTGCCCTCAACTGACAGTGTTGAACCTTTGTTTTGATAGAGCAGTTCTGAAACACACTTTTTGTAAAATCTGCAAGAGGATATTTGGATAGCTTTGAGGATTTCGTTGGAAACGGGAATGTCTTCATGTAAACTCTAGACAGAAGCATTCTCAGAAACTGCTTTGGGATGTTTCAATTGAAGTCCCAGTGTTGAACATTCCCTTTCATAGAGCAGGTTTGAAACACTCTTTTTGTACTATCTGGAAGTGGACATTTGGAGCGCTTTCAGGTCTACGGTGAAAAAGGAGATATCTTCCAATAAAAACTAGATAGAAGCAATGTCAGAACTTTTTTCATGATGTATCTACTCAGCAAACAGAGTTGAACCTTTCTTTTGAGAGAGCAGTTTTGAAACACTCTTTTTGTGGAATATGCAAGTGGGTATTAGGCCAGCTTGGAGGATTTCGTTGGAAACGGGAATACGTATAAAAAGCAGACAGCAGCATTGTCAGAAACTACTTTGTGATGTTTGCATTCAAGTCACAGAATTGAACACTCCCTTTCACAGAGCAGGTTTGAAACACTCTTTTTGTAGTGTCTGTAAGTGAACATTTGGATTGCTTTCAGGCCTAAGGTGAAAAAGGAAATATCTTCCCATAAAAACTAGACAGAAGCATTCTCAGAAACTTGTTTGTGATGTGTGCCCTCTACTGACAGAGTTGAACCTTTCTTTGCAAAGAGCAGCTTTGAAACACTCTTTTTGTAGAATCTGCAAGAGGATATTTGGATAGCTTTGAGGATTTCTTGGGAAACGGGAATGTCTTCAGATAAACTCTAGACAGAAGCATTCTCAGAAACTTCTTTGGGATGTTGCATTCAAGTCACAGAGTAGAACATTCCCATTCATAGAGCAGATTTGAAACACTCTTTTTGTAGTATCTGGAAGTGGACATTTGGAGCGCTTTCAGGCCTATGTTGAAAAAGGAAATATCTTCCCATAAAAACTAGACGGAAGCATTCTCAGAAACTTATTTGTGATGTGTTTGCTCAACTAACAGGATTGAACCATCGTTTTGAAGGAGCAGTTTTGAAACACTGTTTTCGTGGAATCTGCAAGTGGATATTTGGCTAGCTTTGAGGATTTCGTTGGAAACGGGATTACATATAAAAAGGAGACAGCAGCATTCTGAGAAACTTCTTTGTGATGTCTGCATTCAATTCACAGAGTTGAGCATTCCCTTTCATAGAGCAGGTTGGAAACACTCTTTTTGTAGTATCTGGATGTGGACATTTGGATCGCTTTCAGGCCTATGGTGAAAAAGGAAATATCTTCCCATGAAAACTAGACAGAAGCATTCTCAGAAACTTATTTGTGATGTGTGCCCTCAACTGACAGTGTTGAACCTTTGTTTTGATAGAGCAGTTCTGAAACACACTTTTTGTAAAATCTGCAAGAGGATATTTGGATAGCTTTGAGGATTTCGTTGGAAACGGGAATGTCTTCATGTAAACTCTAGACAGAAGCATTCTCAGAAACTGCTTTGGGATGTTTCAATTGAAGTCCCAGTGTTGAACATTCCCATTCATAGAGCAGGTTTGAAACACTCTTTTTGTACTATCTGGAAGTGGACATTTGGAGCGCTTTCAGGTCTACGGTGAAAAAGGAGATATCTTCCAATAAAAACTAGATAGAAGCAATGTCAGAACTTTTTTCATGATGTATCTACTCAGCAAACAGAGTTGAACCTTTCTTTTGAGAGAGCAGTTTTGAAACACTCTTTTTGTGGAATATGCAAGTGGGTATTAGGCCAGCTTGGAGGATTTCGTTGGAAACGGGAATACGTATAAAAAGCAGACAGCAGCATTGTCAGAAACTACTTTGTGATGTTTGCATTCAAGTCACAGAATTGAACACTCCCTTTCACAGAGCAGGTTTGAAACACTCTTTTTGTAGTGTCTGTAAGTGAACATTTGGATTGCTTTCAGGCCTAAGGTGAAAAAGGAAATATCTTCCCATAAAAACTAGACAGAAGCATTCTCAGAAACTTGTTTGTGATGTGTGCCCTCTACTGACAGAGTTGAACCTTTCTTTGCAAAGAGCAGTTTTGAAACACTCTTTTTGTAGAATCTGCAAGAGGATGTTTGGATAGCTTTGAGGATTTCTTGGGAAACGGGAATGTCTTCAGATAAACTCTAGACAGAAGCATTCTCAGAAACTTCTTTGGGATGTTTCAATTGAAGTCACAGTGTTGAACATTCCCTTTCACAGAGCAGGTTTGAAACACTCTTTTTGTAGTGTCTATAAGTGAACATTTGGCGTGCTTTCAGGCCTAACGTGAAAAAGGAAATATCTTCCCATAAAAACTAGACAGAAGCATTCTCAGAAACTTGTTCGTGATGTGTGCCCTCTACTGACAGAGTTGAACCTTTCTTTGCAAAGAGCAGCTTTGAAACACTCTTTTTGTAGAATCTGCAAGAGGATATTTGGATAGCTTTGAGGATTTCGTTGGAAACGGGTATGTCTTCAGATAAACTCTAGACAGAAGCATTCTCAGAAACTTCTTTGGGATGTTGCATTCAAGTCACAGAGTAGAACATTCCCATTCATAGAGCAGATTTGAAACACTCTTTTTGTAGTATCTGGAAGTGGACATTTGGAGCGCTTTCAGGCCTATGTTGAAAAAGGAAATATCTTCCCATAAAAACTAGACGGAAGCATTCTCAGAAACTTACTTGTGATGTGTTTGCTCAACTAACAGAATTGAACCATCGTTTTGAAGGAGCAGTTTTGAAACACTGTTTTCGTGGAATCTGCAAGTGGATATTTGGCTAGCTTTGAGGATTTCGTTGGAAACGGGATTACATATAAAAAGGAGACAGCAGCATTCTCAGAAACTTCTTTGTGATGTCTGCATTCAATTCACAGAGTTGAGCATTCCCTTTCCTAGAGCACGTTGGAAACACTCTTTTTGTAGTATCTGGATGAGGACATTTGGAGCGCTTTCAGGCGTATGGTGAAAAAGGAAATATCTTCCCGTAAAAACTAGACAGAAGATTCTCAGAAATTTATTTGTGATGTGTGCCCTCAACTAACAGAGTTGAACCTTTCTTTTGATAGAGCAGTTTTGAAACACTCTTTTTGTAAAATCTGCAAGAGGATATTTGGATAGCTTTGAGGATTTCGTTGCAAACGGGAATGGCTTCATATAAACTCTAGACAGAAGCATTCTCAGAAACTTCGTTGGGATGTTTCGATTGAAGTCCCAGTGTTGAACATTCCCTTTTATAGAGCAGGTTGGAAACACTCTTTCTGCATTCCCTGGAAGTGGACATTTGGAGCGCTTTCAGGACGACGGTGAAAATGGAAATATCTTCCAAGAAAATCTAGATAGAAGCAACGTCAGAAACTTTTATGTGATGGATCTACTCAGCTAACAGAGTTGAACCTTTCTTTTGAGAGAGCAGTTTTGCAACACTCTTTTTGGGGAATATGCAAGTGGATATTAGGGCAGCTTTGAGGATTTCGTTGGAAACGGGAATACATGTAAAAAGCAGACAGCAGCATTCTCAGAAACTTCTTTGTGATGTTTGCATTGAAGTCACAGAGTTGAACATCCCCTTTGAGAGAGCAGGTTTGAAACACGCCTTTTGTCATATCTGGAAGTGTCCATTCGGAGCGCATTCAGGCTTGTGTTGAAAAAGGAAATATCCTCCCATAAAAACTAGACAGAAGCATTCTCAGAAACTTATCTGTGATGTATGTACTCAACTAACAGAACTAAACCATCGTTTTGAAGGGCAGTTTTGAAACACTCTTTTTGCGGAATCTGCAAGTGGATATTTGGCTAGCTGGGAGGATTTCGTTGGAAACGGGATTACATACAAAAAGCAGACAGCAGCATTCTCAGAAACTTCTTTGTGATGTTTGCATTCAAGTCACAGAGTTGAACATTCCCTTTCATAGAGCAGGTTTGAAACACTCTTTTTGTAGTATCTGGATGTGGACATTTGGATCGCTTTCAGGCCTATGGTGAAAAAGGAAATATCTTCCCATGAAAACTAGACAGAAGCATTCTCAGAAACTTATTTGTGATGTGTGCCCTCAACTGACAGTGTTGAACCTTTGTTTTGATAGAGCAGTTCTGAAACACACTTTTTGTAAAATCTGCAAGAGGATATTTGGATAGCTTTGAGGATTTCGTTGGAAACGGGAATGTCTTCATGTAAACTCTACACAGAAGCATTCTCAGAAACTGCTTTGGGATGTTTCAATTGAAGTCCCAGTGTTGAACATTCCCATTCATAGAGCAGGTTTGAAGCACTCTTTTTGTACTATCTGGAAGTGGACATTTGGAGCGCTTTCAGGTCTACGGTGAAAAAGGAGATATCTTCCAATAAAAACTAGATAGAAGCAATGTCAGAACTTTTTTCATGATGTATCTACTCAGCAAACAGAGTTGAACCTTTCTTTTGAGAGAGCAGTTTTGAAACACTCTTTTTGTGGAATATGCAAGTGGGTATTAGGCCAGCTTGGAGGATTTCGTTGGAAACGGGAATACGTATAAAAAGCAGACAGCAGCATTGTCAGAAACTACTTTGTGATGTTTGCATTCAAGTCACAGAATTGAACACTCCCTTTCACAGAGCAGGTTTGAAACACTCTTTTTGTAGTGTCTGTAAGTGAACATATGGATTGCTTTCAGGCCTAAGGTGAAAAAGGAAATATCTTCCCATAAAAACTAGACAGAAGCATTCTCAGAAACTTGTTTGTGATGTGTGCCCTCTACTGACAGAGTTGAACCTTTCTTTGCAAAGAGCAGTTTTGAAACACTCTTTTTGTAGAATCTGCAAGAGGATATTTGGATAGCTTTGAGGATTTCTTGGGAAACGGGAATGTCTTCAGATAAACTCTAGACAGAAGCATTCTCAGAAACTTCTTTGGGATGTTTCAATTGAAGTCACAGTGTTGAACATTCCCTTTCACAGAGCAGGTTTGAAACAGTCTTTTTGTAGTGTCTATAAGTGAACATTTGGCGTGCTTTCAGGCCTAACGTGAAAAAGGAAATCTCTTCCCATAAAAACTAGACAGAAGCATTCTCAGAAACTTGTTTGTGATGTGTGCCCTCTACTGACAGAGTTGAACCTTTCTTTGCAAAGAGCAGCTTTGAAACACTCTTTTTGTAGAATCTGCAAGAGGATATTTGGATAGCTTTGAGGATTTCGTTGGAAACGGGTATGTCTTCACATAAACTCTAGACAGAAGCATTCTCAGAAACTTCTTTGGGATGTTGCATTCAAGTCACAGAGTAGAACATTCCCATTCATAGAGCAGATTTGAAACACTCTTTTTGTAGTATCTGGAAGTGGACATTTGGAGCGCTTTCAGGCCTATGTTGAGAAACGAAATATCTTCCCATAAAAACTAGACGGAAGCATTCTCAGAAACTTATTTTTGATGTGTTTGCTCAACTAACAGAATTGAACCATCGTTTTGAAGGAGCAGTTTTGAAACCCTGTTTTCGTGGAATCTGCAAGTGGATATTTGGCTAGCTTTGAGGATTTCGTTGGAAACGGGATTACCTATAAAAAGGAGACAGCAGCATTCTCAGAAACTTCTTTGTGATGTCTGCATTCAAGTCACAGAGTTGAGCATTCCCTTTCATAGAGCAGGTTTGAAACACTCTTTTTGTAGTATCTGGATGAGGACATTTGGAGCGCTTTCAGGCGTATGGTGAAAAAGGAAATATCTTCCCGTAAAAACTAGACAGAAGCATTCTCAGAAATTTATTTGTGATGTGTGCCCTCAACTAACAGAGTTGAACCTTTCTTTTGATAGAGCAGTTTTGAAACACTCTTTTTGTAAAATCTGCAAGAGGATATTTGGATAGCTTTGAGGATTTCGTTGCAAACGGGAATGGCTTCATATAAACTCTAGACAGAAGCATTCTCAGAAACTTCGTTGGGATGTTTCGATTGAAGTCCCAGTGTTGAACATTCCCTTTTATAGAGCAGGTTGGAAACACTCTTTCTGCATTCCCTGGAAGTGGACCTTTGGAGCGCTTTCAGGACGACGGTGAAAATGGAAATATCTTCCAATAAAATCTAGATAGAAGCAATGTCAGAAACTTTTATGTGATGGATCTACTCAGCTAACAGAGTTGAACCTTTCTTTTGAGAGAGCAGTTTTGCAACACTCTTTTTGTGGAATATGCAAGTGGATATTAGGGCAGCTTTGAGGATTTCGTTGGAAACGGGAATACATGTAAAAAGCAGACAGCACCATTCTCAGAAACTTCTTTGTGATGTTTGCATTGAAGTCACAGAGTTGAACATTCCCTTTGAGAGAGCAGGTTTGAAACACGCCTTTTGTCATATCTGGAAGTGTCCATTCGGAGCGCATTCAGGCTTGTGTTGAAAAAGGAAATATCCTCCCATAAAAACTAGACAGAAGCATTCTCAGAAACTTATCTGTGATGTATGTACTCAACTAACAGAACTAAACCATCGTTTTGAAGGAGCAGTTTTGAAACACTCTTTTTGCGGAATCTGCAAGTGGATATTTGGCTAGCTGGGAGGATTTCGTTGGAAACGGGATTACATACAAAAAGCAGACAGCAGCATTCTCAGAAACTTCTTTGTGATGTTTGCATTCAAGTCACAGAGTTGAACATTCCCTTTCATAGAGCAGGTTTGAAACACTCTTTTTGTAGTATCTGGATGTGGACATTTGGATCGCTTTCAGGCCTATGGTGAAAAAGGAAATATCTTCCCATGAAAACTAGACAGAAGCATTCTCAGAAACTTATTTGTGATGTGTGCCCTCAACTGACAGTGTTGAACCTTTGTTTTGATAGAGCAGTTCTGAAACACACTTTTTGTAAAATCTGCAAGAGGATATTTGGATAGCTTTGAGGATTTCGTTGGAAACGGGAATGTCTTCATGTAAACTCTACACAGAAGCATTCTCAGAAACTGCTTTGGGATGTTTCAATTGAAGTCCCAGTGTTGAACATTCCCATTCATAGAGCAGGTTTGAAGCACTCTTTTTGTACTATCTGGAAGTGGACATTTGGAGCGCTTTCAGGTCTACGGTGAAAAAGGAGATATCTTCCAATAAAAACTAGATAGAAGCAATGTCAGAACTTTTTTCATGATGTATCTACTCAGCAAACAGAGTTGAACCTTTCTTTTGAGAGAGCAGTTTTGAAACACACTTTTTGTGGAATATGCAAGTGGGTATTAGGCCAGCTTGGAGGATTTCGTTGGAAACGGGAATACGTATAAAAAGCAGACAGCAGCATTGTCAGAAACTACTTTGTGATGTTTGCATTCAAGTCACAGAATTGAACACTCCCTTTCACAGAGCAGGTTTGAAACACTCTTTTTGTAGTGTCTGTAAGTGAACATTTGGATTGCTTTCAGGCCTAAGGTGAAAAAGGAAATATCTTCCCATAAAAACTAGACAGAAGCATTCTCAGAAACTTGTTTGTGATGTGTGCCCTCTACTGACAGAGTTGAACCTTTCTTTGCAAAGAGCAGTTTTGAAACACTTTTTTTGTAGAATCTGCAAGAGGATATTTGGATAGCTTTGAGGATTTCTTGGGAAACGGGAATGTCTTCAGATAAACTCTAGACAGAAGCATTCTCAGAAACTTCTTTGGGATGTTTCAATTGAAGTCACAGTGTTGAACATTCCCTTTCACAGAGCAGGTTTGAAACACTCTTTTTGTAGTGTCTATAAGTGAACATTTGGCGTGCTTTCAGGCCTAACGTGAAAAAGGAAATATCTTCCCATAAAAACTAGACAGAAGCATTCTCAGAAACTTGTTCATGATGTGTGCCCTCTACTGACAGAGTTGAACCTTTCTTTGCAAAGAGCAGCTTTGAAACACTCTTTTTGTAGAATCTGCAAGAGGATATTTGGATAGCTTTGAGGATTTCGTTGGAAACGGGTATGTCTTCAGATAAACTCTAGACAGAAGCATTCTCAGAAACTTCTTTGGGATGTTGCATTCAAGTCACAGAGTAGAACATTCCCATTCATAGAGCAGATTTGAAACACTCTTTTTGTAGTATCTGGAAGTGGACATTTGGAGCGCTTTCAGGCCTATGTTGAAAAAGGAAATATCTTCCCATAAAAACTAGACGGAAGCATTCTCAGAAACTTACTTGTGATGTGTTTGCTCAACTAACAGAATTGAACCATCGTTTTGAAGGAGCAGTTTTGAAACACTGTTTTCGTGGAATCTGCAAGTGGATATTTGGCTAGCTTTGAGGATTTCGTTGGAAACGGGATTACATATAAAAAGGAGACAGCAGCATTCTCAGAAACTTCTTTGTGATGTCTGCATTCAATTCACAGAGTTGAGCATTCCCTTTCATAGAGCAGGTTGGAAACACTCTTTTTGTAGTATCTGGATGAGGACATTTGGAGCGCTTTCAGGCCTATGGTGAAAAAGGAAATATCTTCCCGTAAAAACTAGACAGAAGCATTCTCAGAAATTTATTTGTGATGTGTGCCCTCAACTAACAGAGTTGAACCTTTCTTTTGATAGAGCAGTTTTGAAACACTCTTTTTGTAAAATCTGCAAGAGGATATTTGGATAGCTTTGAGGATTTCGTTGCAAACGGGAATGGCTTCATATAAACTCTAGACAGAAGCATTCTCAGAAACTTCGTTGGGATGTTTCGATTGAAGTCCCAGTGTTGAACATTCCCTTTTATAGAGCAGGTTGGAAACACTCTTTCTGCATTCCCTGGAAGTGGACATTTGGAGCGCTTTCAGGACGACGGTGAAAATGGAAATATCTTCCAAGAAAATCTAGATAGAAGCAACGTCAGAAACTTTTATGTGATGGATCTACTCAGCTAACAGAGTTGAACCTTTCTTTTGAGAGAGCAGTTTTGCAACACTCTTTTTGTGGAATATGCAAGTGGATATTAGGGCAGCTTTGAGGATTTCGTTGGAAACGGGAATACATGTAAAAAGCAGACAGCAGCATTCTCAGAAACTTCTTTGTGATGTTTGCATTGAAGTCACAGCAGTTGAACATTCCCTTTGAGAGAGCAGGTTTGAAACACGCCTTTTGTCATATCTGGAAGTGTCCATTCGGAGCGCATTCAGGCTTGTGTTGAAAAAGGAAATATCCTCCCATAAAAACTAGACAGAAGCATTCTCAGAAACTTATCTGTGATGTATGTACTCAACTAACAGAACTAAACCATCGTTTTGAAGGAGCAGTTTTGAAACACTCTTTTTGCGGAATCTGCAAGTGGATATTTGGCTAGCTGGGAGGATTTCGTTGGAAACGGGATTACATACAAAAAGCAGACAGCAGCATTCTCAGAAACTTCTTTGTGATGTTTGCATTCAAGTCACAGAGTTGAACATTCCCTTTCATAGAGCAGGTTTGAAACACTCTTTTTGTAGTATCTGGATGTGGACATTTGGATCGCTTTCAGGCCTATGGTGAAAAAGGAAATATCTTCCCATGAAAACTAGACAGAAGCATTCTCAGAAACTTATTTGTGATGTGTGCCCTCAACTGACAGTGTTGAACCTTTGTTTTGATAGAGCAGTTCTGAAACACACTTTTTGTAAAATCTGCAAGAGGATATTTGGATAGCTTTGAGGATTTCGTTGGAAACGGGAATGTCTTCATGTAAACTCTACACAGAAGCATTCTCAGAAACTGCTTTGGGATGTTTCAATTGAAGTCCCAGTGTTGAACATTCCCATTCATAGAGCAGGTTTGAAACACTCTTTTTGTAATATCTGGAAGTGGACATTTGGAGCGCTTTCAGGTCTACGGTGAAAAAGGAGATATCTTCCAATAAAAACTAGATAGAAGCAATGTCAGAACTTTTTTCATGATGTATCTACTCAGCTAACAGAGTTGAACCTTTCTTTTGAGAGAGCAGTTTTGAAACACTCTTTTTGTGGAATATGCAAGTGGGTATTAGGCCAGCTTGGAGGATTTCGTTGGAAACGGGAATACGTATAAAAAGCAGACAGCAGCATTGTCAGAAACTACTTTGTGATGTTTGCATTCAAGTCACAGAATTGAACACTCCCTTTCACAGAGCAGGTTTGAAACACTCTTTTTGTAGTGTCTGTAAGTGAACATATGGATTGCTTTCAGGCCTAAGGTGAAAAAGGAAATATCTTCCCATAAAAACTAGACAGAAGCATTCTCAGAAACTTGTTTGTGATGTGTGCCCTCTACTGACAGAGTTGAACCTTTCTTTGCAAAGACCAGTTTTGAAACACTCTTTTTGTAGAATCTGCAAGAGGATATTTGGATAGCTTTGAAGATTTCTTGGGAAACGGGAATGTCTTCAGATAAACTCTAGACAGAAGCATTCTCAGAAACTTCTTTGGGATGTTTCAATTGAAGTCACAGTGTTGAACATTCCCTTTCACAGAGCAGGTTTGAAACACTCTTTTTGTAGTGTCTATAAGTGAACATTTGGCGTGCTTTCAGGCCTAACGTGAAAAAGGAAATATCTTCCCATAAAAACTAGACAGAAGCATTCTCAGAAACTTGTTCTTGATGTGTCCCCTCTACTGACAGAGTTGAACCTTTCTTTGCAAAGAGCAGCTTTGAAACACACTTTTTGTAGAATCTGCAAGAGGATATTTGGATAGCTTTGAGGATTTCGTTGGAAACGGGTATGTCTTCAGATAAACTCTAGACAGAAGCATTCTCAGCAAACTTCTTTGGGATGTTGCATTCAAGTCACAGAGTAGAACATTCCCATTCATAGAGCAGATTTGAAACACTCTTTTTGTAGTATCTGGAAGTGGACATTTGGAGCGCTTTCAGGCCTATGTTGAAAAAGGAAATATCTTCCCATAAAAACTAGACGGAAGCATTCTCAGAAACTTACTTGTGATGTGTTTGCTCAACTAACAGAATTGAACCATCGTTTTGAAGAAGCAGTTTTGAAACACTGTTTTCGTGGAATCTGCAAGTGGATATTTGGCTAGCTTTGAGGATTTCGTTGGAAACGGGATTACATATAAAAAGGAGACAGCAGCATTCTCAGAAACTTCTTTGTGATGTCTGCATTCAAGTCACAGAGTTGAGCATTCCCTTTCATAGAGCAGGTTGGAAGCACTCTTTTTGTAGTATCTGGATGAGGACATTTGGAGCGCTTTCAGGCCTATGGTGAAAAAGGAAATATCTTCCCGTAAAAACTAGACAGAAGCATTCTCAGAAATTTATTTGTGATGTGTGCCCTCAACTAACAGAGTTGAACCTTTCTTTTGATAGAGCAGTTTTGAAACACTCTTTTTGTAAAATCTGCAAGAGGATATTTGGATAGCTTTGAGGATTTCATTGCAAACGGGAATGGCTTCATATAAACTCTAGACAGAAGCATTCTCAGAAACTTCGTTGGGATGTTTCGATTGAAGTCCCAGTGTTGAACATTCCCTTTTATAGAGCAGGTTGGAAACACTCTTTCTGCATTCCCTGGAAGTGGACATTTGGAGCGCTTTCAGGACGACGGTGAAAATGGAAATATCTTCCAATAAAATCTAGATAGAAGCAACGTCAGAAACTTTTATGTGATGGATCTACTCAGCTAACAGAGTTGAACCTTTCTTTTGAGAGAGCAGTTTTGCAACACTCTTTTTGTGGAATATGCAAGTGGATATTAGGGCAGCTTTGAGGATTTCGTTGGAAACGGGAATACATGTAAAAAGCAGACAGCAGCATTCTCAGAAACTTCTTTGTGATGTTTGCATTGAAGTCACAGCAGTTGAACATTCCCTTTGAGAGAGCAGGTTTGAAACACGCCTTTTGTCATATCTGGAAGTGTCCATTCGGAGCGCATTCAGGCTTGTGTTGAAAAAGGAAATATCCTCCCATAAAAACTAGACAGAAGCATTCTCAGAAACTTATCTGTGATGTATGTACTCAACTAACAGAACTAAACCATCGTTTTGAAGGAGCAGTTTTGAAACACTCTTTTTGCGGAATCTGCAAGTGGATATTTGGCTAGCTGGGAGGATTTCGTTGGAAACGGGATTACATACAAAAAGCAGACAGCAGCATTCTCAGAAACTTCTTTGTGATGTTTGCATTCAAGTCACAGAGTTGAACATTCCCTTTCATAGAGCAGGTTTGAAACACTCTTTTTGTAGTATCTGGATGTGGACATTTGGATCGCTTTCAGGCCTATGGTGAAAAAGGAAATATCTTCCCATGAAAACTAGACAGAAGCATTCTCAGAAACTTATTTGTGATGTGTGCCCTCAACTGACAGTGTTGAACCTTTGTTTTGATAGAGCAGTTCTGAAACACACTTTTTGTAAAATCTGCAATAGGATATTTGGATAGCTTTGAGGATTTCGTTGGAAACGGGAATGTCTTCATGTAAACTCTAGACAGAAGCATTCTCAGAAACTGCTTTGGGATGTTTCAATTGAAGTCCCAGTGTTGAACATTCCCTTTCATAGAGCAGGTTTGAAACACTCTTTTTGTACTATCTGGAAGTGGACATTTGGAGCGCTTTCAGGTCTACGGTGAAAAAGGAGATATCTTCCAATAAAAACTAGATAGAAGCAATGTCAGAACTTTTTTCATGATGTATCTACTCAGCAAACAGAGTTGAACCTTTCTTTTGAGAGAGCAGTTTTGAAACACTCTTTTTGTGGAATATGCAAGTGGGTATAAGGCCAGCTTGGAGGATTTCGTTGGAAACGGGAATACGTATAAAAAGCAGACAGCAGCATTGTCAGAAACTACTTTGTGATGTTTGCATTCAAGTCACAGAATTGAACACTCCCTTTCACAGAGCAGGTTTGAAACACTCTTTTTGTAGTGTCTGTAAGTGAACATTTGGATTGCTTTCAGGCCTAAGGTGAAAAAGGAAATATCTTCCCATAAAAACTAGACAGAAGCATTCTCAGAAACTTGTTTGTGATGTGTGCCCTCTACTGACAGAGTTGAACCTTTCTTTGCAAAGAGCAGTTTTGAAACACTCTTTTTGTAGAATCTGCAAGAGGATATTTGGATAGCTTTGAGGATTTCTTGGGAAACGGGAATGTCTTCAGATAAACTCTAGACAGAAGCATTCTCAGAAACTTCTTTGGGATGTTTCAATTGAAGTCACAGTGTTGAACATTCCCTTTCACAGAGCAGGTTTGAAACACTCTTTTTGTAGTGTCTATAAGTGAACATTTGGCGTGCTTTCAGGCCTAACGTGAAAAAGGAAATATCTTCCCATAAAAACTAGACAGAAGCATTCTCAGAAACTTGTTCGTGATGTGTGCCCTCTACTGACAGAGTTGAACCTTTCTTTGCAAAGAGCAGCTTTGAAACACTCTTTTTGTAGAATCTGCCAGAGGATATTTGGATAGCTTTGAGGATTTCGTTGGAAACGGGTATGTCTTCAGATAAACTCTAGACAGAAGCATTCTCAGAAACTTCTTTGGGATGTTGCATTCAAGTCACAGAGTAGAACATTCCCATTCATAGAGCAGATTTGAAACACTCTTTTTGTAGTATCTGGAAGTGGACATTTGGAGCGCTTTCAGGCCTATGTTGAAAAAGGAAATATCTTCCCATAAAAACTAGACGGAAGCATTCTCAGAAACTTACTTGTGATGTGTTTGCTCAACTAACAGAATTGAAACATCGTTTTGAAGGAGCAGTTTTGAAACACTGTTTTCGTGGAATCTGCAATTGGATATTTGGCTAGCTTTGAGGATTTCGTTGGAAACGGGATTACATATAAAAAGGAGACAGCAGCATTCTCAGAAACTTCTTTGTGATGTTTGCATTCAAGTCACAGAGTTGAACATTCCCTTTCATAGAGCAGGTTTGAAACACTCTTTTTGTAGTATCTGGATGTGGACATTTGGATTGCTTTCAGGCCTATGGTGAAAAAGGAAATATCTTCCCATGAAAACTAGACAGAAGCATTCTCAGAAACTTATTTGTGATGTGTGCCCTCAACTGACAGTGTTGAACCTTTGTTTTGATAGAGCAGTTCTGAAACACACTTTTTGTAAAATCTGCAAGAGGATATTTGGATAGCTTTGAGGATTTCGTTGGAAACGGGAATGTCTTCATGTAAACTCTAGACAGAAGCATTCTCAGAAACTGCTTTGGGATGTTTCAATTGAAGTCCCAGTGTTGAACATTCCCTTTCATAGAGCAGGTTTGAAACACTCTTTTTGTACTATCTGGAAGTGGACATTTGGAGCGCTTTCAGGTCTACGGTGAAAAAGGAGATATCTTCCAATAAAAACTAGATAGAAGCAATGTCAGAACTTTTTTCATGATGTATCTACTCAGCAAACAGAGTTGAACCTTTCTTTTGAGAGAGCAGTTTTGAAACACTCTTTTTGTGGAATATGCAAGTGGGTATTAGGCCAGCTTGGAGGATTTCGTTGGAAACGGGAATACGTATAAAAAGCAGACAGCAGCATTCTCAGAAACTTCTTTGGGATGTTTCAATTGAAGTCACAGTGTTGAACACTCCCTTTCACAGAGCAGGTTTGAAACACTCTTTTTGTAGTGTCTGTAAGTGAACATTTGGATTGCTTTCAGGCCTAAGGTGAAAAAGGAAATATCTTCCCATAAAAACTAGACAGAAGCATTCTCAGAAACTTGTTTGTGATGTGTGCCCTCTACTGACAGAGTTGAACCTTTCTTTGCAAAGAGCAGTTTTGAAACACTCTTTTTGTAGAATCTGCAAGAGGATATTTGGATAGCTTTGAGGATTTCTTGGGAAACGGGAATGTCTTCAGATAAACTCTAGACAGAAGCATTCTCAGAAACTTCTTTGGGATGTTTCAATTGAAGTCACAGTGTTGAACATTCCCTTTCACAGAGCAGGTTTGAAACACTCTTTTTGTAGTGTCTATAAGTGAACATTTGGCGTGCTTTCAGGCCTAACGTGAAAAAGGAAATATCTTCCCATAAAAACTAGACAGAAGCATTCTCAGAAACTTGTTCATGATGTGTGCCCTCTACTGACAGAGTTGAACCTTTCTTTGCAAAGAGCAGCTTTGAAACACTCTTTTTGTAGAATCTGCAAGAGGATATTTGGATAGCTTTGAGGATTTCGTTGGAAACGGGTATGTCTTCAGATAAACTGTAGACAGAAGCATTCTCAGAAACTTCTTTGGGATGTTGCATTCAAGTCACAGAGTAGAACATTCCCATTCATAGAGCAGATTTGAAACACTCTTTTTGTAGTATCTGGAAGTGGACATTTGGAGCGCTTTCAGGCCTATGTTGAAAAAGGAAATATCTTCCCATAAAAACTAGACGGAAGCATTCTCAGAAACTTATTTGTGATGTGTTTGCTCAACTAACAGGATTGAACCATCGTTTTGAAGGAGCAGTTTTGAAACACTGTTTTCGTGGAATCTGCAAGTGGATATTTGGCTAGCTTTGAGGATTTCGTTGGAAACGGGATTACATATAAAAAGGAGACAGCAGCATTCTCAGAAACTTCTTTGTGATGTCTGCATTCAATTCACAGAGTTGAGCATTCCCTTTCATAGAGCAGGTTGGAAACACTCTTTTTGTAGTATCTGGATGAGGACATTTGGAGCGCTTTCAGGCGTATGGTGAAAAAGGAAATATCTTCCCGTAAAAACTAGACAGAAGCATTCTCAGAAATTTATTTGTGATGTGTGCCCTCAACTAACAGAGTTGAACCTTTCTTTTGATAGAGCAGTTTTGAAACACTCTTTTTGTAAAATCTGCAAGAGGATATTTGGATAGCTTTGAGGATTTCGTTGCAAACGGGAATGGCTTCATATAAACTCTAGACAGAAGCATTCTCAGAAACTTCGTTGGGATGTTTCGATTGAAGTCCCAGTGTTGAACATTCCCTTTTATAGAGCAGGTTGGAAACACTCTTTCTGCATTCCCTGGAAGTGGACATTTGGAGCGCTTTCAGGACGACGGTGAAAATGGAAATATCTTCCAAGAAAATCTAGATAGAAGCAATGTCAGAAACTTTTATGTGATGGATCTACTCAGCTAACAGAGTTGAACCTTTCTTTTGAGAGAGCAGTTTTGCAACACTCTTTTTGTGGAATATGCAAGTGGATATTAGGGCAGCTTTGAGGATTTCGTTGGAAACGGGAATACATGTAAAAAGCAGACAGCAGCATTCTCAGAAACTTCTTTGTGATGTTTGCATTGAAGTCACAGAGTTGAACATTCCCTTTGAGAGAGCAGGTTTGAAACACGCCTTTTGTCATATCTGGAAGTGTCCATTCGGAGCGCATTCAGGCTTGTGTTGAAAAAGGAAAATATCCTCCCATAAAAACTAGACAGAAGCATTCTCAGAAACTTATCTGTGATGTATGTACTCAACTAACAGAACTAAACCATCGTTTTGAAGGAGCAGTTTTGAAACACTCTTTTTGCGGAATCTGCAAGTGGATATTTGGCTAGCTGGGAGGATTTCGTTGGAAACGGGATTACATACAAAAAGCAGACAGCAGCATTCTCAGAAACTTCTTTGTGATGTTTGCATTCAAGTCACAGAGTTGAACATTCCCTTTCATAGAGCAGGTTTGAAACACTCTTTTTGTAGTATCTGGATGTGGACATTTGGATCGCTTTCAGGCCTATGGTGAAAAAGGAAATATCTTCCCATGAAAACTAGACAGAAGCATTCTCAGAAACTTATTTGTGATGTGTGCCCTCAACTGACAGTATTGAACCTTTGTTTTGATAGAGCAGTTCTGAAACACACTTTTTGTAAAATCTGCAAGAGGATATTTGGATAGCTTTGAGGATTTCGTTGGAAACGGGAATGTCTTCATGTAAACTCTAGACAGAAGCATTCTCAGAAACTGCTTTGGGATGTTTCAATTGAAGTCCCAGTGTTGAACATTCCCATTCATAGAGCAGGTTTGAAACACTCTTTTTGTACTATCTGGAAGTGGACATTTGGAGCGCTTTCAGGTCTACGGTGAAAAAGGAGATATCTTCCAATAAAAACTAGATAGAAGCAATGTCAGAACTTTTTTCATGATGTATCTACTCAGCTAACAGAGTTGAACCTTTCTTTTGAGAGAGCAGTTTTGAAACACTCTTTGTGTGGAATAGGCAAGTGGGTATTAGGCCAGCTTGGAGGATTTCGTTGGAAACGGGAATACGTATAAAAAGCAGACAGCAGCATTGTCAGAAACTACTTTGTGATGTTTGCATTCAAGTCACAGAATTGAACACTCCCTTTCACAGAGCAGGTTTGAAACACTCTTTTTGTAGTGTCTGTAAGTGAACATATGGATTGCTTTCAGGCCTAAGGTGAAAAAGGAAATATCTTCCCATAAAAACTAGACAGAAGCATTCTCAGAAACTTGTTTGTGATGTGTGCCCTCTACTGACAGAGTTGAACCTTTCTTTGCAAAGACCAGTTTTGAAACACTCTTTTTGTAGAATCTGCAAGAGGATATTTGGATAGCTTTGAGGATTTCTTGGGAAACGGGAATGTCTTCAGATAAACTCTAGACAGAAGCATTCTCAGAAACTTCTTTGGGATATTTCAATTGAAGTCACAGTGTTGAACATTCCCTTTCACAGAGCAGGTTTGAAACACTCTTTTTGTAGTGTCTATAAGTGAACATTTGGCGTGCTTTCAGGCCTAACGTGAAAAAGGAAATATCTTCCCATAAAAACTAGACAGAAGCATTCTCAGAAACTTGTTCGTGATGTGTGCCCTCTACTGATAGAGTTGAACCTTTCTTTGCAAAGAGCAGCTTTGAAACACTCTTTTTGTAGAATCTGCAACAGGATATTTGGATAGCTTTGAGGATTTCGTTGGAAACGGGTATGTCTTCAGATAAACTCTAGACAGAAGCATTCTCAGAAACTTCTTTGGGATGTTGCATTCAAGTCACAGAGTAGAACATTCCCATTCATAGAGCAGATTTGAAACACTCTTTTTGTAGTATCTGGAAGTGGACATTTGGAGCGCTTTCAGGCCTATGTTGAAAAAGGAAATATCTTCCCATAAAAACTAGACGGAAGCATTCTCAGAAACTTACTTGTGATGTGTTTGCTCAACTAACAGAATTGAACCATCGTTTTGAAGGAGCAGTTTTGAAACACTGTTTTCGTGGAATCTGCAAGTGGATATTTGGCTAGCTTTGAGGATTTCGTTGGAAACGGGATTACATATAAAAAGGAGACAGCAGCATTCTCAGAAACTTCTTTGTGATGTCTGCATTCAAGTCACAGAGTTGAGCATTCCCTTTCATAGAGCAGGTTGGAAACACTCTTTTTGTAGTATCTGGATGAGGACATTTGGAGCGCTTTCAGGCGTATGGTGAAAAAGGAAATATCTTCCCGTAAAAACTAGACAGAAGCATTCTCAGAAATTTATTTGTGATGTGTGCCCTCAACTAACCGAGTTGAACCTTTCTTTTGATAGAGCAGTTTTGAAACACTCTTTTTGTAAAATCTGCAAGAGGATATTTGGATAGCTTTGAGGATTTCGTTGCAAACGGGAATGGCTTCATATAAACTCTAGACAGAAGCATTCTCAGAAACTTCGTTGGGATGTTTCGATTGAAGTCCCAGTGTTGAACATTCCCTTTTATAGAGCAGGTTGGAAACACTCTTTCTGCATTCCCTGGAAGTGGACATTTGGAGCGCTTTCAGGACGACGGTGAAAATGGAAATATCTTCCAAGAAAATCTAGATAGAAGCAACGTCAGAAACTTTTCTGTGATGGATCTACTCAGCTAACAGAGTTGAACCTTTCTTTTGAGAGAGCAGTTTTGCAACACTCTTTTTGTGGAATATGCAAGTGGATATTAGGGCAGCTTTGAGGATTTCGTTGGAAACGGGAATACATGTAAAAAGCAGACAGCAGCATTCTCAGAAACTTCTTTGTGATGTTTGCATTGAAGTCACAGAGTTGAACATTCCCTTTGAGAGAGCAGGTTTGAAACACGCCTTTTGTCATATCTGGAAGTGTCCATTCGGAGCGCATTCAGGCTTGTGTTGAAAAAGGAAATATCCTCCCATAAAAACTAGACAGAAGCATTCTCAGAAACTTATCTGTGATGTATGTACTCAACTAACAGAACTAAACCATCCTTTTGAAGGAGCAGTTTTGAAACACTCTTTTTGCGGAATCTGCAAGTGGATATTTGGCTAGCTGGGAGGATTTCGTTGGAAACGGGATTACATACAAAAAGCAGACAGCAGCATTCTCAGAAACTTATTTGTGATGTGTGCCCTCAACTGACAAGTGTTGAACCTTTGTTTTGATAGAGCAGTTCTGAAACACACTTTTTGTAAAATCTGCAAGAGGATATTTGGATAGCTTTGAGGATTTCGTTGGAAACGGGAATGTCTTCATGTAAACTCTAGACAGAAGCATTCTCAGAAACTGCTTTGGGATGTTTCAATTGAAGTCCCAGTGTTGAACATTCCCATTCATAGAGCAGGTTTGAAACACTCTTTTTGTACTATCTGGAAGTGGACATTTGGAGCGCTTTCAGGTCTACGGTGAAAAAGGAGATATCTTCCAATAAAAACTAGATAGAAGCAATGTCAGAACTTTTTTCATGATGTATCTACTCAGCTAACAGAGTTGAACCTTTCTTTTGAGAGAGCAGTTTTGAAACACTCTTTTTGTGGAATATGCAAGTGGGTATTAGGCCAGCTTGGAGGATTTCGTTGGAAACGGGAATACGTATAAAAAGCAGACAGCAGCATTGTCAGAAACTACTTTGTGATGTTTGCATTCAAGTCACAGAATTGAACACTCCCTTTCACAGAGCAGGTTTGAAACACTCTTTTTGTAGTGTCTATAAGTGAACATTTGGCGTGCTTTCAGGCCTAAGGTGAAAAAGGAAATATCTTCCCATAAAAACTAGACAGAAGCATTCTCAGAAACTTGTTCGTGATGTGTGCCCTCTACTGACAGAGTTGAACCTTTCTTTGCAAAGAGCAGCTTTGAAACACTCTTTTTGTAGAATCTGCAAGAGGATATTTGGATAGCTTTGAGGATTTCGTTGGAAACGGGTATGTCTTCAGATAAACTCTAGACAGGAAGCATTCTCAGAAACTTCTTTGGGATGTTGCATTCAAGTCACAGAGTAGAACATTCCCATTCATAGAGCAGATTTGAAACACTCTTTTTGTAGTATCTGGAAGTGGACATTTGGAGCGGTTTCAGGCCTATGTTGAAAAAGGAAATATCTTCCCATAAAAACTAGACGGAAGCATTCTCAGAAACTTACTTGTGATGTGTTTGCTCAACTAACAGAATTGAACCATCGTTTTGAAGGAGCAGTTTTGAAACACTGTTTTCGTGGAATCTGCAAGTGGATATTTGGCTAGCTTTGAGGATTTCGTTGGAAACGGGATTACATATAAAAAGGAGACAGCAGCATTCTCAGAAACTTCTTTGTGATGTCTGCATTCAAGTCACAGAGTTGAGCATTCCCTTTCATAGAGCAGGTTGGAAACACTCTTTTTGTAGTATCTGGATGAGGACATTTGGAGCGCTTTCAGGCGTATGGTGAAAAAGGAAATATCTTCCCGTAAAAACTAGACAGAAGCATTCTCAGAAATTTATTTGTGATGTGTGCCCTCAACTAACAGAGTTGAACCTTTCTTTTGATAGAGCAGTTTTGAAACACTCTTTTTGTAAAATCTGCAAGAGGATATTTGGATAGCTTTGAGGATTTCGTTGCAAACGGGAATGGCTTCATATAAACTCTAGACAGAAGCATTCTCAGAAACTTCGTTGGGATGTTTCGATTGAAGTCCCAGTGTTGAACATTCCCTTTTATAGAGCAGGTTGGAAACACTCTTTCTGCATTCCCTGGAAGTGGACATTTGGAGCGCTTTCAGGACGACGGTGAAAATGGAAATATCTTCCAATAAAATCTAGATAGAAGCAACGTCAGAAACTTTTATGTGATGGATCTACTCAGCTAACAGAGTTGAACCTTTCTTTTGAGAGAGCAGTTTTGCAACACTCTTTTTGTGGAATATGCAAGTGGATATTAGGGCAGCTTTGAGGATTTCGTTGGAAACGGGAATACATGTAAAAAGCAGACAGCAGCATTCTCAGAAACTTCTTTGTGATGTTTGCATTGAAGTCACAGAGTTGAACATTCCCTTTGAGAGAGCAGGTTTGAAACACGCCTTTTGTCATATCTGGAAGTGTCCATTCGGAGTGCATTCAGGCTTGTGTTGAAAAAGGAAATATCCTCCCATAAAAACTAGACAGAAGCATTCTCAGAAACTTATCTGTGATGTATGTACTCAACTAACAGAACTAAACCATCGTCTTGAAGGAGCAGTTTTGAAACACTCTTTTTGCGGAATCTGCAAGTGGATATTTGGCTAGCTGGGAGGATTTCGTTGGACACGGGATTACATACAAAAAGCAGAGAGCAGCATTCTCAGAAACTTATTTGTGATGTGTGCCCTCAACTGACAGTGTTGAACCTTTGTTTTGATAGAGCAGTTCTGAAACACACTTTTTGTAAAATCTGCAAGAGGATATTTGGATAGCTTTGAGGATTTCGTTGGAAACGGGAATGTCTTCATGTAAACTCTAGACAGAAGCATTCTCAGAAACTGCTTTGGGATGTTTCAATTGAAGTCCCAGTGTTGAACATTCCCTTTCATAGAGCCGGTTTGAAACACTCTTTTTGTAGTATCTGGAAGTGGACATTTGGAGCGCTTTCAGGTCAACGGTGAAAAAGGAGATATCTTCCAATAAAAACTAGATAGAAGCAATGTCAGAACTTTTTTCATGATGTATCTACTCAACAAACAGAGTTGAACCTTTCTTTTGAGAGAGCACTTTTGAAACACTCTTTTTGTGGAATATGCATGTGGGTATTAGGCCAGCTTGGAGGATTTCGTTGGAAACGGGAATACGTATAAAAAGCAGACAGCAGCATTGTCAGAAACTACTTTGTGATGTTTGCATTCAAGTCACAGAATTGAACACTCCCTTTCACAGAGCAGGTTTGAAACACTCTTTTTGTAGTGTCTGTAAGTGAACATTTGGATTGCTTTCAGGCCTAAGGTGAAAAAGGAAATATCTTCCCATAAAAACTAGACAGAAGCATTCTCAGAAACTTGTTTGTGATGTGTGCCCTCTACTGACGGAGTTGAACCTTTCTTTGCAAAGAGCAGTTTTGAAACCCTCTTTTTGTAGAATCTGCAAGAGGATATTTGCATAGCTTTGAGTATTTCTTGGGAAACGGGAATGTCTTCAGATAAACTCTATACAGAAGCATTCTCAGAAACTTCTTTGGGATGTTTCAATTGAAGTCACAGTGTTGAACATTCCCCTTCACAGAGCAGGTTTGAAACACTCTTTTTGTAGTGTCTATAAGTGAACATTTGGCGTGCTTTCAGGCCTAACGTGAAAAACGAAATATCTTCCCATAAAAACTAGACAGAAGCATTCTCAGAAACTTGTTCGTGATGTGTGCCCTCTACTGACAGAGTTGAACCTTTCTTTGCAAAGAGCAGCTTTGAAACACACTTTTTGTAGAATCTGCAAGAGGATATTTGGATAGCTTGGAGGATTTCGTTGGAAACGGGTATGTCTTCAGATAAACTCTAGACAGAAGCATTCTCAGAAACTTCTTTGGGATGTTGCATTCAAGTCACAGAGTAGAACATTCCCATTCATAGAGCAGATTTGAAACACTCTTTTTGTAGTATCTGGAAGTGGACATTTGGAGCGCTTTCAGGCCTATGTTGAAAAAGGAAATATCTTCCCATAAAAACTAGACGGAAGCATTCTCAGAAACTTATTTGTGATGTGTTTGCTCAACTAACAGGATTGAACCATCGTTTTGAAGGAGCAGTTTTGAAACACTGTTTTCGTGGAATCTGCAAGTGGATATTTGGCTAGCTTTGAGGATTTCGTTGGAAAAGGGATTACATATAAAAAGGAGACAGCAGCATTCTCAGAAACTTCTTTGTGATGTCTGCATTCAATTCACAGAGTTGAGCATTCCCTTTCATAGAGCAGGTTGGAAACACTCTTTTTGTAGTATCTGGATGAGGACATTTGGAGCGCTTTCAGGCGTATGGTGAAAAAGGAAATATCTTCCCTGTAAAAACTAGACAGAAGCATTCTCAGAAGTTTATTTGTGATGTGTGCCCTCAACTAACAGAGTTGAACCTTTCTTTTGATAGAGCAGTTTTGAAACACTCTTTTTGTAAAATCTGCAAGAGGATATTTGGATAGCTTTGAGGATTTCGTTGCAAACGGGAATGGCTTCATATAAACTCTAGACAGAAGCATTCTCAGAAACTTCGTTGGGATGTTTCGATTGAAGTCCCAGTGTTGAACATTCCCTTTTATAGAGCAGGTTGGAAACACTCTTTCTGCATTCCCTGGAAGTGGACATTTGGAGCGCTTTCAGGACGACGGTGAAAATGGAAATATCTTCCAAGAAAATCTAGATAGAAGCAATGTCAGAAACTTTTATGTGATGGATCTACTCAGCTAACAGAGTTGAAGCTTTCTTTTGAGAGAGCAGTTTTGCAACACTCTTTTTGTGGAATATGCAAGTGGATATTAGGGCAGCTTTGAGGATTTCGTTGGAAACGGGAATACATGTAAAAAGCAGACAGCAGCATTCTCAGAAACTTCTTTGTGATGTTTGCATTGAAGTCACAGAGTTGAACATTCCCTTTGAGAGAGCAGGTTTGAAACACGCCTTTTGTCATATCTGGAAGTGTCCATTCGGAGCGCATTCAGGCTTGTGTTGAAAAAGGAAATATCCTCCCATAAAAACTAGACAGAAGCATTCTCAGAAACTTATCTGTGATGTATGTACTCAACTAACCGAACTAAACCATCGTTTTGAAGGAGCAGTTTTGAAACACTCTTTTTGCGGAATCTGCAAGTGGATATTTGGCTAGCTGGGAGGATTTCGTTGGAAACGGGATTACATACAAAAAGCAGACAGCAGCATTCTCAGAAACTTCTTTGTGATGTTTGCATTCAAGTCACAGAGTTGAACATTCCCTTTCATAGAGCAGGTTTGAAACACTCTTTTTGTAGTATCTGGATGTGGACATTTGGATCGCTTTCAGGCCTATGGTGAAAAAGGAAATATCTTCCCATGAAAACTAGACAGAAGCATTCTCAGAAACTTATTTGTGATGTGTGCCCTCAACTGACAGTGTTGAACCTTTGTTTTGATAGAGCAGTTCTGAAACACACTTTTTGTAAAATCTGCAAGAGGATATTTGGATAGCTTTGAGGATTTCGTTGGAAACGGGAATGTCTTCATGTAAACTCTGGACAGAAGCATTCTCAGAAACTGCTTTGGGATGTTTCAATTGAAGTCCCAGTGTTGAACATTCCCATTCATAGAGCAGGTTTGAAACACTCTTTTTGTACTATCTGGAAGTGGACATTTGGAGCGCTTTCAGGTCTACGGTGAAAAAGTAGATATCTTCCAATAAAAACTAGATAGAAGCAATGTCAGAACTTTTTTCATGATGTATCTACTCAGCAAACAGAGTTGAACCTTTCTTTTGAGAGAGCAGTTTTGAAACACTCTTTTTGTGGAATATGCAAGTGGGTATTAGGCCAGCTTGGAGGATTTCGTTGGAAACGGGAATACGTATAAAAAGCAGACAGCAGCATTGTCAGAAACTACTTTGTGATGTTTGCATTCAAGTCACAGAATTGAACACTCCCTTTCACAGAGCAGGTTTGAAACACTCTTTTTGTAGTGTCTGTAAGTGAACATTTGGATTGCTTTCAGGCCTAAGGTGAAAAAGGAAATATCTTCCCATAAAAACTAGACAGAAGCATTCTCAGAAACTTGTTTGTGATGTGTGCCCTCTACTGACAGAGTTGAACCTTTCTTTGCAAAGAGCAGTTTTGAAACACTCTTTTTGTAGAATCTGCAAGAGGATATTTGGATAGCTTTGAGGATTTCTTGGGAAACGGGAATGTCTTCAGATAAACTCTAGACAGAAGCATTCTCAGAAACTTCTTTGGGATGTTTCAATTGAAGTCACAGTGTTGAACATTCCCTTTCACAGAGCAGGTTTGAAACACTCTTTTTGTAGTGTCTATAAGTGAACATTTGGCGTGCTTTCAGGCGTAACGTGAAAAAGGAAATATCTTCCCATAAAAACTAGACAGAAGCATTCTCAGAAACTTGTTCTTGATGTGTCCCCTCTACTGACAGAGTTGAACCTTTCTTTGCAAAGAGCAGCTTTGAAACACTCTTTTTGTAGAATCTGCAAGAGGATATTTGGATAGCTTGGAGGATTTCGTTGGAAACGGGTATGTCTTCAGATAAACTCCTAGACAGAAGCATTCTCAGAAACTTCTTTGGGATGTTGCATTCAAGTCACAGAGTAGAACATTCCCATTCATAGAGCAGATTTGAAACACTCTTTTTGTAGTATCTGGAAGTGGACATTTGGAGCGCTTTCAGGCCTATGTTGAAAAAGGAAATATCTTCCCATAAAAACTAGACGGAAGCATTCTCAGAAACTTATTTGTGATGTGTTTGCTCAACTAACAGGATTGAACCATCGTTTTGAAGGAGCAGTTTTGAAACACTGTTTTCGTGGAATCTGCAAGTGGATATTTGGCTAGCTTTGAGGATTTCGTTGGAAACGGGATTACATATACAAAGGAGACAGCAGCATTCTCAGAAACTTCTTTGTGATGTCTGCATTCAATTCACAGAGTTGAGCATTCCCTTTCATAGAGCAGGTTGGAAACACTCTTTTTGTAGTATCTGGATGAGGACATTTGGAGCGCTTTCAGGCATATGGTGAAAAAGGAAATATCTTCCCGTAAAAACTAGACAGAAGCATTCTCAGAAATTTATTTGTGATGTGTGCCCTCAACTAACAGAGTTGAACCTTTCTTTTGATAGAGCAGTTTTGAAACACTCTTTTTGTAAAATCTGCAAGAGGATATTTGGATAGCTTTGAGGATTTCGTTGCAAACGGGAATGGCTTCATATAAACTCTAGACAGAAGCATTCTCAGAAACTTCGTTGGGATGTTTCGATTGAAGTCCCAGTGTTGAACATTCCCTTTTATAGAGCAGGTTGGAAACACTCTTTTTGCATTCCCTGGAAGTGGACATTTGGAGCGCTTTCAGGACGACGGTGAAAATGGAAATATCTTCCAATAAAATCTAGATAGAAGCAACGTCAGAAACTTTTCTGTGATGGATCTACTCAGCTAACAGAGTTGAACCTTTCTTTTGAGAGAGCAGTTTTGCAACACTCTTTTTGTGGAATATGCAAGTGGATATTAGGGCAGCTTTGAGGATTTCGTTGGAAACGGGAATACATGTAAAAAGCAGACAGCAGCATTCTCAGAAACTTCTTTGTGATGTTTGCATTGAAGTCACAGAGTTGAACATTCCCTTTCAGAGAGCAGGTTTGAAACACGCCTTTTGTCATATCTGGAAGTGTCCATTCGGAGCGCATTCAGGCTTGTGTTGAAAAAGGAAATATCCTCCCATAAAAACTAGACAGAAGCATTCTCAGAAACTTATCTGTGATGTATGTACTCAACTAACAGAACTAAACCATCGTTTTGAAGGGCAGTTTTGAAACACTCTTTTTGCGGAATCTGCAAGTGGATATTTGGCTAGCTGGGAGGATTTCGTTGGAAACGGGATTACATACAAAAAGCAGACAGCAGCATTCTCAGAAACTTATTTGTGATGTGTGCCCTCAACTGACAGTGTTGAACCTTTGTTTTGATAGAGCAGTTCTGAAACACACTTTTTGTAAAATCTGCAAGAGGATATTTGGATAGCTTTGAGGATTTCGTTGGAAACGGGAATGTCTTCATGTAAACTCTAGACAGAAGCATTCTCAGAAACTGCTTTGGGATGTTTCAATTGAAGTCCCAGTGTTGAACATTCCCATTCATAGAGCAGGTTTGAAACACTCTTTTTGTACTATCTGGAAGTGGACATTTGGAGCGCTTTCAGGTCTACGGTGAAAAAGGAGATATCTTCCAATAAAAACTAGATAGAAGCAATGTCAGAACTTTTTTCATGATGTATCTACTCAGCAAACAGAGTTGAACCTTTCTTTTGAGAGAGCAGTTTTGAAACACTCTTTTTGTGGAATATGCAAGTGGGTATTAGGCCAGCTTGGAGGATTTCGTTGGAAACGGGAATACGTATAAAAAGCAGACAGCAGCATTGTCAGAAACTACTTTGTGATGTTTGCATTCAAGTCACAGAATTGAACACTCCCTTTCACAGAGCAGGTTTGAAACACTCTTTTTGTAGTGTCTGTAAGTGAACATTTGGATTGCTTTCAGGCGTAAGGTGAAAAAGGAAATATCTTCCCATAAAAACTAGACAGAAGCATTCTCAGAAACTTGTTTGTGATGTGTGCCCTCTACTGACAGAGTTGAACCTTTCTTTGCAAAGAGCAGTTTTGAAACACTCTTTTTGTAGAATCTGCAAGAGGATATTTGGATAGCTTTGAGGATTTCTTGGGAAACGGGAATGTCTTCAGATAAACTCTAGACAGAAGCATTCTCAGAAACTTCTTTGGGATGTTTCAATTGAAGTCACAGTGTTGAACATTCCCTTTCACAGAGCAGGTTTGAAACACTCTTTTTGTAGTGTCTATAAGTGAACATTTGGCGTGCTTTCAGGCCTAAGGTGAAAAAGGAAATATCTTCCCATAAAAACTAGACAGAAGCATTCTCAGAAACTTGTTCGTGATGTGTGCCCTCTACTGACAGAGTTGAACCTTTCTTTGCAAAGAGCAGCTTTGAAACACTCTTTTTGTAGAATCTGCAAGAGGATATTTGGATAGCTTTGAGGATTTCGTTGGAAACGGGTATGTCTTCAGATAAACTCTAGACAGAAACATTCTCAGAAACTTCTTTGGGATGTTGCATTCAAGTCACAGAGTAGAACATTCCCATGCATAGAGCAGATTTGAAACACTCTTTTTGTAGTATCTGGAAGTGGACATTTGGAGCGCTTTCAGGCCTATGTTGAAAAAGGAAATATCTTCCCATAAAAACTAGACGGGAAGCATTCTCAGAAACTTACTTGTGATGTGTTTGCTCAACTAACAGAATTGAACCATCGTTTTGAAGGAGCAGTTTTGAAACACTGTTTTCGTGGAATCTGCAAGTGGATATTTGGCTAGCTTTGAGGATTTCGTTGGAAACGGGATTACATATACAAAGGAGACAGCAGCATTCTCAGAAACTTCTTTGTGCTGTCTGCATTCAAGTCACAGAGTTGAGCATTCCCTTTCATAGAGCAGGTTGGAAACACTCTTTTTGTAGTATCTGGATGAGGACATTTGGAGCGCTTTCAGGCGTATGGTGAAAAAGGAAATATCTTCCCGTAAAAACTAGACAGAAGCATTCTCAGAAATTTATTTGTGATGTGTGCCCTCAACTAACAGAGTTGAACCTTTCTTTTGATAGAGCAGTTTTGAAACACTCTTTTTGTAAAATCTGCAAGAGGATATTTGGATAGCTTTGAGGATTTCATTGCAAACGGGAATGGCTTCATATAAACTCTAGACAGAAGCATTCTCAGAAACTTCGTTGGGATGTTTCGATTGAAGACCCAGTGTTGAACATTCCCTTTTATAGAGCAGGTTGGAAACACTCTTTCTGCATTCCCTGGAAGTGGACATTTGGAGCGCTTTCAGGACGACGGTGAAAATGGAAATATCTTCCAATAAAATCTAGATAGAAGCAACGTCAGAAACTTTTCTGTGATGGATCTACTCAGCTAACAGAGTTGAACCTTTCTTTTGAGAGAGCAGTTTTGCAACACTCTTTTTGTGGAATATGCAAGTGGATATTAGGGCAGCTTTGAGGATTTCGTTGGAAACGGGAATACATGTAAAAAGCAGACAGCAGCATTCTCAGAAACTTCTTTGTGATGTTTGCATTGAAGTCACAGAGTTGAACATTCCCTTTGAAAGAGCAGGTTTGAAACACGCCTTTTGTCATATCTGGAAGTGTCCATTCGGAGCGCATTCAGGCTTGTGTTGAAAAAGGAAATATCCTCCCATAAAAACTAGACAGAAGCATTCTCAGAAACTTATCTGTGATGTATGTACTCAACTAACAGAACTAAACCATCGTTTTGAAGGAGCAGTTTTGAAACACTCTTTTTGCGGAATCTGCAAGTGGATATTTGGCTAGCTGGGAGGATTTCGTTGGAAACGGGATTACATACAAAAAGCAGACAGCAGCATTCTCAGAAACTTCTTTGTGATGTTTGCATTCAAGTCACAGAGTTGAACATTCCCTTTCATAGAGCAGGTTTGAAACACTCTTTTTGTAGTATCTGGATGTGGACATTTGGATCGCTTTCAGGCCTATGGTGAAAAAGGAAATATCTTCCCATGAAAACTAGACAGAAGCATTCTCAGAAACTTATTTGTGATGTGTGCCCTCAACTGACAGTGTTGAACCTTTGTTTTGATAGAGCAGTTCTGAAACACACTTTTTGTAAAATCTGCAAGAGGATATTTGGATAGCTCTGAGGATTTCGTTGGAAACGGGAGTGTCTTCATGTAAACTCTAGACAGAAGCATTCTCAGAAACAGCTTTGGGATGTTTCAATTGAAGTCCCAGTGTTGAACATTCCCATTCATAGAGCAGGTTTGAAACACTCTTTTTGTACTATCTGGAAGTGGACATTTGGAGCGCTTTCAGGTCTACGGTGAAAAAGGAGATATCTTCCAATAAAAACTAGATAGAAGCAATGTCAGAACTTTTTTCATGATGTATCTACTCAGCAAACAGAGTTGAACCTTTCTTTTGAGAGAGCAGTTTTGAAACACTCTTTTTGTGGAATATGCAAGTGGGTATTAGGCCAGCTTGGAGGATTTCGTTGGAAACGGGAATACGTATAAAAAGCAGACAGCAGCATTGTCAGAAACTACTTTGTGATGTTTGCATTCAAGTCACAGAATTGAACACTCCCTTTCACAGAGCAGGTTTGAAACACTCTTTTTGTAGTGTCTGTAAGTGAACATTTGGATTGCTTTCAGGCCTAAGGTGAAAAAGGAAATATCTTCCCATAAAAACTAGACAGAAGCATTCTCAGAAACTTGTTTGTGATGTGTGCCCTCTACTGACAGAGTTGAACCTTTCTTTGCAAAGAGCAGTTTTGAAACACTCTTTTTGTAGAATCTGCAAGAGGATATTTGGATAGCTTTGAGGATTTCTTGGGAAACGGGAATGTCTTCAGATAAACTCTAGACAGAAGCATTCTCAGAAAGTTCTTTGGGATGTTTCAATTGAAGTCACAGTGTTGAACATTCCCTTTCACAGAGCAGGTTTGAAACACTCTTTTTGTAGTGTCTATAAGTGAACATTTGGCGTGCTTTCAGGCCTAACGTGAAAAAGGAAATATCTTCCCATAAAAACTAGACAGAAGCATTCTCAGAAACTTGTTCGTGATGTGTGCCCTCTACTGACAGAGTTGAACCTTTCTTTGCAAAGAGCAGCTTTGAAACACACTTTTTGTAGAATCTGCAAGAGGATATTTGGATAGCTTGGAGGATTTCGTTGGAAACGGGTATGTCTTCAGATAAACTCTAGACAGAAGCATTCTCAGAAACTTCTTTGGGATGTTGCATTCAAGTCACAGAGTAGAACATTCCCATTCATAGAGCAGATTTGAAACACTCTTTTTGTAGTATCTGGAAGTGGACATTTGGAGCGCTTTCAGGCCTATGTTGAAAAAGGAAATATCTTCCCATAAAAACTAGACGGAAGCATTCTCAGAAACTTATTTGTGATGTGTTTGCTCAACTAACAGGATTGAACCATCGTTTTGAAGGAGCAGTTTTGAAACACTGTTTTCGTGGAATCTGCAAGTGGATATTTGGCTAGCTTTGAGGATTTCGTTGGAAACGGGATTACATATAAAAAGGAGACAGCAGCATTCTCAGAAACTTCTTTGTGATGTCTGCATTCAATTCACAGAGTTGAGCATTCCCTTTCATAGAGCAGGTTGGAAACACTCTTTTTGTAGTATCTGGATGAGGACATTTGGAGCGCTTCAGGCGTATGGTGAAAAAGGAAATATCTTCCCGTAAAAACTAGACAGAAGCATTCTCAGAAGTTTATTTGTGATGTGTGCCCTCAACTAACAGAGTTGAACCTTTCTTTTGATAGAGCAGTTTTGAAACACTCTTTTTGTAAAATCTGCAAGAGGATATTTGGATAGCTTTGAGGATTTCGTTGCAAACGGGAATGGCTTCATATAAACTCTAGACAGAAGCATTCTCAGAAACTTCGTTGGGATGTTTCGATTGAAGTCCCAGTGTTGAACATTCCCTTTTATAGAGCAGGTTGGAAACACTCTTTCTGCATTCCCTGGAAGTGGACATTTGGAGCGCTTTCAGGACGACGGTGAAAATGGAAATATCTTCCAAGAAAATCTAGATAGAAGCAATGTCAGAAACTTTTATGTGATGGATCTACTCAGCTAACAGAGTTGAACCTTTCTTTTGAGAGAGCAGTTTTGCAACACTCTTTTTGTGGAATATGCAAGTGGATATTAGGGCAGCTTTGAGGATTTCGTTGGAAACGGGAATACATGTAAAAAGCAGACAGCAGCATTCTCAGAAACTTCTTTGTGATGTTTGCATTGAAGTCACAGAGTTGAACATTCCCTTTGAGAGAGCAGGTTTGAAACACGCCTTTTGTCATATCTGGAAGTGTCCATTCGGAGCGCATTCAGGCTTGTGTTGAAAAAGGAAATATCCTCCCATAAAAACTAGACAGAAGCATTCTCAGAAACTTATCTGTGATGTATGTACTCAACTAACAGAACTAAACCATCGTTTTGAAGGAGCAGTTTTGAAACACTCTTTTTGCGGAATCTGCAAGTGGATACTTGGCTAGCTTGGAGGATTTCGTTGGAAACGGGATTACATACAAAAAGCAGAGAGCAGCATTCTCAGAAACTTCTTTGTGATGTTTGCATTCAAGTCACAGAGTTGAACATTCCCTTTCATAGAGCAGGTTTGAAACACTCTTTTTGTAGTATCTGGATGTGGACATTTGGATCGCTTTCAGGCCTATGGTGAAAAAGGAAATATCTTCCCATGAAAACTAGACAGAAGCATTCTCAGAAACTTATTTGTGATGTGTGCCCTCAACTGACAGTGTTGAACCTTTGTTTTGATAGAGCAGTTCTGAAACACACTTTTTGTAAAATCTGCAAGAGGATATTTGGATAGCTTTGAGGATTTCGTTGGAAACGGGAATGTCTTCATGTAAACTCTAGACAGAAGCATTCTCAGAAACTGCTTTGGGATGTTTCAATTGAAGTCCCAGTGTTGAACATTCCCTTTCATAGAGCAGGTTTGAAACACTCTTTTTGTACTATCTGGAAGTGGACATTTGGAGCGCTTTCAGGTCTACGGTGAAAAAGGAGATATCTTCCAATAAAAACTAGATAGAAAGCAATGTCAGAACTTTTTTCATGATGTATCTACTCAGCAAACAGAGTTGAACCTTTCTTTTGAGAGAGCAGTTTTGAAACACTCCTTTTGTGGAATATGCAAGTGGGTATTAGGCCAGCTTGGAGGATTTCGTTGGAAACGGGAATACGTATAAAAAGCAGACAGCAGCATTGTCAGAAACTACTTTGTGATGTTTGCATTCAAGTCACAGAATTGAACACTCCCTTTCACAGAGCAGGTTTGAAACACTCTTTTTGTAGTGTCTGTAAGTGAACATATGGATTGCTTTCAGGCCTAAGGTGAAAAAGGAAATATCTTCCCATAAAAACTAGACAGAAGCATTCTCAGAAACTTGTTTGTGATGTGTGCCCTCTACTGACAGAGTTGAACCTTTCTTTGCAAAGAGCAGTTTTGAAACACTCTTTTTGTAGAATCTGCAAGAGGATATTTGGATAGCTTTGAAGATTTCTTGGGAAACGGGAATGTCTTCAGATAAACTCTAGACAGAAGCATTCTCAGAAACTTCTTTGGGATGTTTCAATTGAAGTCACAGTGTTGAACATTCCCTTTCACAGAGCAGGTTTGAAACACTCTTTTTGTAGTGTCTATAAGTGAACATTTCGCGTGCTTTCAGGCCTAACGTGAAAAAGGAAATATCTTCCCATAAAAACTAGACAGAAGCATTCTCAGAAACTTGTTCATGATGTGTGCCCTCTACTGACAGAGTTGAACCTTTCTTTGCAAAGAGCAGCTTTGAAACACTCTTTTTGTAGAATCTGCAAGAGGATATTTGGATAGCTTGGAGGATTTCGTTGGAAACGGGTATGTCTTCAGATAAACTCTAGACAGAAGCATTCTCAGAAACTTCTTTGGGATGTTGCATTCAAGTCACAGAGTAGAACATTCCCATTCATAGAGCAGATTTGAAACACTCTTTTTGTAGTATCTGGAAGTGGACATTTGGAGCGCTTTCAGGCCTATGTTGAAAAAGGAAATATCTTCCCATAAAAACTAGACGGAAGCATTCTCAGAAACTTATTTGTGATGTGTTTGCTCAACTAACAGGATTGAACCATCGTTTTGAAGGAGCAGTTTTGAAACACTGTTTTCGTGGAATCTGCAAGTGGATATTTGGCTAGCTTTGAGGATTTCGTTGGAAACGGGATTACATATAAAAAGGAGACAGCAGCATTCTCAGAAACATCTCTGTGATGTTTGCATTCAAGTCACAGAGTTGAACATTCCCTTTCATAGAGCAGGTTTGAAACACTGTTTTTGTAGTATCTGGAAGTGCACATTTGGAGCGCATTGAGGCCTAAGGTGAAAAAGGAAATATCTTCCCATAAAAACTAGACAGAAGCATTCTCAGAAGTTTATTTGTGATGTGTGCCCTCAACTAACAGAGTTGAAACTTTCTTTTGATAGAGCAGTTTTGAAACACTCATTTTGTAAAATCTGCAAGAGGATATTTGGATAGCTTTGAGGATTTTGTTGCAAACGGGAATGGCTTCATATAAACTCTAGACAGAAGCATTCTCAGAAACTTCGTCGGGATGTTTCGATTGAAGTCCCAGTGTTGAACATTCCCTTTTATAGAGCAGGTTGGAAACACTCTTTCTGCATTCCCTGGAAGTGGACAATTGGAGCGCTTTCAGGACGACGGTGAAAATGGAAATATCTTCCAATAAAATCTGGATAGAAGCAATGTCAGAAACTTTTCTGTGATGGATCTACTCAGCTAACAGAGTTGAACCTTTCTTTTGAGAGAGCAGTTTTGCAACACTCTTTTTGTGGAATATGCAAGTGGATATTAGGGCAGCTTTGAGGATTTCGTTGGAAACGGGAATACATGTAAAAAGCAGACAGCAGCATTCTCAGAAACTTCTTTGTGATGTTTGCATTCAAGTCACAGAGTTGAACATTCCCTTTGAGAGAGCAGGTTTGAAACACGCCTTTTGTCATATCTGGAAGTGTCCATTCGGAGCGCATTCAGGCTTGTGTTGAAAAAGGAAATATCCTCCCATAAAAACTAGACAGAAGCATTCTCAGAAACTTATCTGTGATGTATGTACTCAACTAACAGAACTAAACCATCGTTTTGAAGGAGCAGTTTTGAAACACTCTTTTTGCGGAATCTGCAAGTGGATATTTGGCTAGCTGGGAGGATTTCGTTGGAAACGGGATTACATACAAAAAGCAGACAGCAGCATTCTCAGAAACTTCTTTGTGATGTTTGCATTCAAGTCACAGAGTTGAGCATTCCCTTTCATAGAGCAGGTTGGAAACACTCTTTTTGTAGTATCTGGATGTGGACATTTGGATCGCTTTCAGGCGTATGGTGAAAAAGGAAATATCTTCCCATGAAAACTAGACAGAAGCATTCTCAGAAACTTATTTGTGATGTGTGCACTCAACTGACAGTGTTGAACCTTTGTTTTGATAGAGCAGTTCTGAAACACACTTTTTGTAAAATCTGCAAGAGGATATTTGGATAGCTTTGAGGATTTCGTTGGAAACGGGAATGTCTTCATGTAAACTCTAGACAGAAGCATTCTCAGAAACTGCTTTGGGATGTTTCAATTGAAGTCCCAGTGTTGAACATTCCCATTCATAGAGCAGGTTTGAAACACTCTTTTTGTACTATCTGGAAGTGGACATTTGGAGCGCTTTCAGGTCTACGGTGAAAAAGGAGATATCTTCCAATAAAAACTAGATAGAAGCAATGTCAGAACTTTTTTCATGATGTATCTACTCAGCAAACAGAGTTGAACCTTTCTTTTGAGAGAGCAGTTTTGAAACACTCTTTTTGTGGAATATGAAAGTGGGTATTAGGCCAGCTTGGAGGATTTCGTTGGAAACGGGAATACGTATAAAAAGCAGACAGCAGCATTGTCAGAAACTACTTTGTGATGTTTGCATTCAAGTCACAGAACTGAAAACTCCCTTTCACAGAGCAGGTTTGAAACACTCTTTTTGTAGTGTCTGTAAGTGAACATTTGGATTGCTTTCAGGCCTAAGGTGAAAAAGGAAATATCTTCCCATAAAAACTAGACAGAAGCATTCTCAGAAACTTGTTCGTGATGTGTGCCCTCTACTGACAGAGTTGAACCTTTCTTTGCAAAGAGCAGTTTTGAAACACTCTTTTTGTAGAATCTGCAAGAGGATATTTGGATAGCTTTGAAGATTTCTTGGGAAACGGGAATGTCTTCAGATAAACTCTAGACAGAAGCATTCTCAGAAACTTCTTTGGGATGTTTCAATTGAAGTCACAGTGTTGAACATTCCCTTTCACAGAGCAGGTTTCAAACACTCTTTTTGTAGTGTCTATAAGTGAACATTTGGCGTGCTTTCAGGCCTAACGTGAAAAAGGAAATATCTTCCCATAAAAACTAGACAGAAGCATTCTCAGAAACTTGTTCGTGATGTGTGCCCTCTACTGACAGAGTTGAACCTTTCTTTGCAAAGAGCAGCTTTGTAACACACTTTTTGTAGAATCTGCAAGAGGATATTTGGATAGCTTTGAGGATTTCGTTGGAAACGGGTATGTCTTCTGATAAACTCTAGACAGAAGCATTCTCAGAAACTTCTTTGGGATGTTGCATGCAAGTCACAGAGTAGAACATTCCCATTCATAAATCAGATTTGAAACACTCTTTTTGTAGTATCTGGAAGTGGACATTTGGAGCGCTTTCAGGCCTATGTTGAAAAAGGAAATATCTTCCCATAAAAACTAGACGGAAGCATTCTCAGAAACTTATTTGTGATGTGTTTGCTCAACTAACAGGATTGAACCATCGTTTTGAAGGAGCAGTTTTGAAACACTGTTTTCGTGGAATCTGCAAGTGGATATTTGGCTAGCTTTGAGGATTTCGTTGGAAACGGGATTACATATAAAAAGGAGACAGCAGCATTCTCAGAAACTTCTTTGTGATGTCTGCATTCAATTCACAGAGTTGAGCATTCCCTTTCATAGAGCAGGTTGGAAACACTCTTTTTGTAGTATCTGGATGTGGACATTTGGATCGCTTTCAGGCCTATGGTGAAAAAGGAAATATCTTCCCATGAAAACTAGACAGAAGCATTCTCAGAAACTTATTTGTGATGTGTGCCCTCAACTGACAGTGTTGAACCTTTGTTTTGATAGAGCAGTTCTGAAACACACTTTTTGTAAAATCTGCAAGAGGATATTTGGATAGCTTTGAGGATTTCGTTGGAAACGGGAATGTCTTCATGTAAACTCTAGACAGAAGCATTCTCAGAAACTGCTTTGGGATGTTTCAATTGAAGTCCCAGTGTTGAACATTCCCATTCATAGAGCAGGTTTGAAACACTCTTTTTGTACTATCTGGAAGTGGACATTTGGAGCGCTTTCAGGTCTATGGTGAAAAAGGAGATATCTTCCAATAAAAACTAGATAGAAGCAATGTCAGAACTTTTTTCATGATGTATCTACTCAGCAAACAGAGTTGAACCTTTCTTTTGAGAGAGCAGTTTTGAAACACTCTTTTTGTGGAATATGCAAGTGGGTATTAGGCCAGCTTGGAGGATTTCGTTGGAAACGGGAATACGTATAAAAAGCAGACAGCAGCATTGTCAGAAACTACTTTGTGATGTTTGCATTCAAGTCACAGAATTGAACACTCCCTTTCACAGAGCAGGTTTGAAACACTCTTTTTGTAGTGTCTGTAAGTGAACATATGGATTGCTTTCAGGTCTAAGGTGAAAAAGGAAATATCTTCCCATAAAAACTAGACAGAAAGCATTCTCAGCAAACTTGTTTGTGATGTGTGCCCTCTACTGACAGAGTTGAACCTTTCTTTGCAAAGAGCAGTTTTGAAACACTCTTTTTGTAGAATCTGCAAGAGGATATTTGGATAGCTTTGAGGATTTCTTGGGAAACGGGAATGTCTTCAGATAAACTCTAGACAGAAGCATTCTCAGAAACTTCTTTGGGATGTTTCAATTGAAGTCACAGTGTTGAACATTCCCTTTCACAGAGCAGGTTTGAAACACTCTTTTTGTAGTGTCTATAAGTGAACATTTGGCGTGCTTTCAGGCCTAACGTGAAAAAGGAAATATCTTCCCATAAAAACTAGACAGAAGCATTCTCAGAAACTTGTTCGTGATGTGTGCCCTCTACTGACAGAGTTGAACCTTTCTTTGCAAAGAGCAGCTTTGAAACACACTTTTTGTAGAATCTGCAAGAGGATATTTGGATAGCTTTGTGGATTTCGTTGGAAACGGGTATGTCTTCAGATAAACTCTAGACAGAAGCATTCTCAGAAACTTCTTTGGGATGTTGCATTCAAGTCACAGAGTAGAACATTCCCATTCATAGAGCAGATTTGAAACACTCTTTTTGTAGTATCTGGAAGTGGACATTTGGAGCGCTTTCAGGCCTATGTTGAAAAAGGAAATATCTTCCCATAAAAACTAGACAGAAGCATTCTCAGAAACTTACTTGTGATGTGTTTGCTCAACTAACAGAATTGAACCATCGTTTTGAAGGAGCAGTTTTGAAACACTGTTTTCGTGGAATCTGCAAGTGGATATTTGGCTAGCTTTGAGGATTTCGTTGGAAACGGGATTACATATAAAAAGGAGACAGCAGCATTCTCAGAAACTTCTTTGTGATGTCTGCATTCAAGTCACAGAGTTGAGCATTCCCTTTCATAGAGCAGGTTGGAAACACTCTTTTTGTAGTATCTGCATGAGGACATTTGGAGCGCTTTCAGGCGTATGGTGAAAAAGGAAATATCTTCCCGTAAAAACTAGACAGAAGCATTCTCAGAAATTTATTTGTGATGTGTGCCCTCAACTAACAGAGTTGAACCTTTCTTTTGATAGAGCAGTTTTGAAACACTCTTTTTGTAAAATCTGCAAGAGGATATTTGGATAGCTTTGAGGATTTCATTGCAAACGGGAATGGCTTCATATAAACTCTAGACAGAAGCATTCTCAGAAACTTCGTTGGGATGTTTCGATTGAAGTCCCAGTGTTGAACATTCCCTTTTATAGAGCAGGTTGGAAACACTCTTTCTGCATTCCCTGGAAGTGGACATTTGGAGAGCTTTCAGGACGACGGTGAAAATGGAAATATCTTCCAAGAAAATCTAGATAGAAGCAATGTCAGAAACTTTTATGTGATGGATCTACTCAGCTAACAGAGTTGAAGCTTTCTTTTGAGAGAGCAGTTTTGCAACACTCTTTTTGTGGAATATGCAAGTGGATATTAGGGCAGCTTTGAGGATTTCGTTGGAAACGGGAATACATGTAAAAAGCAGACAGCAGCATTCTCAGAATCTTCTTTGTGATGTTTGCATTGAAGTCACAGAGTTGAACATTCCCTTTGAGAGAGCAGGGTTGAAACACGCCTTTTGTCATATCTGGAAGTGTCCATTCGGAGCGCATACAGGCTTGCGATGAAAAAGGAAATATCCTCCCATAAAAACTAGACAGAAGCATTCTCAGAAACCTATTTGTGATGTATGTACTCAACTAACAGAACTAAACCATCGTTTTGAAGGAGCAGTTTTGAAACACTCTTTTTGCGGAATCTGCAACTGGATATTTGGCTAGCTTGGAGGATTTCGTTGGAAACGGGATTACATACAAAAAGCAGACAGCAGCATTCTCAGAAACTTCTTTGTGATGTTTGCATTCAAGTCGCAGAGTTGAACATTCCCTTTCATAGAGCAGGTTTGAAACACTCTTTTTGTAGTATCTGGATGTGGACATTTGGATCGCTTTCAGGCCTATGGTGAAAAAGGAAATATCTTCCCATGAAAACTAGACAGAAGCATTCTCAGAAACTTATTTGTGATGTGTGCCCTCAACTGACAGTGTTGAACCTTTGTTTTGATAGAGCAGTTCTGAAACACACTTTTTGTAAAATCTGCAAGAGGATATTTGGATAGCTTTGAGGATTTCGTTGGAAACGGGAATGTCTTCATGTAAACTCTAGACAGAAGCATTCTCAGAAACTGCTTTGGGATGTTTCAATTGAAGTCCCAGTGTTGAACATTCCCTTTCATAGAGCAGGTTTGAAACACTCTTTTTGTACTATCTGGAAGTGGACATTTGGAGCGCTTTCAGGTCTACGGTGAAAAAGGAGATATCTTCCAATAAAAACTAGATAGAAGCAATGTCAGAACTTTTTTCATGATGTATCTACTCAGCAAACAGAGTTGAACCTTTCTTTTGAGAGAGCAGTTTTGAAACACTCTTTTTGTGGAATATGCAAGTGGGTATTAGGCCAGCTTGGAGGATTTCGTTGGAAACGGGAATACGTATAAAAAGCAGACAGCAGCATTGTCAGAAACTACTTTGTGATGTTTGCATTCAAGTCACAGAATTGAACACTCCCTTTCACAGAGCAGGTTTGAAACACTCTTTTTGTAGTGTCTGTAAGTGAACATTTGGATTGCTTTCAGGCCTAAGGTGAAAAAGGAAATATCTTCCCATAAAAACTAGACAGAAGCATTCTCAGAAACTTGTTTGTGATGTGTGCCCTCTACTGACAGAGTTGAACCTTTCTTTGCAAAGAGCAGTTTTGAAACACTCTTTTTGTAGAATCTGCAAGAGGATATTTGGATAGCTTTGAGGATTTCATGGGAAACGGGAATGTCTTCAGATAAACTCTAGACAGAAGCATTCTCAGAAACTTCTTTGGGATGTTTCAATTGAAGTCACAGTGTTGAACATTCCCTTTCACAGAGCAGGTTTTAAACACTCTTTTTGTAGTGTCTATAATTGAACATTTGGCGTGCTTTCAGGCCTAACGTGAAAAAGGAAATATCTTCCCATAAAAACTAGACAGAAGCATTCTCAGAAACTTGTTCGTGATGTGTGCCCTCTACTGACAGAGTTGAACCTTTCTTTGCAAAGAGCAGCTTTGAAACACTCTTTTTGTAGAATCTGCAAGAGGATATGTGGATAGCTTTGAGGATTTCGTTGGAAACGGGTATGTCTTCAGATAAACTCTAGACAGAAGCATTCTCAGAAACTTCTTTGGGATGTTTCAATTGAAGTCACAGTGTTGAACATTCCCTTTCACAGAGCAGGTTTGAAACACTCTTTTTGTAGTGTCTATAAGTGAACATTTGGCGTGCTTTCAGGCCTAACGTGAAAAAGGAAATATCTTCCCATAAAAACTAGACAGAAGCATTCTCAGAAACTTGTTCATGATGTGTGCCCTCTACTGACAGAGTTGAACCTTTCTTTGCAAAGAGCAGCTTTGAAACACTCTTTTTGTAGAATCTGCAAGAGGATATTTGGATAGCTTTGAGGATTTCGTTGGAAACGGGTATGTCTTCAGATAAACTCTAGACAGAAACATTCTCAGAAACTTCTTTGGGATGTTGCATTCAAGTCACAGAGTAGAACATTCCCATGCATAGAGCAGATTTGAAACACTCTTTTTGTAGTATCTGGAAGTGGACATTTGGAGCGCTTTCAGGCCTATGTTGAAAAAGGAAATATCTTCCCATAAAAACTAGACGGGAAGCATTCTCAGAAACTTACTTGTGATGTGTTTGCTCAACTAACAGAATTGAACCATCGTTTTGAAGGAGCAGTTTTGAAACACTGTTTTCGTGGAATCTGCAAGTGGATATTTGGCTAGCTTTGAGGATTTCGTTGGAAACGGGATTACATATAAAAAGGAGACAGCAGCATTCTCAGAAACTTCTTTGTGATGTCTGCATTCAATTCACAGAGTTGAGCATTCCCTTTCCTAGAGCACGTTGGAAACACTCTTTTTGTAGTATCTGGATGAGGACATTTGGAGCGCTTTCAGGCGTATGGTGAAAAAGGAAATATCTTCCCGTAAAAACTAGACAGAAGCATTCTCAGAAATTTATTTGTGATGTGTGCCCTCAACTAACAGAGTTGAACCTTTCTTTTGATAGAGCAGTTTTGAAACACTCTTTTTGTAAAATCTGCAAGAGGATATTTGGATAGCTTTGAGGATTTCATTGCAAACGGGAATGGCTTCATATAAACTCTAGACAGAAGCATTCTCAGAAACTTCGTTGGGATGTTTCGATTGAAGTCCCAGTGTTGAACATTCCCTTTTATAGAGCAGGTTGGAAACACTCTTTCTGCATTTCCTGGAAGTGGACATTTGGAGCGCTTTCAGGACGACGGTGAAAATGGAAATATCTTCCAAGAAAATCTAGATAGAAGCAACGTCAGAAACTTTTATGTGATGGATCTACTCAGCTAACAGAGTTGAACCTTTCTTTTGAGAGAGCAGTTTTGCAACACTCTTTTTGTGGAATATGCAAGTGGATATTAGGGCAGCTTTGAGGATTTCGTTGGAAACGGGAATACATGTAAAAAGCAGACAGCAGCATTCTCAGAAACTTCTTTGTGATGTTTGCATTGAAGTCACAGAGTTGAACATTCCCTTTGAGAGAGCAGGTTTGAAACACGCCTTTTGTCATATCTGGAAGTGTCCATTCGGAGCGCATTCAGGCTTGTGTTGAAAAAGGAAATATCCTCCCATAAAAACTAGGACGGAAGCATTCTCAGAAACTTATCTGTGATGTATGTACTCAACTAACAGAACTAAACCATCGTTTTGAAGGAGCAGTTTTGAAACACTCTTTTTGCGGAATCTGCAAGTGGATATTTGGCTAGCTGGGAGGATTTCGTTGGAAACGGGATTACATACAAAAAGCAGACAGCAGCATTCTCAGAAACTTCTTTGTGATGTTTGCATTCAAGTCACAGAGTTGAACATTCCCTTTCATAGAGCAGGTTTGAAACACTCTTTTTGTAGTATCTGGATGTGGACATTTGGATCGCTTTCAGGCCTATGGTGAAAAAGGAAATATCTTCCCATGAAAACTAGACAGAAGCATTCTCAGAAACTTATTTGTGATGTGTGCCCTCAACTGACAGTGTTGAACCTTTGTTTTGATAGAGCAGTTCTGAAACACACTTTTTGTAAAATCTGCAAGAGGATATTTGGATAGCTTTGAGGATTTCGTTGGAAACGGGAATGTCTTCATGTAAACTCTACACAGAAGCATTCTCAGAAACTGCTTTGGGATGTTTCAATTGAAGTCCCAGTGTTGAACATTCCCATTCATAGAGCAGGTTGGAAACACTCTTTTTGTACTATCTGGAAGTGGACATTTGGAGCGCTTTCAGGTCTACGGTGAAAAAGGAGATATCTTCCAATAAAAACTAGATAGAAGCAATGTCAGAACTTTTTTCATGATGTATCTACTCAGCAAACAGAGTTGAACCTTTCTTTTGAGAGAGCAGTTTTGAAACACTCTTTTTGTGGAATATGCAAGTGGGTATTAGGCCAGCTTGGAGGATTTCGTTGGAAACGGGAATACGTATAAAAAGCAGACAGCAGCATTGTCAGAAACTACTTTGTGATGTTTGCATTCAAGTCACAGAATTGAACACTCCCTTTCACAGAGCAGGTTTGAAACACTCTTTTTGTAGTGTCTATAAGTGAACATTTGGCGTGCTTTCAGGCCTAAGGTGAAAAAGGAAATATCTTCCCATAAAAACTAGACAGAAGCATTCTCAGAAACTTGTTTGTGATGTGTGCCCTCTACTGACAGAGTTGAACCTTTCTTTGCAAAGAGCAGCTTTGAAACACTCTTTTTGTAGAATCTGCAAGAGGATATGTGGATAGCTTTGAGGATTTCGTTGGAAACGGGTATGTCTTCAGATAAACTCTAGACAGAAGCATTCTCAGAAACTTCTTTGGGATGTTGCATTCAAGTCACAGAGTAGAACATTCCCATTCATAGAGCAGATTTGAAACACTCTTTTTGTAGTATCTGGAAGTGGACATTTGGAGCGCTTTCAGGCCTATGTTGAAAAAGGAAATATCTTCCCATAAAAACTAGACGGAAGCATTCTCAGAAACTTATTTGTGATGTGTTTGCTCAACTAACAGGATTGAACCATCGTTTTGAAGGAGCAGTTTTGAAACACTGTTTTCGTGGAATCTGCAAGTGGATATTTGGCTAGCTTTGAGGATTTCGTTGGAAACGGGATTACATATAAAAAGGAGACAGCAGCATTCTCAGAAACTTCTTTGTGATGTCTGCATTCAATTCACAGAGTTGAGCATTCCCTTTCATAGAGCAGGTTGGAAACACTCTTTTTGTAGTATCTGGATGAGGACATTTGGAGCGCTTTCAGGCGTATGGTGAAAAAGGAAATATCTTCCCGTAAAAACTAGACAGAAGCATTCTCAGAAGTTTATTTGTGATGTGTGCCCTCAACTAACAGAGTTGAACCTTTCTTTTGATAGAGCAGTTTTGAAACACTCTTTTTGTAAAATCTGCAAGAGGATATTTGGATAGCTTTGAGGATTTCGTTGCAAACGGGAATGGCTTCATATAAACTCTAGACAGAAGCATTCTCAGAAACTTCGTTGGGATGTTTCGATTGAAGTCCCAGTGTTGAACATTCCCTTTTATAGAGCAGGTTGGAAACACTCTTTCTGCATTCCCTGGAAGTGGACATTTGGAGCGCTTTCAGGACGACGGTGAAAATGGAAATATCTTCCAAGAAAATCTAGATAGAAGCAATGTCAGAAACTTTTATGTGATGGATCTACTCAGCTAACAGAGTTGAAGCTTTCTTTTGAGAGAGCAGTTTTGCAACACTCTTTTTGTGGAATATGCAAGTGGATATTAGGGCAGCTTTGAGGATTTCGTTGGAAACGGGAATACATGTAAAAAGCAGACAGCAGCATTCTCAGAAACTTCTTTGTGATGTTTACATTGAAGTCACAGAGTTGAACATTCCCTTTGAGAGAGCAGGTTTGAAACACGCCTTTTGTCATATCTGGAAGTGTCCATTCGGAGCGCATACAGGCTTGTGTTGAAAAAGGAAATATCCTCCCATAAAAACTAGACAGAAGCATTCTCAGAAACCTATTTGTGATGTATGTACTCAACTAACAGAACTAAACCATCGTTTTGAAGGAGCAGTTTTGAAACACTCTTTTTGCGGAATCTGCAACTGGATATTTGGCTAGCTTGGAGGATTTCGTTGGAAACGGGATTACATAAAAAAGCAGACAGCAGCATTCTCAGAAACTTCTTTGTGATGTTTGCATTCAAGTCGCAGAGTTGAACATTCCCTTTCATAGAGCAGGTTTGAAACACTCTTTTTGTAGTATCTGGATGTGGACATTTGGATCGCTTTCAGGCCTATGGTGAAAAAGGAAATATCTTCCCATGAAAACTAGACAGAAGCATTCTCAGAAACTTATTTGTGATGTGTGCCCTCAACTGACAGTGTTGAACCTTTGTTTTGATAGAGCAGTTCTGAAACACACTTTTTGTAAAATCTGCAAGAGGATATTTGGATAGCTTTGAGGATTTCGTTGGAAACGGGAATGTCTTCATGTAAACTCTAGACAGAAGCATTCTCAGAAACTGCTTTGGGATGTTTCAATTGAAGTCCCAGTGTTGAACATTCCCTTTCATAGAGCAGGTTTGAAACACTCTTTTTGTAGTATCTGGAAGTGGACATTTGGAGCGCTTTCAGGTCTACGGTGAAAAAGGAGATATCTTCCAATAAAAACTAGATAGAAGCAATGTCAGAACTTTTTTCATGATGTATCTACTCAGCAAACAGAGTTGAACCTTTCTTTTGAGAGAGCAGTTTTGAAACACTCTTTTTGTGGAATATGCAAGTGGGTATTAGGCCGGCTTGGAGGATTTCGTTGGAAACGGGAATACGTATAAAAAGCAGACAGCAGCATTGTCAGAAACTACTTTGTGATGTTTGCATTCAAGTCACAGAATTGAACACTCCCTTTCACAGAGCAGGTTCGAAACACTCTTTTTGTAGTGTCTGTAAGTGAACATTTGGATTGCTTACAGGCCTAAGGTGAAAAAGGAAATATCTTCCCATAAAAACTAGACAGAAGCATTCTCAGAAACTTGTTTGTGATGTGTGCCCTCTACTGACAGAGTTGAACCTTTCTTTGCAAAGAGCAGTTTTGAAACACTCTTTTTGTAGAATCTGCAAGAGGATATTTGGATAGCTTTGAGGATTTCTTGGGAAACGGGAATGTCTTCAGATAAACTCTAGACAGAAGCATTCTCAGAAACTTCTTTGGGATGTTTCAATTGAAGTCACAGTGTTGAACATTCCCTTTCACAGAGCAGGTTTGAAACACTCTTTTTGTAGTGTCTATAAGTGAACATTTGGCGTGCTTTCAGGCGTAACGTGAAAAAGGAAATATCTTCCCATAAAAACTAGACAGAAGCATTCTCAGAAACTTGTTCGTGATGTGTGCCCTCTACTGACAGAGTTGAACCTTTCTTTGCAAAGAGCAGCTTTGAAACACACTTTTTGTAGAATCTGCAAGAGGATATTTGGATAGCTTGGAGGATTTCGTTGGAAACGGGTATGTCTTCAGATAAACTCTAGACAGAAGCATTCTCAGAAACTTCTTTGGGATGTTGCATTCAAGTCACAGAGTAGAACATTCCCATTCATAGAGCAGATTTGAAACACTCTTTTTGTAGTATCTGGAAGTGGACATTTGGAGCGCTTTCAGGCCTATGTTGAAAAAGGAAATATCTTCCCATAAAAACTAGACGGAAGCATTCTCAGAAACTTATTTGTGATGTGTTTGCTCAACTAACAGGATTGAACCATCGTTTTGAAGGAGCAGTTTTGAAACACTGTTTTCGTGGAATCTGCAAGTGGATATTTGGCTAGCTTTGAGGATTTCGTTGGAAACGGGATTACATATAAAAAGGAGACAGCAGCATTCTGAGAAACTTCTTTGTGATGTCTGCATTCAATTCACAGAGTTGAGCATTCCCTTTCATAGAGCAGGTTGGAAACACTCTTTTTGTAGTATCTGGATGAGGACATTTGGAGCGCTTTCAGGCGTATGGTGAAAAAGGAAATATCTTCCCGTAAAAACTAGACAGAAGCATTCTCAGAAGTTTATTTGTGATGTGTGCCCTCAACTAACAGAGTTGAACCTTTCTTTTGATAGAGCAGTTTTGAAACACTCTTTTTGTAAAATCTGCAAGAGGATATTTGGATAGCTTTGAGGATTTCGTTGCAAACGGGAATGGCTTCATATAAACTCTAGACAGAAGCATTCTCAGAAACTTCGTTGGGATGTTTCGATTGAAGTCCCAGTGTTGAACATTCCCTTTTATAGAGCAGGTTGGAAACACTCTTTCTGCATTCCCTGGAAGTGGACATTTGGAGCGCTTTCAGGACGACGGTGAAAATGGAAATATCTTCCAAGAAAATCTAGATAGAAGCAATGTCAGAAACTTTTATGTGATGGATCTACTCAGCTAACAGAGTTGAACCTTTCTTTTGAGAGAGCAGTTTTGCAACACTCTTTTTGTGGAATATGCAAGTGGATATTAGGGCAGCTTTGAGGATTTCGTTGGAAACGGGAATACATGTAAAAAGCAGACAGCAGCATTCTCAGAAACTTCTTTGTGATGTTTGCATTGAAGTCACAGAGTTGAACATTCCCTTTGAGAGAGCAGGTTTGAAACACGCCTTTTGTCATATCTGGAAGTGTCCATTCGGAGCGCATTCAGGCTTGTGTTGAAAAAGGAAATATCCTCCCATAAAAACTAGACAGAAGCATTCTCAGAAACTTATCTGTGATGTATGTACTCAACTAACAGAACTAAACCATCGTTTTGAAGGAGCAATTTTGAAACACTCTTTTTGCGGAATCTGCAAGTGGATATTTGGCTAGCTGGGAGGATTTCGTTGGAAACGGGATTACATACAAAAAGCAGACAGCAGCATTCTCAGAAACTTATTTGTGATGTGTGCCCTCAACTGACAGTGTTGAACCTTTGTTTTGATAGAGCAGTTCTGAAACACACTTTTTGTAAAATCTGCAAGAGGATATTTGGATAGCTTTGAGGATTTCGTTGGAAACGGGAATGTCTTCATGTAAACTCTACACAGAAGCATTCTCAGAAACTGCTTTGGGATGTTTCAATTGAAGTCCCAGTGTTGAACATTCCCATTCATAGAGCAGGTTTGAAACACTCTTTTTGTACTATCTGGAAGTGGACATTTGGAGCGCTTTCAGGTCTACGGTGAAAAAGGAGATATCTTCCAATAAAAACTAGATAGAAGCAATGTCAGAACTTTTTTCATGATGTATCTACTCAGCACACAGAGTTGAACCTTTCTTTTGAGAGAGCAGTTTTGAAACACTCTTTTTGTGGAATATGCAAGTGGGTATTAGGCCAGCTTGGAGGATTTCGTTGGAAACGGGAATACGTATAAAAAGCAGACAGCAGCATTGTCAGAAACTACTTTGTGATGTTTGCATTCAAGTCACAGAATTGAACACTCCCTTTCACAGAACAGGTTTGAAACACTCTTTTTGTAGTGTCTGTAAGTGAACATATGGATTGCTTTCAGGCCTAAGGTGAAAAAGGAAATATCTTCCCATAAAAACTAGACAGAAGCATTCTCAGAAACTTGTTTGTGATGTGTGCCCTCTACTGACAGAGTTGAACCTTTCTTTGCAAAGAGCAGTTTTGAAACACTCTTTTTGTAGAATCTGCAAGAGGATATTTGGATAGCTTTGAAGATTTCTTGGGAAACGGGAATGTCTTCAGATAAACTCTAGACAGAAGCATTCTCAGAAACTTCTTTGGGATGTTTCAATTGAAGTCACAGTGTTGAACATTCCCTTTCACAGAGCAGGTTTGAAACACTCTTTTTGTAGTGTCTATAAGTGAACATTTGGCGTGCTTTCAGGCCTAACGTGAAAAAGGAAATATCTTCCCATAAAAACTAGACAGAAGCATTCTCAGAAACTTGTTCATGATGTGTGCCCTCTACTGACAGAGTTGAACCTTTCTTTGCAAAGAGCAGCTTTGAAACACTCTTTTTGTAGAATCTGCAAGAGGATATTTGGATAGCTTTGAGGATTTCGTTGGAAACGGGTATGTCTTCAGATAAACTCTAGACAGAAGCATTCTCAGAAACTTCTTTGGGATGTTGCATTCAAGTCACAGAGTAGAACATTCCCATTCATAGAGCAGATTTGAAACACTCTTTTTGTAGTATCTGGAAGTGGACATTTGGAGCGCTTTCAGGCCTATGTTGAAAAAGGAAATATCTTCCCATAAAAACTAGACGGAAGCATTCTCAGAAACTTACTTGTGATGTGTTTGCTCAACTAACAGAATTGAACCATCGTTTTGAAGGAGCAGTTTTGAAACACTGTTTTCGTGGAATCTGCAAGTGGATATTTGGCTAGCTTTGAGGATTTCGTTGGAAACGGGATTACATATAAAAAGGAGACAGCAGCATTCTCAGAAACTTCTTTGTGATGTCTGCATTCAATTCACAGAGTTGAGCATTCCCTTTCATAGAGCAGGTTGGAAACACTCTTTTTGTAGTATCTGGATGAGGACATTTGGAGCGCTTTCAGGCGTATGGTGAAAAAGGAAATATCTTCCCGTAAAAACTAGACAGAAGCATTCTCAGAAGTTTATTTGTGATGTGTGCCCTCAACTAACAGAGTTGAACCTTTCTTTTGATAGAGCAGTTTTGAAACACTCTTTTTGTAAAATCTGCAAGAGGATATTTGGATAGCTTTGAGGATTTCGTTGCAAACGGGAATGGCTTCATATAAACTCTAGACAGAAGCATTCTCAGAAACTTCGTTGGGATGTTTCGATTGAAGTCCCAGTGTTGAACATTCCCTTTTATAGAGCAGGTTGGAAACACTCTTTCTGCATTCCCTGGAAGTGGACATTTGGAGCGCTTTCAGGACGACGGTGAAAATGGAAATATCTTCCAAGAAAATCTAGATAGAAGCAATGTCAGAAACTTTTATGTGATGGATCTACTCAGCTAACAGAGTTGAACCTTTCTTTTGAGAGAGCAGTTTTGCAACACTCTTTTTGTGGAATATGCAAGTGGATATTAGGGCAGCTTTGAGGATTTCGTTGGAAACGGGAATACATGTAAAAAGCAGACAGCAGCATTCTCAGAAACTTCTTTGTGATGTTTGCATTGAAGTCACAGAGTTGAACATTCCCTTTGAGAGAGCAGGTTTGAAACACGCCTTTTGTCATATCTGGAAGTGTCCATTCGGAGCGCATTCAGGCTTGTGTTGAAAAAGGAAATATCCTCCCATAAAAACTAGACAGAAGCATTCTCAGAAACTTATCTGTGATGTATGTACTCAACTAACAGAACTAAACCATCGTTTTGAAGGAGCAGTTTTGAAACACTCTTTTTGCGGAATCTGCAAGTGGATATTTGGCTAGCTGGGAGGATTTCGTTGGAAACGGGATTACATACAAAAAGCAGACAGCAGCATTCTCAGAAACTTCTTTGTGATGTTTGCATTCAAGTCACAGAGTTGAACATTCCCTTTCATAGAGCAGGTTTGAAACACTCTTTTTGTAGTATCTGGATGTGGACATTTGGATCGCTTTCAGGCCTATGGTGAAAAAGGAAATATCTTCCCATGAAAACTAGACAGAAGCATTCTCAGAAACTTATTTGTGATGTGTGCCCTCAACTGACAGTGTTGAACCTTTGTTTTGATAGAGCAGTTCTGAAACACACTTTTTGTAAAATCTGCAAGAGGATATTTGGATAGCTTTGAGGATTTCGTTGGAAACGGGAATGTCTTCATGTAAACTCTACACAGAAGCATTCTCAGAAACTGCTTTGGGATGTTTCAATTGAAGTCCCAGTGTTGAACATTCCCATTCATAGAGCAGGTTTGAAACACTCTTTTTGTACTATCTGGAAGTGGACATTTGGAGCGCTTTCAGGTCTACGGTGAAAAAGGAGATATCTTCCAATAAAAACTAGATAGAAGCAATGTCAGAACTTTTTTCATGATGTATCTACTCAGCACACAGAGTTGAACCTTTCTTTTGAGAGAGCAGTTTTGAAACACTCTTTTTGTGGAATATGCAAGTGGGTATTAGGCCAGCTTGGAGGATTTCGTTGGAAACGGGAATACGTATAAAAAGCAGACAGCAGCATTGTCAGAAACTACTTTGTGATGTTTGCATTCAAGTCACAGAATTGAACACTCCCTTTCACAGAGCAGGTTTGAAACACTCTTTTTGTAGTGTCTGTAAGTGAACATATGGATTGCTTTCAGGCCTAAGGTGAAAAAGGAAATATCTTCCCATAAAAACTAGACAGAAGCATTCTCAGAAACTTGTTTGTGATGTGTGCCCTCTACTGACAGATTTGAACCTTTCTTTGCAAAGAGCAGTTTTGAAACACTCTTTTTGTAGAATCTGCAAGAGGATATTTGGATAGCTTTGAAGATTTCTTGGGAAACGGGAATGTCTTCAGATAAACTCTAGACAGAAGCATTCTCAGAAACTTCTTTGGGATGTTTCAATTGAAGTCACAGTGTTGAACATTCCCTTTCACAGAGCAGGTTTGAAACACTCTTTTTGTAGTGTGTATAAGTGAATATTTCGCGTGCTTTCAGGCCTAACGTGAAAAAGGAAATATCTTCCCATAAAAACTAGACAGAAGCATTCTCAGAAACTTGTTTGTGATGTGTGCCCTCTACTGACAGAGTTGAACCTTTCTTTGCAAAGAGCAGCTTTGAAACACTCTTTTTGTAGAATCTGCAAGAGGATATGTGGATAGCTTTGAGGATTTCGTTGGAAACGGGTATGTCTTCAGATAAACTCTAGACAGAAGCATTCTCAGAAATTTCTTTGGGATGTTGCATGCAAGTCACAGAGTAGAACATTCCCATTCATAGAGCAGATTTGAAACACTCTTTTTGTACTATCTGGAAGTGGACATTTGGAGCGCTTTCAGGCCTATGTTGAAAAAGGAAATATCTTCCTATAAAAACTAGACGGAAGCATTCTCAGAAACTTAATTGTGATGAGTTTGCTCAACTAACAGGATTGAACCATCGTTTTGAAGGAGCAGTTTTGAAACACTGTTTTCGTGGAATCTGCAAGTGGATATTTGGCTAGCTTTGAGGATTTCGTTGGAAACGGGATTACATATAAAAAGGAGACAGCAGCATTCTCAGAAACTTCTTTGTGATGTCTGCATTCAATTCACAGAGTTGAGCATTCCCTTTCATAGAGCAGGTTGGAAACACTCTTTTTGTAGTATCTGGATGAGGACATTTGGAGCGCTTTCAGGCGTATGGTGAAAAGGGAAATATCTTCCCGTAAAAACTAGACAGAAGCATTCTCAGAAGTTTATTTGTGATGTGTGCCCTCAACTAACAGAGTTGGACCATTCTTTTGATAGAGCAGTTTTGAAACACTCTTTTTGTAAAATCTGCAACAGGATATTTGGATAGCTTTGAGGATTTCGTTGCAAACGGGAATGGCTTCATATAAACTCTAGACAGAAGCATTCTCAGAAACTTCGTTGGGATGTTTCGATTGAAGTCCCAGTGTTGAACATTCCCTTTTATAGAGCAGGTTGGAAACACTCTTTCTGCATTCCCTGGAAGTGGACATTTGGAGCGCTTTCAGGACGACGGTGAAAATGGAAATATCTTCCAAGAAAATCTAGATAGAAGCAACGTCAGAAACTTTTATGTGATGGATCTACTCAGCTAACAGAGTTGAACCTTTCTTTTGAGAGAGCAGTTTTGCAACACTCTTTTTGTGGAATATGCAAGTGGATATTAGGGCAGCTTTGAGGATTTCGTTGGAAACGGGAATACATGTAAAAAGCAGACAGCAGCATTCTCAGAAACTTCTTTGTGATGTTTGCATTGAAGTCACAGAGTTGAACATTCCCTTTGAGAGAGCAGGTTTGAAACACGCCTTTTGTCATATCTGGAAGTGTCCATTCGGAGCGCATTCAGGCTTGTGTTGAAAAAGGAAATATCCTCCCATAAAAACTAGACAGAAGCATTCTCAGAAACTTATCTGTGATGTATGTACTCAACTAACAGAACTAAACCATCGTTTTGAAGGAGCAGTTTTGAAACACTCTTTTTGCGGAATCTGCAAGTGGATATTTGGCTAGCTGGGAGGATTTCGTTGGAAACGGGATTACATACAAAAAGCAGACAGCAGCATTCTCAGAAACTTCTTTGTGATGTTTGCATTCAAGTCACAGAGTTGAACATTCCCTTTCATAGAGCAGGTTTGAAACACTCTTTTTGTAGTATCTGGATGTGGACATTTGGATCGCTTTCAGGCCTATGGTGAAAAAGGAAATATCTTCCCATGAAAACTAGACAGAAGCATTCTCAGAAACTTATTTGTGATGTGTGCCCTCAACTGACAGTGTTGAACCTTTGTTTTGATAGAGCAGTTCTGAAACACACTTTTTGTAAAATCTGCAAGAGGATATTTGGATAGCTTTGAGGATTTCGTTGGAAACGGGAATGTCTTCATGTAAACTCTACACAGAAGCATTCTCAGAAACTGCTTTGGGATGTTTCAATTGAAGTCCCAGTGTTGAACATTCCCATTCATAGAGCAGGTTTGAAACACTCTTTTTGTACTATCTGGAAGTGGACATTTGGAGCGCTTTCAGGTCTACGGTGAAAAAGGAGATATCTTCCAATAAAAACTAGATAGAAGCAATGTCAGAACTTTTTTCATGATGTATCTACTCAGCTAACAGAGTTGAACCTTTCTTTTGAGAGAGCAGTTTTGAAACACTCTTTGTGTGGAATATGCAAGTGGGTATTAGGCCAGCTTGGAGGATTTCGTTGGAAACGGGAATACGTATAAAAAGCAGACAGCAGCATTGTCAGAAACTACTTTGTGATGTTTGCATTCAAGTCACAGAATTGAACACTCCCTTTCACAGAGCAGGTTTGAAACACTCTTTTTGTAGTGTCTGTAAGTGAACATATGGATTGCTTTCAGGCCTAAGGTGAAAAAGGAAATATCTTCCCATAAAAACTAGACAGAAGCATTCTCAGAAACTTGTTTGTGATGTGTGCCCTCTACTGACAGAGTTGAACCTTTCTTTGCAAAGAGCAGTTTTGAAACACTCTTTTTGTAGAATCTGCAAGAGGATATTTGGATAGCTTTGAGGATTTCTTGGGAAACGGGAATGTCTTCAGATAAACTCTAGACAGAAGCATTCTCAGAAACTTCTTTGGGATGTTTCAATTGAAGTCACAGTGTTGAACATTCCCTTTCACAGGAGCAGGTTTGAAACACTCTTTTTGTAGTGTCTATAAGTGAACATTTGGCGTGCTTTCAGGCCTAACGTGAAAAAGGAAATATCTTCCCATAAAAACTAGACAGAAGCATTCTCAGAAACTTGTTTGTGATGTGTGCCCTCTACTGACAGAGTTGAACCTTTCCTTGCAAAGAGCAGCTTTGAAACACTCTTTTTGTAGAATCTGCAAGAGGATATTTGGATAGCTTTGAGGATTTCGTTGGAAACTGGTATGTCTTCAGATAAACTCTAGACAGAAGCATTCTCAGAAACTTCTTTGGGATGTTGCATTCAAGTCACAGAGTAGAACATTTCCATTCATAGAGCAGATTTGAAACACTCTTTTTGTAGTATCTGGAAGTGGACATTTGGAGCGCTTTCAGGCCTATGTTGAAAAAGGAAATATCTTCCCATAAAAACTAGACGGAAGCATTCTCAGAAACTTAATTGTGATGTGTTTGCTCAACTAACAGGATTGAACCATCGTTTTGAAGGAGCAGTTTTGAAACACTGTTTTCGTGGAATCTGCAAGTGGATATTTGGCTAGCTTTGAGGATTTCGTTGGAAACGGGATTACATATAAAAAGGAGACAGCAGCATTCTCAGAAACTTCTTTGTGATGTCTGCATTCAATTCACAGAGTTGAGCATTCCCTTTCATAGAGCAGGTTGGAAACACTCTTTTTGTAGTATCTGGATGTGGACATTTGGATCGCTTTCAGGCCTATGGTGAAAAAGGAAATATCTTCCCATGAAAACTAGACAGAAGCATTCTCAGAAACTTATTTGTGATGTGTGCACTCAACTGACAGTGTTGAACCTTTGTTTTGATAGAGCAGTTCTGAAACACAATTTTTGTAAAATCTGCAAGAGGATATTTGGATAGCTTTGAGGATTTCGTTGGAAACGGGAATGTCTTCATGTAAACTCTAGACAGAAGCATTCTCAGAAACTGCTTTGGGATGTTTCAATTGAATTCCCAGTGTTGAACATTCCCATTCATAGAGCAGGTTTGAAACACTCTTTTTCTACTATCTGGAAGTGGACATTTGGAGCGCTTTCAGGTCTACGGTGAAAAAGGAGATATCTTACAATAAAAACTAGATAGAAGCAATGTCAGAACTTTTTTCATGATGTATCTACTCAGCAAACAGAGTTGAACCTTTCTTTTGAGAGAGCAGTTTTGACACTGTCTTTGTGGAATATGCAAGTGGGTATTAGGCCAGCTTGGAGGATTTCGTTGGAAACGGGAATACGTATAAAAAGCAGACAGCAGCATTGTCAGAAACTACTTTGTGATGTTTGCATTCAAGTCACAGAATTGAACACTCCCTTTCACAGAGCAGGTTTGAAACACTCTTTTTGTAGTGTCTGTAAGTGAACATTTGCATTGCTTTCAGGCCTAAGGTGAAAAAGGAAATATCTTCCCATAAAAACTAGACAGAAGCATTCTCAGAAACTTGTTTGTGATGTGTGCCCTCTACTGACAGAGTTGAACCTTTCTTTGCAAAGAGCAGTTTTGAAACACTCTTTTTGTAGAATCTGCAAGAGGATATTTGGATAGCTTTGAGGATTTCTTGGGAAACGGGAATGTCTTCAGATAAACTCTAGACAGAAGCATTCTCAGAAACTTCTTTGGGATGTTTCAATTGAAGTCACAGTGTTGAACATTCCCTTTCACAGAGCAGGTTTCAAACACTCTTTTTGTAGTGTCTATAAGTGAACATTTGGCGTGCTTTCAGGCCTAACGTGAAAAAGGAAATATCTTCCCATAAAAACTAGACAGAAGCATTCTCAGAAACTTGTTCGTGATGTGTGCCCTCTACTGACAGAGTTGAACCTTTCTTTGCAAAGAGCAGCTTTGAAACACTCTTTTTGTAGAATCTGCAAGAGGATATTTGGATAGCTTTGAGGATTTCGTTGGAAACGGGTATGTCTTCAGATAAACTCTAGACAGAAGCATTCTCAGAAACTTCTTTGGGATGTTGCATTCAAGTCACAGAGTAGAACATACCCATTCATAGAGCAGATTTGAAACAATCTTTTTGTAGTATCTGGCAGTGGACATTTGGAGCGCTTTCAGGCCTATGTTGAAAAAGGAAATATCTTCCCATAAAAACTAGACGGAAGCATTCTCAGAAACTTACTTGTGATGTGTTTGCTCAACTAACAGAATTGAACCATCGTTTTGAAGGAGCAGTTTTGAAACACTGTTTTCGTGGAATCTGCAAGTGGATATTTGGCTAGCTTTGAGGATTTCGTTGGAAACGGGATTACATATAAAAAGGAGACAGCAGCATTCTCAGAAACTTCTTTGTGATGTCTGCATTCAAGTCACAGAGTTGAGCATTCCCTTTCATAGAGCAGGTTGGAAACACTCTTTTTGTAGTATCTGGATGAGGACATTTGGAGCGCTTTCAGGCGTATGGTGAAAAAGGAAATATCTTCCCGTAAAAACTAGACAGAACCATTCTCAGAAATTTATTTGTGATGTGTGCCCTCAACTAACAGAGTTGAACCTTTCTTTTGATAGAGCAGTTTTGAAACACTCTTTTTGTAAAATCTGCAAGAGGATATTTGGATAGCTTTGAGGATTTCGTTGCAAACGGGAATGGCTTCATATAAACTCTAGACAGAAGCATTCTCAGAAACTTCGTTGGGATGTTTCGATTGAAGTCCCAGTGTTGAACATTCCCTTTTATAGAGCAGGTTGGAAACACTCTTTCTGCATTCCCTGGAAGTGGACATTTGGAGCGCTTTCAGGACGACGGTGAAAATGGAAATATCTTCCAAGAAAATCTAGATAGAAGCAATGTCAGAAACTTTTCTGTGATGGATCTACTCAGCTAACAGAGTTGAACCTTTCTTTTGAGAGAGCAGTTTTGCAACACTCTTTTTGTGGAATATGCAAGTGGATATTAGGGCAGCTTTGAGGATTTCGTTGGAAACGGGAATACATGTAAAAAGCAGACAGCAGCATTCTCAGAAACTTCTTTGTGATGTTTGTATTGAAGTCACAGAGTTGAACATTCCCTTTGAGAGAGCAGGTTTGAAACACGCCTTTTGTCATATCTGGAAGTGTCCATTCGGAGCGCATTCAGGCTTGTGTTGAAAAAGGAAATATCCTCCCAGAAAAACTAGACAGAAGCATTCTCAGAAACTTATCTGTGATGTATGTACTCAACTAACAGAACTAAACCATCGTTTTGAAGGAGCAGTTTTGAAACACTCTTTTTGCGGAATCTGCAAGTGGATATTTGGCTAGCTGGGAGGATTTCGTTGGAAACGGGATTACATACAAAAAGCAGACAGCAGCATTCTCAGAAACTTCTTTGTGATGTTTGCATTCAAGTCACAGAGTTGAACATTCCCTTTCATAGAGCAGGTTTGAAACACTCTTTTTGTAGTATCTGGATGTGGACATTTGGATCGCTTTCAGGCCTATGGTGAAAAAGGAAATATCTTCCCATGAAAACTAGACAGAAGCATTCTCAGAAACTTATTTGTGATGTGTGCCCTCAACTGACAGTGTTGAACCTTTGTTTTGATAGAGCAGTTCTGAAACACACTTTTTGTAAAATCTGCAAGAGGATATTTGGATAGCTTTGAGGATTTCGTTGGAAACGGGAATGTCTTCATGTAAACTCTACACAGAAGCATTCTCAGAAACTGCTTTGGGATGTTTCAATTGAAGTCCCAGTGTTGAACATTCCCATTCATAGAGCAGGTTTGAAACACTCTTTTTGTACTATCTGGAAGTGGACATTTGGAGCGCTTTCAGGTCTACGGTGAAAAAGGAGATATCTTCCAATAAAAACTAGATAGAAGCAATGTCAGAACTTTTTTCATGATGTATCTACTCAGCTAACAGAGTTGAACCTTTCTTTTGAGAGAGCAGTTTTGAAACACTCTTTTTGTGGAATATGCAAGTGGGTATTAGGCCAGCTTGGAGGATTTCGTTGGAAACGGGAATACGTATAAAAAGCAGACAGCAGCATTGTCAGAAACTACTTTGTGATGTTTGCATTCAAGTCACAGAATTGAACACTCCCTTTCACAGAGCAGGTTTGAAACACTCTTTTTGTAGTGTCTATAAGTGAACATTTGGCGTGCTTTCAGGCCTAAGGTGAAAAAGGAAATATCTTCCCATAAAAACTAGACAGAAGCATTCTCAGAAACTTGTTCGTGATGTGTGCCCTCTACTGACAGAGTTGAACCTTTCTTTGCAAAGAGCAGCTTTGAAACACTCTTTTTGTAGAATCTGCAAGAGGATATTTGGATAGCTTTGAGGATTTCGTTGGAAACGGGTATGTCTTCAGATAAACTCTAGACAGAAGCATTCTCAGAAACTTCTTTGGGATGTTGCATTCAAGTCACAGAGTAGAACATTCCCATTCATAGAGCAGATTTGAAACACTCTTTTTGTAGTATCTGGAAGTGGACATTTGGAGCGCTTTCAGGCCTATGTTGAAAAAGGAAATATCTTCCCATAAAAACTAGACGGAAGCATTCTCAGAAACTTACTTGTGATGTGTTTGCTCAACTAACAGAATTGAACCATCGTTTTGAAGGAGCAGTTTTGAAACACTGTTTTCGTGGAATCTGCAAGTGGATATTTGGCTAGCTTTGAGGATTTCGTTGGAAACGGGATTACATATAAAAAGGAGACAGCAGCATTCTCAGAAACTTCTTTGTGATGTCTGCATTCAAGTCACAGAGTTGAGCATTCCCTTTCATAGAGCAGGTTGGAAACACTCTTTTTGTAGTATCTGGATGAGGACATTTGGAGCGCTTTCAGGCCTATGGTGAAAAAGGAAATATCTTCCCGTAAAAACTAGACAGAAGCATTCTCAGAAATTTATTTGTGATGTGTGCCCTCAACTAACAGAGTTGAACCTTTCTTTTGATAGAGCAGTTTTGAAACACTCTTTTTGTAAAATCTGCAAGAGGATATTTGGATAGCTTTGAGGATTTCGTTGCAAACGGGAATGGCTTCATATAAACTCTAGACAGAAGCATTCTCAGAAACTTCGTTGGGATGTTTCGATTGAAGTCCCAGTGTTGAACATTCCCTTTTATAGAGCAGGTTGGAAACACTCTTTCTGCATTCCCTGGAAGTGGACATTTGGAGCGCTTTCAGGACGACGGTGAAAATGGAAATATCTTCCAAGAAAATCTAGATAGAAGCAACGTCAGAAACTTTTCTGTGATGGATCTACTCAGCTAACAGAGTTGAACCTTTCTTTTGAGAGAGCAGTTTTGCAACACTCTTTTTGTGGAATATGCAAGTGGATATTAGGGCAGCTTTGAGGATTTCGTTGGAAACGGGAATACATGTAAAAAGCAGACAGCAGCATTCTCAGAAACTTCTTTGTGATGTTTGCATTGAAGTCACAGAGTTGAACATTCCCTTTGAGAGAGCAGGTTTGAAACACACCTTTTGTCATATCTGGAAGTGTCCATTCGGAGCGCATTCAGGCTTGTGTTGAAAAAGGAAATATCCTCCCATAAAAACTAGACAGAAGCATTCTCAGAAACTTATTTGTGATGTATGTACTCAAGTAACAGAACTAAACCATCGTTTTGAAGGAGCAGTTTTGAAACACTCTTTTTGCGGAATCTGCAAGTGGATATTTGGCTAGCTGGGAGGATTTCGTTGGAAACGGGATTACATACAAAAAGCAGACAGCAGCATTCTCAGAAACTTATTTGTGATGTGTGCCCTCAACTGACAGTGTTGAACCTTTGTTTTGATAGAGCAGTTCTGAAACACACTTTTTGTAAAATCTGCAAGAGGATATTTGGATAGCTTTGAGGATTTCGTTGGAAACGGGAATGTCTTCATGTAAACTCTAGACAGAAGCATTCTCAGAAACTGCTTTGGGATGTTTCAATTGAAGTCCCAGTGTTGAACATTCCCTTTCATAGAGCAGGTTTGAAACACTCTTTTTGTAGTATCTGGATGAGGACATTTGGAGCGCTTTCAGGCGTATGGTGAAAAAGGAAATATCTTCCCGTAAAAACAAGACAGAAGCATTCTCAGAAGTATATTTCTGATGTGTGCCCTCAACTAACAGAGTTGAACCTTTCTTTTGATAGAGCAGTTTTGAAACACTCTTTTTGTAAAATCTGCAAGAGGATATTTGGATAGCTTTGAGGATTTCGTTGCAAACGGGAATGGCTTCATATAAACTCTAGACAGAAGCATTCTCAGAAACTTCGTTGGGATGTTTCGATTGAAGTCCCAGTGTTGAACATTCCCATTCATAGAGCAGGTTTGAAACACTCTTTTTGTACTATCTGGAAGTGGACATTTGGAGCGCTTTCAGGTCTACGGTGAAAAAGGAGATATCTTCCAATAAAAACTAGATAGAAGCAATGTCAGAACTTTTTTCATGATGTATCTACTCAGCAAACAGAGTTGAACCTTTCTTTTGAGAGAGCAGTTTTGAAACACTCTTTTTGTGGAATATGCAAGTGGGTATTAGGCCAGCTTGGAGGATTTCGTTGGAAACGGGAATACGTATAAAAAGCAGACAGCAGCATTGTCAGAAACTACTTTGTGATGTTTGCATTCAAGTCACAGAATTGAACACTCCCTTTCACAGAGCAGGTTTGAAACACTCTTTTTGTAGTGTCTGTAAGTGAACATTTGGATTGCTTTCAGGCCTAAGGTGAAAAAGGAAATATCTTCCCATAAAAACTAGACAGAAGCATTCTCAGAAACTTGTTTGTGATGTGTGCCCTCTACTGACAGAGTTGAACCTTTCTTTGCAAAGAGCAGTTTTGAAACACTCTTTTTGTAGAATCTGCAAGAGGATATTTGGATAGCTTTGAGGATTTCTTGGGAAACGGGAATGTCTTCAGATAAACTCTAGACAGAAGCATTCTCAGAAACTTCTTTGGGATGTTTCAATTGAAGTCACAGTGTTGAACATTCCCTTTCACAGAGCAGGTTTGAAACACTCTTTTTGTAGTGTCTATAAGTGAACATTTGGCGTGCTTTCAGGCCTAACGTGAAAAAGGAAATATCTTCCCATAAAAACTAGACAGAAGCATTCTCAGAAACTTGTTCGTGATGTGTGCCCTCTACTGACAGAGTTGAACCTTTCTTTGCAAAGAGCAGCTTTGAAACACTCTTTTTGTAGAATCTGCAAGAGGATATTTGGATAGCTTGGAGGATTTCGTTGGAAACGGGTATGTCTTCAGATAAACTCTAGACAGAAGCATTCTCAGAAACTTCTTTGGGATGTTGCATTCAAGTCACAGAGTAGAACATTCCCATTCATAGAGCAGATTTGAAACACTCTTTTTGTAGTATCTGGAAGTGGACATTTGGAGCGCTTTCAGGCCTATGTTGAAAAAGGAAATATCTTCCCATAAAAACTAGACGGAAGCATTCTCAGAAACTTATTTGTGATGTGTTTGCTCAACTAACAGGATTGAACCATCGTTTTGAAGGAGCAGTTTTGAAACACTGTTTTCGTGGAATCTGCAAGTGGATATTTGGCTAGCTTTGAGGATTTCGTTGGAAACGGGATTACATATAAAAAGGAGACAGCAGCATTCTCAGAAACTTCTTTGTGATGTCTGCATTCAATTCACAGAGTTGAGCATTCCCTTTCATAGAGCAGGTTGGAAACACTCTTTTTGTAGTATCTGGATGAGGACATTTGGAGCGCTTTCAGGCGTATGGTGAAAAAGGAAATATCTTCCCGTAAAAACTAGACAGAAGCATTCTCAGAAGTTTATTTGTGATGTGTGCCCTCAACTAACAGAGTTGAACCTTTCTTTTGATAGAGCAGTTTTGAAACACTCTTTTTGTAAAATCTGCAAGAGGATATTTGGATAGCTTTGAGGATTTCGTTGCGAACGGGAATGGCTTCATATAAACTCTAGACAGAAGCATTCTCAGAAACTTCGTTGGGATGTTTCGATTGAAGTCCCAGTGTTGAACATTCCCTTTTATAGAGCAGGTTGGAAACACTCTTTCTGCATTCCCTGGAAGTGGACATTTGGAGCGCTTTCAGGACGACGGTGAAAATGGAAATATCTTCCAAGAAAATCTAGATAGAAGCAATGTCAGAAACTTTTATGTGATGGATCTACTCAGCTAACAGAGTTGAACCTTTCTTTTGAGAGAGCAGTTTTGCAACACTCTTTTTGTGGAATATGCAAGTGGATATTAGGGCAGCTTTGAGGATTTCGTTGGAAACGGGAATACATGTAAAAAGCAGACAGCAGCATTCTCAGAAACTTCTTTGTGATGTTTGCATTGAAGTCACAGAGTTGAACATTCCCTTTGAGAGAGCAGGTTTGAAACACGCCTTTTGTCATATCTGGAAGTGTCCATTCGGAGCGCATTCAGGCTTGTGTTGAAAAAGGAAATATCCTCCCATAAAAACTAGGACGGAAGCATTCTCAGAAACTTATCTGTGATATATGTACTCAACTAACAGAACTAAACCATCGTTTTGAAGGAGCAGTTTTGAAACACTCTTTTTGCGGAATCTGCAAGTGGATATTTGGCTAGCTGGGAGGATTTCGTTGGAAACGGGATTACATACAAAAAGCAGACAGCAGCATTCTCAGAAACTTCTTTGTGATGTTTGCATTCAAGTCACAGAGTTGAACATTCCCTTTCATAGAGCAGGTTTGAAACACTCTTTTTGTAGTATCTGGATGTGGACATTTGGATCGCTTTCAGGCCTATGGTGAAAAAGGAAATATCTTCCCATGAAAACTAGACAGAAGCATTCTCAGAAACTTATTGGTGATGTGTGCCCTCAACTGACAGTGTTGAACCTTTGTTTTGATAGAGCAGTTCTGAAAAACACTTTTTGTAAAATCTGCAAGAGGATATTTGGATAGCTTTGAGGATTTCGTTGGAAACGGGAATGTCTTCATGTAAACTCTACACAGAAGCATTCTCAGAAACTGCTTTGGGATGTTTCAATTGAAGTCCCAGTGTTGAACATTCCCTTTCATAGAGCAGGTTTGAAACACTCTTTTTGTACTATCTGGAAGTGGACATTTGGAGCGCTTTCAGGTCTACGGTGAAAAAGGAGATATCTTCCAATAAAAACTAGATAGAAGCAATGTCAGAACTTTTTTCATGATGTATCTACTCAGCAAACAGAGTTGAACCTTTCTTTTGAGAGAGCAGTTTTGAAACACTCTTTTTGTGGAATATGCAAGTGGGTATTAGGCCAGCTTGGAGGATTTCGTTGGAAACGGGAATACGTATAAAAAGCAGACAGCAGCATTGTCAGAAACTACTTTGTGATGTTTGCATTCAAGTCACAGAATTGAACACTCCCTTTCACAGAGCAGGTTTGAAACACTCTTTTTGTAGTGTCTGTAAGTGAACATATGGATTGCTTTCAGGCCTAAGGTGAAAAAGGAAATATCTTCCCATAAAAACTAGACAGAAGCATTCTCAGAAACTTGTTTGTGATGTGTGCCCTCTACTGACAGAGTTGAACCTTTCTTTGCAAAGAGCAGTTTTGAAACACTCTTTTTGTAGAATCTGCAAGAGGATATTTGGATAGCTTTGAGGATTTCTTGGGAAACGGGAATGTCTTCAGATAAACTCTAGACAGAAGCATTCTCAGAAACTTCTTTGGGATGTTTCAATTGAAGTCACAGTGTTGAACATTCCCTTTCACAGAGCAGGTTTGAAACACTCTTTTTGTAGTGTCTATAAGTGAACATTTGGCGTGCTTTCAGGCGTAACGTGAAAAAGGAAATATCTTCCCATAAAAACCAGACAGAAGCATTCTCAGAAACTTGTTCTTGATGTGTCCCCTCTACTGACAGAGTTGAACCTTTCTTTGCAAAGAGCAGCTTTGAAACACTCTTTTTGTAGAATCTGCAAGAGGATATTTGGATAGCTTGGAGGATTTCGTTGGAAACGGGTATGTCTTCAGATAAACTCTAGACAGAAGCATTCTCAGAAACTTCTTTGGGATGTTGCATTCAAGTCACAGAGTAGAACATTCCCATTCATAGAGCAGATTTGAAACACTCTTTTTGTAGTATCTGGAAGTGGACATTTGGAGCGCTTTCAGGCCTATGTTGAAAAAGGAAATATCTTCCCATAAAAACTAGACGGAAGCATTCTCAGAAACTTATTTGTGATGTGTTTGCTCAAGTAACAGGATTGAACCATCGTTTTGAAGGAGCAGTTTTGAAACACTGTTTTCGTGGAATCTGCAAGTGGATATTTGGCTAGCTTTGAGGATTTCGTTGGAAACGGGATTACATATAAAAAGGAGACAGCAGCATTCTCAGAAACTTCTTTGTGATGTCTGCATTCAAGTCACAGAGTTGAGCAATCCCTTTCATGGAGCAGGTTTGAAACACTCTTTTTGTAGTATCTGGATGAGGACATTTGGAGCGCGTTCAGGCGTATGGTGATAAAGGAAATATCTTCCCGTAAAAACTAGACAGAAGCATTCTCAGAAATTTATTTGTGATGTGTGCCCTCAACTAACAGAGTTGAACCTTTCTTTTGATAGAGCAGTTTTGAAACACTCTTTTTGTAAAATCTGCAAGAGGATATTTGGAGAGCTTTGAGGATTTCGTTGCAAACGGGAATGGCTTCATATAAACTCTAGACAGAAGCATTCTCAGAAACTTCGTTGGGATGTTTCGATTGAAGTCCCAGTGTTGAACATTCCCTTTTATAGAGCAGGTTGGAAACACTCTTTCTGCATTCCCTGGAAGTGGACATTTGGAGCGCTTTCAGGACGACGGTGAAAATGGAAATATCTTCCAAGAAAATCTAGATAGAAGCAATGTCAGAAACTTTTATGTGATGGATCTACTCAGCTAACAGAGTTGAACCTTTCTTTTGAGAGAGCAGTTTTGCAACACTCTTTTTGTGGAATATGCAAGTGGATATTAGGGCAGCTTTGAGGATTTCGTTGGAAACGGGAATACATGTAAAAAGCAGACAGCAGCATTCTCAGAAACTTCTTTGTGATGTTTGCATTGAAGTCACAGAGTTGAACATTCCCTTTGAGAGAGCAGGTTTGAAACACGCCTTTTGTCATATCTGGAAGTGTCCATTCGGAGCGCATTCAGGCTTGTGTTGAAAAAGGAAATATCCTCCCATAAAAACTAGACAGAAGCATTCTCAGAAACTTATCTGTGATGTATGTACTCAACTAACAGAACTAAACCATCGTTTTGAAGGAGCAGTTTTGAAACACTCTTTTTGCGGAATCTGCAAGTGGATATTTGGCTAGCTGGGAGGATTTCGTTGGAAACGGGATTACATACAAAAAGCAGACAGCAGCATTCTCAGAAACTTCTTTGTGATGTTTGCATTCAAGTCACAGAGTTGAACATTCCCTTTCATAGAGCAGGTTTGAAACACTCTTTTTGTAGTATCTGGATGTGGACATTTGGATCGCTTTCAGGCCTATGGTGAAAAAGGAAATATCTTCCCATGAAAACTAGACAGAAGCATTCTCAGAAACTTATTTGTGATGTGTGCCCTCAACTGACAGTGTTGAACCTTTGTTTTGATAGAGCAGTTCTGAAACACACTTTTTGTAAAATCTGCAAGAGGATATTTGGATAGCTTTGAGGATTTCGTTGGAAACGGGAATGTCTTCATGTAAACTCTACACAGAAGCATTCTCAGAAACTGCTTTGGGATGTTTCAATTGAAGTCCCAGTGTTGAACATTCCCTTTCATAGAGCAGGTTTGAAACACTCTTTTTGTACTATCTGGAAGTGGACATTTGGAGCGCTTTCAGGTCTACGGTGAAAAAGGAGATATCTTCCAATAAAAACTAGATAGAAGCAATGTCAGAACTTTTTTCATGATGTATCTACTCAGCAAACAGAGTTGAACCTTTCTTTTGAGAGAGCAGTTTTGAAACACTCTTTTTGTGGAATATGCAAGTGGGTATTAGGCCAGCTTGGAGGATTTCGTTGGAAACGGGAATACGTATAAAAAGCAGACAGCAGCATTGTCAGAAACTACTTTGTGATGTTTGCATTCAAGTCACAGAATTGAACACTCCCTTTCACAGAGCAGGTTTGAAACACGCTTTTTGTAGTGTCTGTAAGTGAACATTTGGATTGCTTTCAGGCCTAAGGTGAAAAAGGAAATATCTTCCCATAAAAACTAGACAGAAGCATTCTCAGAAACTTGTTTGTGATGTGTGCCCTCTACTGACAGAGTTGAACCTTTCTTTGCAAAGAGCAGTTTTGAAACACTCTTTTTGTAGAATCTGCAAGAGGATATTTGGATAGCTTTGAGGATTTCTTGGGAAACGGGAATGTCTTCAGATAAACTCTAGACAGAAGCATTCTCAGAAACTTCTTTGGGATGTTTCAATTGAAGTCACAGTGTTGAACATTCCCTTTCACAGAGCAGGTTTGAAACACTCTTTTTGTAGTGTCTATAAGTGAACATTTGGCGTGCTTTCAGGCCTAACGTGAAAAAGGAAATATCTTCCCATAAAAACTAGACAGAAGCATTCTCAGAAACTTGTTCATGATGTGTGCCCTCTACTGACAGAGTTGAACCTTTCTTTGCAAAGAGCAGCTTTGAAACACTCTTTTTGTAGAATCTGCAAGAGGATATTTGGATAGCTTTGAGGATTTCGTTGGAAACGGGTATGTCTTCAGATAAACTCTAGACAGAAAGAATTCTCAGAAACTTCTTTGGGATGTTGCATTCAAGTCACAGAGTAGAACATTCCCATTCATAGAGCAGATTTGAAACACTCTTTTTGTAGTATCTGGAAGTGGACATTTGGAGCGCTTTCAGGCCTATGTTGAAAAAGGATATATCTTCCCATAAAAACTAGACGGAAGCATTCTCAGAAACTTACTTGTGATGTGTTTGCTCAACTAACAGAATTGAACCATCGTTTTGAAGGAGCAGTTTTGAAACACTGTTTTCGTGGAATCTGCAAGTGGATATTTGGCTAGCTTTGAGGATTTCGTTGGAAACGGGATTACATATAAAAAGGAGACAGCAGCATTCTCAGAAACTTCTTTGTGATGTCTGCATTCAAGTCACAGAGTTGAGCATTCCCTTTCATAGAGCAGGTTGGAAACACTCTTTGTGTAGTATCTGGATGAGGACATTTGGAGCGCTTTCAGGCCTATGGTGAAAAAGGAAATATCTTCCCGTAAAAACTAGACAGAAGCATTCTCAGAAATTTATTTGTGATGTGTGCCCTCAACTAACAGAGTTGAACCTTTCTTTTGATAGAGCAGTTTTGAAACACTCTTTTTGTAAAATCTGCAAGAGGATATTTGGATAGCTTTGAGGATTTCGTTGCAAACGGGAATGGCTTCATATAAACTCTAGACAGAAACATTCTCAGAAACTTCGTTGGGATGTTTCGATTGAAGTCCCAGTGTTGAACATTCCCTTTTATAGAGCAGGTTGGAAACACTCTTTCTGCATTCCCTGGAAGTGGACATTTGGAGCGCTTTCAGGACGACGGTGAAAATGGAAATATCTTCCAAGAAAATCTAGATAGAAGCAATGTCAGAAACTTTTATGTGATGGATCTACTCAGCTAACAGAGTTGAACCTTTCTTTTGAGAGAGCAGTTTTGCAACACTCTTTTTGTGGAATATGCAAGTGGATATTAGGGCAGCTTTGAGGATTTCGTTGGAAACGGGAATACATGTAAAAAGCAGACAGCAGCATTCTCAGAAACTTCTTTGTGATGTTTGCATTGAAGTCACAGAGTTGAACATTCCCTTTGAGAGAGCAGGTTTGAAACACGCCTTTTGTCATATCTGGAAGTGTCCATTCGGAGGGCATTCAGGCTTGTGTTGAAAAAGGAAATATCCTCCCATAAAAACTAGACAGAAGCATTCTCAGAAACTTATCTGTGATGTATGTACTCAACTAACAGAACTAAACCATCGTTTTGAAGGAGCAGTTTTGAAACACTCTTTTTGCGCAATCTGCAAGTGGATATTTGGCTAGCTGGGAGGATTTCGTTGGAAACGGGATTACATACAAAAAGCAGACAGCAGCATTCTCAGAAACTTCTTTGTGATTTTTGCATTCAAGTCACAGAGTTGAACATTCCCTTTCATAGAGCAGGTTGGAAACACTCTTTTTGTAGTATCTGGATGTGGACATTTGGATCGCTTTCAGGCCTATGGTGAAAAAGGAAATATCTTCCCATGAAAACTAGACAGAAGCATTCTCAGAAACTTATTTGTGATGTGTGCCCTCAACTGACAGTGTTGAACCTTTGTTTTGATAGAGCAGTTCTGAAACACACTTTTTGTAAAATCTGCAAGAGGATATTTGGATAGCTTTGAGGATTTCGTTGGAAACGGGAATGTCTTCATGTAAACTCTGGACAGAAGCATTCTCAGAAACTGCTTTGGGATGTTTCAATTGAAGTCACAGTGTTGAACATTCCCATTCATAGAGCAGGTTTGAAACACTCTTTTTGTACTATCTGGAAGTGGACATTTGGAGCGCTTTCAGGTCTACGGTGAAAAAGGAGATATCTTCCAATAAAAACTAGATAGAAGCAATGTCAGAACTTTTTTCATGATGTATCTACTCAGCAAACAGAGTTGAACCTTTCTTTTGAGAGAGCAGTTTTGAAACACTCTTTTTGTGGAATATGCAAGTGGGTATTAGGCCAGCTTGGAGGATTTCGTTGGAAACGGGAATACGTATAAAAAGCAGACAGCAGCATTGTCAGAAACTACTTTGTGATGTTTGCATTCAAGTCACAGAATTGAACACTCCCTTTCACAGAGCAGGTTTGAAACACACTTTTTGTAGTGTCTGTAAGTGAACATTTGGATTGCTTTCAGGCCTAAGGTGAAAAAGGAAATATCTTCCCATAAAAACTAGACAGAAGCATTCTCAGAAACTTGTTTGTGATGTGTGCCCTCTACTGACAGAGTTGAACCTTTCTTTGCAAAGAGCAGTTTTGAAACACTCTTTTTGTAGAATCTGCAAGAGGATATTTGGATAGCTTTGAGGATTTCTTGGGAAACGGGAATGTCTTCAGATAAACTCTAGACAGAAGCATTCTCAGAAACTTCTTTGGGATGTTTCAATTGAAGTCACAGTGTTGAACATTCCCTTTCACAGAGCAGGTTTGAAACACTCTTTTTGTAGTGTCTATAAGTGAACATTTGGCGTGCTTTCAGGCCTAACGTGAAAAAGGAAATATCTTCCCATAAAAACTAGACAGAAGCATTCTCAGAAACTTGTTCGTGATGTGTGCCCTCTACTGACAGAGTTGAACCTTTCTTTGCAAAGAGCAGCTTTGAAACACACTTTTTGTAGAATCTGCAAGAGGATATTTGGATAGCTTTGAGGATTTCGTTGGAAACGGGTATGTCTTCAGATAAACTACTAGACAGAAGCATTCTCAGAAACTTCTTTGGGATGTTGCATTCAAGTCACAGAGTAGAACATTCCCATTCATAGAGCAGATTTGAAACACTCTTTTTGTAGTATCTGGAAGTGGACATTTGGAGCGCTTTCAGGCCTATGTTGAAAAAGGAAATATCTTCCCATAAAAACTAGACGGAAGCATTCTCAGAAACTTATTTGTGATGTGTTTGCTCAACTAACAGGATTGAACCATCGTTTTGAAGGAGCAGTTTTGAAACACTGTTTTCGTGGAATCTGCAAGTGGATATTTGGCTAGCTTTGAGGATTTCGTTGGAAACGGGATTACATATAAAAAGGAGACAGCAGCATTCTCAGAAACTTCTTTGTGATGTCTGCATTCAATTCACAGAGTTGAGCATTCCCTTTCATAGAGCAGGTTGGAAACACTCTTTTTGTAGTATCTGGATGAGGACATTTGGAGCGCTTTCTGGCCTATGGTGAAAAAGGAAATATCTTCCCGTAAAAACTAGACAGAAGCATTCTCAGAAGTTTGTTTGTGATGTGTGCCCTCAACTAACAGAGTTGAACCTTTCTTTTGATAGAGCAGTTTTGAAACACTCTTTTTGTAAAATCTGCAAGAGGATATTTGGATAGCTTTGAGGATTTCGTTGCAAACGGGAATGGCTTCATATAAACTCTAGACAGAAGCATTCTCAGAAACTTCGTTGGGATGTTTCGATTGAAGTCCCAGTGTTGAACATTCCCTTTTATAGAGCAGGTTGGAAACACTCTTTCTGCATTCCCTGGAAGTGGACATTTGGAGCGCTTTCAGGACGACGGTGAAAATGGAAATATCTTCCAAGAAAATCTAGATAGAAGCAATGTCAGAAAATTTTCTGTGATGGATCTACTCAGCTAACAGAGTTGAAGCTTTCTTTTGAGAGAGCAGTTTTGCAACACTCTTTTTGTGGAATATGCAAGTGGATATTAGGGCAGCTTTGAGGATTTCGTTGGAAACGGGAATACATGTAAAAAGCAGACAGCAGCATTCTCAGAAACTTCTTTGTGATGTTTGCATTGAAGTCACAGAGTTGAACATTCCCTTTGAGAGAGCAGGTTTGAAACACGCCTTTTGTCATATCTGGAAGTGTCCATTCGGAGCGCATTCAGGCTTGTGTTGAAAAAGGAAATATCCTCCCATAAAAACTAGACAGAAGCATTCTCAGAAACTTATCTGTGATGTATGTACTCAACTAACAGAACTAAACCATCGTTTTGAAGGAGCAGTTTTGAAACACTCTTTTTGCGGAATATGCAAGTGGATATTTGGCTAGCTTGGAGGATTTCGTTGGAAACGGGATTACATACAAAAAGCAGAGAGCAGCATTCTCAGAAACTTCTTTGTGATGTTTGCATTCAAGTCACAGAGTTGAACATTCCCTTTCATAGAGCAGGTTTGAAACACTCTTTTTGTAGTATGTGGATGTGGACATTTGGATCGCTTTCAGGCCTATGGTGAAAAAGGAAATATCTTCCCATGAAAACTAGACAGAAGCATTCTCAGAAATTTATTTGTGATGTGTGCCCTCAACTAACAGAGTTGAACCTTTCTTTTGATAGAGCAGTTTTGAAACACTCTTTTTGTAAAATCTGCAAGAGGATATTTGGATAGCTTTGAGGATTTCGTTGCAAACGGGAATGGCTTCATATAAACTCTAGACAGAAGCATTCTCAGAAACTTCGTTGGGATGTTTCGATTGAAGTCCCAGTGTTGAACATTCCCTTTTATAGAGCAGGTTGGAAACACTCTTTCTGCATTCCCTGGAAGTGGACATTTGGAGCGCTTTCAGGACGACGGTGAAAATGGAAATATCTTCCAAGAAAATCTAGATAGAAGCAATGTCAGAAACTTTTATGTGATGGATCTACTCAGCTAACAGAGTTGAAGCTTTCTTTTGAGAGAGCAGTTTTGCCACACTCTTTTTGTGGAATATGCAAGTGGATATTAGGGCAGCTTTGAGGATTTCGTTGGAAACGGGAATACATGTAAAAAGCAGACAGCAGCATTCTCAGAAACTTCTTTGTGATGTTTGCATTGAAGTCACAGAGTTGAACATTCCCTTTGAGAGAGCAGGTTTGAAACACGCCTTTTGTCATATCTGGAAGTGTCCATTCGGAGCGCATTCAGGCTTGTGTTGAAAAAGGAAATATCCTCCCATAAAAACTAGACAGAAGCATTCTCAGAAACTTATCTGTGATGTATGTACTCAACTAACAGAACTAAACCATCGTTTTGAAGGAGCAGTTTTAAAACACTCTTTTTGCGGAATCTGCAAGTGGATATTTGGCTAGCTGGGAGGATTTCGTTGGAAACGGGATTACATACAAAAAGCAGACAGCAGCATTCTCAGAAACTTCTTTGTGATGTTTGCATTCAAGTCACAGAGTTGAACATTCCCTTTCATAGAGCAGGTTTGAAACACTCTTTTTGTAGTATCTGGATGTGGACATTTGGATCGCTTTCAGGCCTATGGTGAAAAAGGAAATATCTTCCCATGAAAACTAGACAGAAGCATTCTCAGAAACTTATTTGTGATGTGTGCCCTCAACTGACAGTGTTGAACCTTTGTTTTGATAGAGCAGTTCTGAAACACACCTTTTGTAAAATCTGCAAGAGGATATTTGGATAGCTTTGAGGATTTCGTTGGAAACGGGAATGTCTTCATGTAAACTCTAGACAGAAGCATTCTCAGAAACTGCTTTGGGATGTTTCAATTGAAGTCCCAGTGTTGAACATTCCCTTTCATAGAGCAGGTTTGAAACACTCTTTTTGTACTATCTGGAAGTGGACATTTGGAGCGCTTTCAGGTCTACGGTGAAAAAGGAGATATCTTCCAATAAAAACTAGATAGAAGCAATGTCAGAACTTTTTTCATGATGTATCTACTCAGCAAACAGAGTTGAACCTTTCTTTTGAGAGAGCAGTTTTGAAACACTCTTTTTGTGGAATATGCAAGTGGGTATTAGGCCAGCTTGGAGGATTTCGTTGGAAACGGGAATACGTATAAAAAGCAGACAGCAGCATTGTCAGAAACTACTTTGTGATGTTTGCATTCAAGTCACAGAATTGAACACTCCCTTTCACAGAGCAGGTTTGAAACACTCTTTTTGTAGTGTCTGTAAGTGAACATTTGGATTGCTTTCAGGCCTAAGGTGAAAAAGGAAATATCTTCCCATAAAAACTAGACAGAAGCATTCTCAGAAACTTGTTTGTGATGTGTGCCCTCTACTGACAGAGTTGAACCTTTCTTTGCAAAGAGCAGTTTTGAAACACTCTTTTTGTAGAATCTGCAAGAGGATATTTGGATAGCTTTGAGGATTTCTTGGGAAACGGGAATGTCTTCAGATAAACTCTAGACAGAAGCATTCTCAGAAACTTCTTTGGGATGTTTCAATTGAAGTCACAGTGTTGAACATTCCCTTTCACAGAGCAGGTTTGAAACACTCTTTTTGTAGTGTCTATAAGTGAACATTTGGCGTGCTTTCAGGCCTAACGTGAAAAAGGAAATCTCTTCCCATAAAAACTAGACAGAAGCATTCTCAGAAACTTGTTCATGATGTGTGCCCTCTACTGACAGAGTTGAACCTTTCTTTGCAAAGAGCAGCTTTGAAACACTCTTTTTGTAGAATCTGCAAGAGGATATTTGGATAGCTTTGAGGATTTCGTTGGAAACGGGTATGTCTTCAGATAAACTCTAGACAGAAGCATTCTCAGAAACTTCTTTGGGATGTTGCATTCAAGTCACAGAGTAGAACATTCCCATTCATAGAGCAGATTTGAAACACTCTTTTTGTAGTATCTGGAAGTGGACATTTGGAGCGGTTTAAGGCCTATGTTGAAAAAGGAAATATCTTCCCATAAAAACTAGACGGAAGCATTCTCAGAAACTTACTTGTGATGTGTTTGCTCAACTAACAGAATTGAACCATCGTTTTGAAGGAGCAGTTTTGAAACACTGTTTTCGTGGAATCTGCAAGTGGATATTTGGCTAGCTTTGAGGATTTCGTTGGAAACGGGATTACATATAAAAAGGAGACAGCAGCATTCTCAGAAACTTCTTTGTGATGTCTGCATTCAAGTCACAGAGTTGAGCATTCCCTTTCATAGAGCAGGTTGGAAACTCTCTTTTTGTAGTATCTGGATGAGGACATTTGGAGCGCTTTCAGGCGTATGGTGAAAAAGGAAATATCTTCCCGTAAAAACTAGACAGAAGCATTCTCAGAAATTTATTTGTGATGTGTGCCCTCAACTAACAGAGTTGAACCTTTCTTTTGATAGAGCAGTTTTGAAACACTCTTTTTGTAAAATCTGCAAGAGGATATTTGGATAGCTTTGAGGATTTCGTTGCAAACGGGAATGGCTTCATATAAACTCTAGACAGAAGCATTCTCAGAAACTTCGTTGGGATGTTTCGATTGAAGTCCCAGTGTTGAACATTCCCTTTTATAGAGCAGGTTGGAAACACTCTTTCTGCATTCCCTGGAAGTGGACATTTGGAGCGCTTTCAGGACGACGGTGAAAATGGAAATATCTTCCAATAAAATCTAGATAGAAGCAACGTCAGAAACTTTTATGTGATGGATCTACTCAGCTAACAGAGTTGAACCTTTCTTTTGAGAGAGCAGTTTTGCAACACTCTTTTTGTGGAATATGCAAGTGGATATTAGGGCAGCTTTGAGGATTTCGTTGGAAACGGGAATACATGTAAAAAGCAGACAGCAGCATTCTCAGAAACTTCTTTGTGATGTTTGCATTGAAGTCACAGAGTTGAACATTCCCTTTGAGAGAGCAGGTTTGAAACACGCCTTTTGTCATATCTGGAAGTGTCCATTCGGAGCGCATTCAGGCTTGTGTTGAAAAAGGAAATATCCTCCCATAAAAACTAGACAGAAGCATTCTCAGAAACTTATCTGTGATGTATGTACTCAACTAACAGAACTAAACCATCGTTTTGAAGGAGCAGTTTTGAAACACTCTTTTTGCGGAATCTGCAAGTGGATATTTGGCTAGCTGGGAGGATTTCGTTGGAAACGGGATTACATACAAAAAGCAGACAGCAGCATTCTCAGAAACTTCTTTGTGATGTTTGCATTCAAGTCACAGAGTTGAACATTCCCTTTCATAGAGCAGGTTTGAAACACTCTTTTTGTAGTATCTGGATGTGGACATTTGGATCGCTTTCAGGCCTATGGTGAAAAAGGAAATATCTTCCCATGAAAACTAGACAGAAGCATTCTCAGAAACTTATTTGTGATGTGTGCCCTCAACTGACAGTGTTGAACCTTTGTTTTGATAGAGCAGTTCTGAAACACACTTTTTGTAAAATCTGCAAGAGGATATTTGGATAGCTTTGAGGATTTCGTTGGAAACGGGAATGTCTTCATGTAAACTCTAGACAGAAGCATTCTCAGAAACTGCTTTGGGATGTTTCAATTGAAGTCCCAGTGTTGAACATTCCCTTTCATAGAGCAGGTTTGAAACACTCTTTTTGTACTATCTGGAAGTGGACATTTAGAGCGCTTTCAGGTCTACGGTGAAAAAGGAGATATCTTCCAATAAAAACTAGATAGAAGCAATGTCAGAACTTTTTTCATGATGTATCTACTCAGCAAACAGAGTTGAACCTTTCTTTTGAGAGAGCAGTTTCGAAACACTCTTTCTGTGGAATATGCAAGTGGGTATTAGGCCAGCTTGGAGGATTTCGTTGGAAACGGGAATACGTATAAAAAGCAGACAGCAGCATTGTCAGAAACTACTTTGTGATGTTTGCATTCAAGTCACAGAATTGAACACTCCCTTTCACAGAGCAGGTTTGAAACACTCTTTTTGTAGTGTCTGTAAGTGAACATTTGGATTGCTTTCAGGCCTAAGGTGAAAAAGGAAATATCTTCCCATAAAAACTAGACAGAAGCATTCTCAGAAACTTGTTTGTGATGTGTGCCCTCTACTGACAGAGTTGAACCTTTCTTTGCAAAGAGCAGTTTTGAAACACTCTTTTTGTAGAATCTGCAAGAGGATATTTGGATAGCTTTGAGGATTTCTTGGGAAACGGGAATGTCTTCAGATAAACTCTAGACAGAAGCATTCTCAGAAACTTCTTTGGGATGTTTCAATTGAAGTCACAGTGTTGAACATTCCCTTTCACAGAGCAGGTTTGAAACACTCTTTTTGTAGTGTCTATAAGTGAACATTTGGCGTGCTTTCAGGCGTAACGTGAAAAAGGAAATATCTTCCCATAAAAACTAGACAGAAGCATTCTCAGAAACTTGTTCGTGATGTGTGCCCTCTACTGACAGAGTTGAACCTTTCTTTGCAAAGAGCAGCTTTGAAACACACTTTTTGTAGAATCTGCAAGAGGATATTTGGAAAGCTTTGAGGATTTCGTTGGAAACGGGTATGTCTTCAGATAAACTCTAGACAGAAGCATTCTCAGAAACTTCTTTGGGATGTTGCATTCAAGTCACAGAGTAGAACATTCCCATTCATAGAGCAGATTTGAAACACTCTTTTTGTAGTATCTGGAAGTGGACATTTGGAGCGCTTTCAGGCCTATGTTGAAAAAGGAAATATCTTCCCATAAAAACTAGACGGAAGCATTTTCAGAAACTTACTTCTGATGTGTTTGCTCAACTAACAGAATTGAACCATCGTTTTGAAGGAGCAGTTTTGAAACACTGTTTTCGTGGAATCTGCAAGTGGATATTTGGCTAGCTTTGAGGATTTCGTTGGAAACGGGATTACCTATAAAAAGGAGACAGCAGCATTCTCAGAAACTTCTTTGTGATGTCTGCATTCAAGTCACAGAGTTGAGCATTCCCTTTCATAGAGCAGGTTTGAAACACTCTTTTTGTAGTATCTGGATGAGGACATTTGGAGCGCTTTCAGGCGTATGGTGAAAAAGGAAATATCTTCCCGTAAAAACTAGACAGAAGCATTCTCAGAAATTTATTTGTGATGTGTGCCCTCAACTAACAGAGTTGAACCTTTCTTTTGATAGAGCAGTTTTGAAACACTCTTTTTGTAAAATCTGCAAGAGGATATTTGGATAGCTTTGAGGATTTCGTTGCAAACGGGAATGGCTTCATATAAACTCTAGACAGAAGCATTCTCAGAAACTTCGTTGGGATGTTTCGATTGAAGTCCCAGTGTTGAACATTCCCTTTTATAGAGCAGGTTGGAAACACTCTTTTTGCATTCCCTGGAAGTGGACATTTGGAGCGCTTTCAGGACGACGGTGAAAATGGAAATATCTTCCAAGAAAATCTAGATAGAAGCAATGTCAGAAACTTTTATGTGATGGATCTACTCAGCTAACAGAGTTGAAGCTTTCTTTTGAGAGAGCAGTTTTGCAACACTCTTTTTGTGGAATATGCAAGTGGATATTAGGGCAGCTTTGAGGATTTCGTTGGAAACGGGAATACATGTAAAAAGCAGACAGCAGCATTCTCAGAAACTTCTTTGTGATGTTTGCATTGAAGTCACAGAGTTGAACATTCCCTTTGAGAGAGCAGGTTTGAAACACGCCTTTTGTCATATCTGGAAGTGTCCATTCGGAGCGCATTCAGGCTTGTGTTGAAAAAGGAAATATCCTCCCATAAAAACTAGACAGAAGCATTCTCAGAAACTTATTTGTGATGTATGTACTCAACTAACAGAACTAAACCATCGTTTTGAAGGAGCAGTTTTGAAACACTCTTTTTGCGGAATCTGCAACTGGATATTTGGCTAGCTTGGAGGATTTCGTTGGAAACGGGATTACATAAAAAAGCAGACAGCAGCATTCTCAGAAACTTCTTTGTGATGTTTGCATTCAAGTCGCAGAGTTGAACATTCCCTTTCATAGAGCAGGTTTGAAACACTCTTTTTGTAGTATCTGGATGTGGACATTTGGATCGCTTTCAGGCCTATGGTGAAAAAGGAAATATCTTCCCATGAAAACTAGACAGAAGCATTCTCAGAAACTTATTTGTGATGTGTGCCCTCAACTGACAGTGTTGAACCTTTGTTTTGATAGAGCAGTTCTGAAACACACTTTTTGTAAAATCTGCAAGAGGATATTTGGATAGCTTTGAGGATTTCGTTGGAAACGGGAATGTCTTCATGTAAACTCTAGACAGAAGCATTCTCAGAAACTGCTTTGGGATGTTTCAATTGAAGTCCCAGTGTTGAACATTCCCTTTCATAGAGCAGGTTTGAAACACTCTTTTTGTAGTATCTGGAAGTGGACATTTGGAGCGCTTTCAGGTCTACGGTGAAAAAGGAGATATCTTCCAATAAAAACTAGATAGAAGCAATGTCAGAACTTTTTTCATGATGTATCTACTCAGCAAACAGAGTTGAACCTTTCTTTTGAGAGAGCACTTTTGAAACACTCTTTTTGTGGAATATGCAAGTGGGTATTAGGCCAGCTTGGAGGATTTCGTTGGAAACGGGAATACGTATAAAAAGCAGACAGCAGCATTGTCAGTAAACTACTTTGTGATGTTTGCATTCAAGTCACAGAATTGAACACTCCCTTTCACAGAGCAGGTTTGAAACACTCTTTTTGTAGTGTCTGTAAGTGAACATTTGGATTGCTTTCAGGCCTATGGTGAAAAAGGAAATATCTTCCCATAAAAACTAGACAGAAGCATTCTCAGAAACTAGTTTGTGATGTGTGCCCTCTACTGACAGAGTTGAACCTTTCTTTGCAAAGAGCAGTTTTGAAACACTCTTTTTGTAGAATCTGCAAGAGGATATTTGGATAGCTTTGAGGATTTCTTGGGAAACGGGAATGTCTTCAGATAAACTCTAGACAGAAGCATTCTCAGAAACTTCTTTGGGATGTTTCAATTGAAGTCACAGTGTTGAACATTCCCTTTCACAGAGCAGGTTTGAAACACTCTTTTTGTAGTGTCTATAAGTGAACATTTGGCGTGCTTTCAGGCGTAACGTGAAAAAGGAAATATCTTCCCATAAAAACCAGACAGAAGCATTCTCAGAAACTTGTTCGTGATGTGTGCCCTCTACTGACAGAGTTGAACCTTTCTTTGCAAAGAGCAGCTTTGAAACACACTTTTTGTAGAATCTGCAAGAGGATATTTGGATAGCTTTGAGGATTTCGTTGGAAACGGGTATGTCTTCAGATATACTCTAGACAGAAGCATTCTCAGAAACTTCTTTGGGATGTTGCATTCAAGTCACAGAGTAGAACATTCCCATTCATAGAGCAGATTTGAAACACTCTTTTTGTAGTATCTGGAAGTGGACATTTGGAGCGCTTTCAGGCCTATGTTGAAAAAGGAAATATCTTCCCATAAAAACTAGACGGAAGCATTCTCAGAAACTTATTTGTGATGTGTTTGCTCAACTAACAGGATTGAACCATCGTTTTGAAGGAGCAGTTTTGAAACACTGTTTTCGTGGAATCTGCAAGTGGATATTTGGCTAGCTTTGAGGATTTCGTTGGAAACGGGATTACATATAAAAAGGAGACAGCAGCATTCTCAGAAACTTCTTTGTGATGTCTGCATTCAATTCACAGAGTTGAGCATTCCCTTTCATAGAGCAGGTTGGAAACACTCTTTTTGTAGTATCTGGATGAGGACATTTGGAGCGCTTCAGGCGTATGGTGAAAAAGGAAATATCTTCCCGTAAAAACTAGACAGAAGCATTCTCAGAAATTTATTTGTGATGTGTGCCCTCAACTAACAGAGTTGAACCTTTCTTTTGATAGAGCAGTTTTGAAACACTCTTTTTGTAAAATCTGCAAGAGGATATTTGGATAGCTTTGAGGATTTCGTTGCAAACGGGAATGGCTTCATATAAACTCTAGACAGAAGCATTCTCAGAAACTTCGTTGGGATGTTTCGATTGAAGTCCCAGTGTTGAACATTCCCTTTTATAGAGCAGGTTGGAAACACTCTTTCTGCATTCCCTGGAAGTGGACATTTGGAGCGCTTTCAGGACGACGGTGAAAATGGAAATATCTTCCAAGAAAATCTAGATAGAAGCAACGTCAGAAACTTTTATGTGATGGATCTACTCAGCTAACAGAGTTGAACCTTTCTTTTGAGAGAGCAGTTTTGCAACACTCTTTTTGTGGAATATGCAAGTGGATATTAGGGCAGCTTTGAGGATTTCGTTGGAAACGGGAATACATGTAAAAAGCAGACAGCAAGCATTCTCAGAAACTTCTTTGTGATGTTTGCATTGAAGTCACAGAGTTGAACATTCCCTTTGAGAGAGCAGGTTTGAAACACGCCTTTTGTCATATCTGGAAGTGTCCATTCGGAGCGCATTCAGGCTTGTGTTGAAAAAGGAAATATCCTCCCATAAAAACTAGACAGAAGCATTCTCAGAAACTTATCTGTGATGTATGTACTCAACTAACAGAACTAAACCATCGTTTTGAAGGAGCAGTTTTGAAACACTCTTTTTGTGGAATCTGCAAGTGGATATTTGGCTAGCTGGGAGGATTTCGTTGGAAACGGGATTACATACAAAAAGCAGAGAGCAGCATTCTCAGAAACTTCTTTGTGATGTTTGCATTCAAGTCACAGAGTTGAACATTCCCTTTCATAGAGCAGGTTTGAAACACTCTTTTTGTAGTATCTGGATGTGGACATTTGGATCGCTTTCAGGCCTATGGTGAAAAAGGAAATATCTTCCCATGAAAACTAGACAGAAGCATTCTCAGAAACTTATTTGTGATGTGTGCCCTCAACTGACAGTGTTGAACCTTTGTTTTGATAGAGCAGTTCTGAAACACACTTTTTGTAAAATCTGCAAGAGGATATTTGGATAGCTTTGAGGATTTCGTTGGAAACGGGAATGTCTTCATGTAAACTCTAGACAGAAGCATTCTCAGAAACTGCTTTGGGATGTTTCAATTGAAGTCCCAGTGTTGAACATTCCCTTTCATAGAGCAGGTTTGAAACACTCTTTTTGTAGTATCTGGAAGTGGACATTTGGAGCGCTTTCAGGTCTACGGTGAAAAAGGAGATATCTTCCAATAAAAACTAGATAGAAGCAATGTCAGAACTTTTTTCATGATGTATCTACTCAGCAAACAGAGTTGAACCTTTCTTTTGAGAGAGCAGTTTTGAAACACTCTTTTTGTGGAATATGCAAGTGGGTATTAGGCCAGCTTGGAGGATTTCGTTGGAAACGGGAATACGTATAAAAAGCAGACAGCAGCATTGTCAGAAACTACTTTGTGATGTTTACATTCAAGTCACAGAATTGAACACTCCCTTTCACAGAGCAGGTTTGAAACACTCTTTTTGTAGTGTCTGTAAGTGAACATTTGGATTGCTTTCAGGCCTAAGGTGAAAAAGGAAATGTCTTCCCATAAAAACTAGACAGAAGCATTCTCAGAAACTTGTTTGTGATGTGTGCCCTCTACTGACAGAGTTGAACCTTTCTTTGCAAAGAGCAGTTTTGAAACACTCTTTTTGTAGAATCTGCAAGAGGATATTTGGATAGCTTTGAGGATTTCTTGGGAAACGGGAATGTCTTCAGATAAACTCTAGACAGAAGCATTCTCAGAAACTTCTTTGGGATGTTTCAATTGAAGTCACAGTGTTGAACATTCCCTTTCACAGAGCAGGTTTGAAACACTCTTTTTGTAGTGTCTATAAGTGAACATTTGGCGTGCTTTCAGGCGTAACGTGAAAAAGGAAATATCTTCCCATAAAAACTAGACAGAAGCATTCTCAGAAACTTGTTCTTGATGTGTCCCCTCTACTGAGAGAGTTGAACCTTTCTTTGCAAAGAGCAGCTTTGAAACACTCTTTTTGTAGAATCTGCAAGAGGATATTTGGATAGCTTGGAGGATTTCGTTGGAAACGGGTATGTCTTCAGATAAACTCTAGACAGAAGCATTCTCAGAAACTTCTTTGGGATGTTGCATTCAAGTCACAGAGTAGAACATTCCCATTCATACAGCAGATTTGAAACACTCTTTTTGTAGTATCTGGAAGTGGACATTTGGAGCGCTTTCAGGCCTATGTTGAAAAAGCAAATATCTTCCCATAAAAACTAGACGGAAGCATTCTCAGAAACTTAATTGTGATGTGTTTGCTCAACTAACAGGATTGAACCATCGTTTTGAAGGAGCAGTTTTGAAACACTGTTTTCGTGGAATCTGCAAGTGGATATTTGGCTAGCTTTGAGGATTTCGTTGGAAACGGGATTACATATACAAAGGAGACAGCAGCATTCTCAGAAACTTCTTTGTGATGTCTGCATTCAATTCACAGAGTTGAGCATTCCCTTTCCTAGAGCACGTTGGAAACACTCTTTTTGTAGTATCTGGATGAGGACATTTGGAGCGCTTTCAGGCGTATGGTGAAAAAGGAAATATCTTCCCGTAAAAACTAGACAGAAGCATTCTCAGAAGTTTATTTGTGATGTGTGCCCTCAACTAACAGAGTTGAACCTTTCTTTTGATAGAGCAGTTTTGAAACACTCTTTTTGTAAAATCTGCAAGAGGATATTTGGATAGCTTTGAGGATTTCGTTGCAAACGGGAATGGCTTCATATAAACTCTAGACAGAAGCATTCTCAGAAACTTCGTTGGGATGTTTCGATTGAAGTCCCAGTGTTGAACATTCCCTTTTATAGAGCAGGTTGGAAACACTCTTTCTGCATTCCCTGGAAGTGGACATTTGGAGCGCTTTCAGGACGACGGTGAAAATGGAAATATCTTCCAAGAAAATCTAGATAGAAGCAATGTCAGAAACTTTTATGTGATGGATCTACTCAGCTAACAGAGTTGAACCTTTCTTTTGAGAGAGCAGTTTTGCAACACTCTTTTTGTGGAATATGCAAGTGGATATTAGGGCAGCTTTGAGGATTTCGTTGGAAACGGGAATACATGTAAAAAGCAGACAGCAGCATTCTCAGAAACTTCTTTGTGATGTTTGCATTGAAGTCACAGAGTAGAACATTCCCTTTGAGAGAGCAGGTTTGAAACACGCCTTTTGTCATATCTGGAAGTGTCCATTCGGAGCGCATTCAGGCTTGTGTTGAAAAAGGAAATATCCTCCCAGAAAAACTAGACAGAAGCAATCTCAGAAACTTATTTGTGATGTATGTACTCAACTAACAGAACTAAACCATCGTTTTGAAGGAGCAGTTTTGAAACACTCTTTTTGCGGAATCTGCAAGTGGATATTTGGCTAGCTTGGAGGATTTCGTTGGAAACGGGATTACATACAAAAAGCAGAGAGCAGCATTCTCAGAAACTTCTTTGTGATGTTTGCATTCAAGTCACAGAGTTGAACATTCCCTTTCATAGAGCAGGTTTGAAACACTCTTTTTGTAGTATCTGGATGTGGACATTTGGATCGCTTTCAGGCCTATGGTGAAAAAGGAAATATCTTCCCATGAAAACTAGACAGAAGCATTCTCAGAAACTTATTTGTGATGTGTGCCCTCAACTGACAGTGTTGAACCTTTGTTTTGATAGAGCAGTTCTGAAACACACTTTTTGTAAAATCTGCAAGAGGATATTTGGATAGCTTTGAGGATTTCGTTGGAAACGGGAATGTCTTCATGTAAACTCTGGACAGAAGCATTCTCAGAAACTGCTTTGGGATGTTTCAATTGAAGTCCCAGTGTTGAACATTCCCTTTCATAGAGCAGGTTTGAAACACTCTTTTTGTACTATCTGGAAGTGGACATTTGGAGCGCTTTCAGGTCTACGGTGAAAAAGGAGATATCTTCCAATAAAAACTAGATAGAAGCAATGTCAGAACTTTTTTCATGATGTATCTACTCAGCAAACAGAGTTGAACCTTTCTTTTGAGAGAGCAGTTTTGAAACACTCTTTTTGTGGAATATGCAAGTGGGTATTAGGCCAGCTTGGAGGATTTCGTTGGAAACGGGAATACGTATAAAAAGCAGACAGCAGCATTGTCAGAAACTACTTTGTGATGTTTGCATTCAAGTCACAGAATTGAACACTCCCTTTCACAGAGCAGGTTTGAAACACACTTTTTGTAGTGTCTGTAAGTGAACATTTGGATTGCTTTCAGGCCTAAGGTGAAAAAGGAAATATCTTCCCATAAAAACTAGACAGAAGCATTCTCAGAAACTTGTTTGTGATGTGTGCCCTCTACTGACAGAGTTGAACCTTTCTTTGCAAAGAGCAGCTTTGAAACACTCTTTTTGTAGAATCTGCAAGAGGATATTTGGATAGCTTTGAGGATTTCTTGGGAAACGGGAATGTCTTCAGATAAACTCTAGACAGAAGCATTCTCAGAAACTTCTTTGGGATGTTTCAATTGAAGTCACAGTGTTGAACATTCCCTTTCACAGAGCAGGTTTGAAACACTCTTTTTGTAGTGTCTATAAGTGAACATTTGGCGTGCTTTCAGGCCTAACGTGAAAAAGGAAATATCTTCCCATAAAAACTAGACAGAAGCATTCTCAGAAACTTGTTCTTGATGTGTCCCCTCTACTGACAGAGTTGAACCTTTCTTTGCAAAGAGCAGCTTTGAAACACTCTTTTTGTAGAATCTGCAAGAGGATATTTGGATAGCTTGGAGGATTTCGTTGGAAACGGGTATGTCTTCAGATAAACTCTAGACAGAAGCATTCTCAGAAACTTCTTTGGGATGTTGCATTCAAGTCACAGAGTAGAACATTCCCATTCATAGAGCAGATTTGAAACACTCTTTTTGTAGTATCTGGAAGTGGACATTTGGAGCGCTTTCAGGCCTATGTTGAAAAAGGAAATATCTTCCCATAAAAACTAGACGGAAGCATTCTCAGAAACTTATTTGTGATGTGTTTGCTCAACTAACAGGATTGAACCATCGTTTTGAAGGAGCAGTTTTGAAACACTGTTTTCGTGGAATCTGCAAGTGGATATTTGGCTAGCTTTGAGGATTTCGTTGGAAATGGGATTACATATACAAAGGAGACAGCAGCATTCTCAGAAACTTCTTTGTGATGTCTGCATTCAATTCACAGAGTTGAGCATTCCCTTTCATAGAGCAGGTTGGAAACACTCTTTTTGTAGTATCTGGATGAGGACATTTGGAGCGCTTTCTGGCCTATGGTGAAAAAGGAAATATCTTCCTGTAAAAACTAGACAGAAGCATTCTCAGAAGTTTATTTGTGATGTGTGCCCTCAACTAACAGAGTTGAACCTTTCTTTTGATAGAGCAGTTTTGAAACACTCTTTTTGTAAAATCTGCAAGAGGATATTTGGATAGCTTTGAGGATTTCGTTGCAAACGGGAATGGCTTCATATAAACTCTAGACAGAAGCATTCTCAGAAACTTCGTTGGGATGTTTCGATTGAAGTCCCAGTGTTGAACATTCCCTTTTATAGAGCAGGTTGGAAACACTCTTTCTGCATTCCCTGGAAGTGGACATTTGGAGCGCTTTCAGGACGACGGTGAAAATGGAAATATCTTCCAAGAAAATCTAGATAGAAGCAATGTCAGAAACTTTTATGTGATGGATCTACTCAGCTAACAGAGTTGAACCTTTCTTTTGAGAGAGCAGTTTTGCAACACTCTTTTTGTGGAATATGCAAGTGGATATTAGGGCAGCTTTGAGGATTTCGTTGGAAACGGGAATACATGTAAAAAGCAGACAGCAGCATTCTCAGAAACTTCTTTGTGATGTTTGCATTGAAGTCACAGAGTTGAACATTCCCTTTGAGAGAGCAGGTTTGAAACACGCCTTTTGTCATATCTGGAAGTGTCCATTCGGAGCGCATTCAGGCTTGTGTTGAAAAAGGAAATATCCTCCCATAAAAACTAGACAGAAGCATTCTCAGAAACTTATCTGTGATGTATGTACTCAACTAACAGAACTAAACCATCGTTTTGAAGGAGCAGTTTTGAAACACTCTTTTTGCGGAATCTGCAAGTGGATATTTGGCTAGCTGGGAGGATTTCGTTGGAAACGGGATTACATACAAAAAGCAGACAGCAGCATTCTCAGAAACTTCTTTGTGATGTCTGCATTCAAGTCACAGAGTTGAGCATTCCCTTTCATAGAGCAGGTTTGAAACACTCTTTTTGTAGTATCTGGATGTGGACATTTGGATCGCTTTCAGGCCTATGGTGAAAAAGGAAATATCTTCCCATGAAAACTAGACAGAAGCATTCTCAGAAACTTATTTGTGATGTGTGCCCTCAACTGACAGTGTTGAACCTTTGTTTTGATAGAGCAGTTCTGAAACACACTTTTTGTAAAATCTGCAAGAGGATATTTGGATAGCTTTGAGGATTTCGTTGGAAACGGGAATGTCTTCATGTAAACTCTAGACAGAAGCATTCTCAGAAACTGCTTTGGGATGTTTCAATTGAAGTCCCAGTGTTGAACATTCCCTTTCATAGAGCAGGTTTGAAACACTCTTTTTGTACTATCTGGAAGTGGACATTTGGAGCGCTTTCAGGTCTACGGTGAAAAAGGAGATATCTTCCAATAAAAACTAGATAGAAGCAATGTCAGAACTTTTTTCATGATGTATCTACTCAGCAAACAGAGTTGAACCTTTCTTTTGAGAGAGCAGTTTCGAAACACTCTTTCTGTGGAATATGGAAGTGGGTATTAGGCCAGCTTGGAGGATTTCGTTGGAAACGGGAATACGTATAAAAAGCAGACAGCAGCATTGTCAGAAACTACTTTGTGATGTTTGCATTCAAGTCACAGAATTGAACACTCCCTTTCACAGAGCAGGTTTGAAACACTCTTTTTGTAGTGTCTATAAGTGAACATTTGGCGTGCTTTCAGGCGTAACGTGAAAAAGGAAATATCTTCCCATAAAAACTAGACAGAAGCATTCTCAGAAACTTGTTGTTGATGTGTCCCCTCTACTGACAGAGTTGAACCTTTCTTTGCAAAGAGCAGCTTTGAAACACTCTTTTTGTAGAATCTGCAAGAGGATATTTGGATAGCTTGGAGGATTTCGTTGGAAACGGGTATGTCTTCAGATAAACTCTAGACAGAAGCATTCTCAGAAACTTCTTTGGGATGTTGCATGCAAGTCACAGAGTAGAACATTCCCATTCATAGAGCAGATTTGAAACACTCTTTTTGTAGTATCTGAAAGTGGACATTTGGAGCGCTTTCAGGCCTATGTTGAAAAAGGAAATATCTTCCCATAAAAACTAGACGGAAGCATTCTCAGAAACTTATTTGTGATGTGTTTGCTCAACTAACAGGATTGAACCATCGTTTTGAAGGAGCAGTTTTGAAACACTGTTTTCGTGGAATCTGCAAGTGGATATTTGGCTAGCTTTGAGGATTTCGTTGGAAACGGGATTACATATAAAAAGGAGACAGCAGCATTCTCAGAAACTTCTTTGTGATGTCTGCATTCAATTCACAGAGTTGAGCATTCCCTTTCATAGAGCAGGTTGGAAACACTCTTTTTGTAGTATCTGGATGTGGACATTTGGATCGCTTTCAGGCCTATGGTGAAAAAGGAAATATCTTCCCATGAAAACTAGACAGAAGCATTCTCAGAAACTTATTTGTGATGTGTGCACTCAACTGACACTGTTGAACCTTTGTTTTGATAGAGCAGTTCTGAAACACACTTTTTGTAAAATCTGCAAGAGGATATTTGGATAGCTTTGAGGATTTCGTTGGAAACGGGAATGTCTTCATGTAAACTCTAGACAGAAGCATTCTCAGAAACTGCTTTGGGATGTTTCAATTGAAGTCCCAGTGTTGAACATTCCCATTCATAGAGCAGGTTTGAAACACTCTTTTTCTACTATCTGGAAGTGGACATTTGGAGCGCTTTCAGGTCTACGGTGAAAAAGGAGATATCTTCCAATAAAAACTAGATAGAAGCAATGTCAGAACTTTTTTCATGATGTATCTACTCAGCAAACAGAGTTGAACCTTTCTTTTGAGAGAGCAGTTTTGAAACACTCTTTTTGTGGAATATGCAAGTGGGTATTAGGCCAGCTTGGAGGATTTCGTTGGAAACGGGAATACGTATAAAAAGCAGACAGCCAGCATTGTCAGAAACTACTTTGTGATGTTTGCATTCAAGTCACAGAATTGAACACTCCCTTTCACAGAGCAGGTTTGAAACACTCTTTTTGTAGTGTCTGTAAGTGAACATTTGGATTGCTTTCAGGCCTAAGGTGAAAAAGGAAATATCTTCCCATAAAAACTAGACAGAGCATTCTCAGAAACTTGTTTGTGATGTGTGCCCTCTACTGACAGAGTTGAACCTTTCTTTGCAAAGAGCAGTTTTGAAACACTCTTTTTGTAGAATCTGCAAGAGGATATTTGGATAGCTTTGAGGATTTCTTGGGAAACGGGAATGTCTTCAGATAAACTCTAGACAGAAGCATTCTCAGAAACTTCTTTGGGATGTTTCAATTGAAGTCACAGTGTTGAACATTCCCTTTCACAGAGCAGGTTTGAAACACTCTTTTTGTAGTGTCTATAAGTGAACATTTGGCGTGCTTTCAGGCCTAACGTGAAAAAGGAAATATCTTCCCATAAAAACTAGACAGAAGCATTCTCAGAAACTTGTTCGTGATGTGTGCCCTCTACTGACAGAGTTGAACCTTTCTTTGCAAAGAGCAGCTTTGAAACACTCTGTTTGTAGAATCTGCAAGAGGATATTTGGATAGCTTTGAGGATTTCGTTGGAAACGGGTATGTCTTCAGATAAACTCTAGACAGAAGCATTCTCAGAAACTTCTTTGGGATGTTGCATTCAAGTCACAGAGTAGAACATTCCCATTCATAGAGCAGATTTGAAACACTCTTTTTGTAGTATCTGGAAGTGGACATTTGGAGCGCTTTCAGGCCTATGTTGAAAAAGGAAATATCTTCCCATAAAAACTAGACGGAAGCATTCTCAGAAACTTACTTGTGATGTGTTTGCTCAACTAACAGAATTGAACCATCGTTTTGAAGGAGCAGTTTTGAAACACTCTTTTCGTGGAATCTGCAAGTGGATATTTGGCTAGCTTTGAGGATTTCGTTGGAAACGGGATTACATATAAAAAGGAGACAGCAGCATTCTCAGAAACTTCTTTGTGATGTCTGCATTCAAGTCACAGAGTTGAGCATTCCCTTTCATAGAGCAGGTTGGAAACACTCTTTTTGTAGTATCTGGATGAGGACATTTGGAGCGCTTTCAGGCGTATGGTGAAAAAGGAAATATCTTCCCGTAAAAACTAGACAGAAGATTCTCAGAAATTTATTTGTGATGTGTGCCCTCAACTAACAGAGTTGAACCTTTCTTTTGATAGAGCAGTTTTGAAACACTCTTTTTGTAAAATCTGCAAGAGGATATTTGGATAGCTTTGAGGATTTCGTTGCAAACGGGAATGGCTTCATATAAACTCTAGACAGAAGCATTCTCAGAAACTTCGTTGGGATGTTTCGATTGAAGTCCCAGTGTTGAACATTCCCTTTTATAGAGCAGGTTGGAAACACTCTTTCTGCATTCCCTGGAAGTGGACATTTGGAGCGCTTTCAGGACGACGGTGAAAATGGAAATATCTTCCAAGAAAATCTAGATAGAAGCAACGTCAGAAACTTTTATGTGATGGATCTACTCAGCTAACAGAGTTGAACCTTTCTTTTGAGAGAGCAGTTTTGCAACACTCTTTTTGTGGAATATGCAAGTGGATATTAGGGCAGCTTTGAGGATTTCGTTGGAAACGGGAATACATGTAAAAAGCAGACAGCAGCATTCTCAGAAACTTCTTTGTGATGTTTGCATTGAAGTCACAGAGTTGAACATTCCCTTTGAGAGAGCAGGTTTGAAACACGCCTTTTGTCATATCTGGAAGTGTCCATTCGGAGCGCATTCAGGCTTGTGTTGAAAAAGGAAATATCCTCCCATAAAAACTAGACAGAAGCATTCTCAGAAACTTATCTGTGATGTATGTACTCAACTAACAGAACTAAACCATCGTTTTGAAGGAGCAGTTTTGAAACACTCTTTTTGCGGAATCTGCAAGTGGATATTTGGCTAGCTTGGAGGATTTCGTTGGAAACGGGATTACATACAAAAAGCAGAGAGCAGCATTCTCAGAAACTTATTTGTGATGTGTGCCCTCAACTGACAGTGTTGAACCTTTGTTTTGATAGAGCAGTTCTGAAACACACTTTTTGTAAAATCTGCAAGAGGATATTTGGATAGCTTTGAGGATTTCGTTGGAAACGGGAATGTCTTCATGTAAACTCTACACAGAAGCATTCTCAGAAACTGCTTTGGGATGTTTCAATTGAAGTCCCAGTGTTGAACATTCCCATTCATAGAGCAGGTTTGAAACACTCTTTTTGTACTATCTGGAAGTGGACATTTGGAGCGCTTTCAGGTCTACGGTGAAAAAGGAGATATCTTCCAATAAAAACTAGATAGAAGCAATGTCAGAACTTTTTTCATGATGTATCTACTCAGCAAACAGAGTTGAACCTTTCTTTTGAGAGAGCAGTTTTGAAACACTCTTTTTGTGGAATATGCAAGTGGGTATTAGGCCAGCTTGGAGGATTTCGTTGGAAACGGGAATACGTATAAAAAGCAGACAGCAGCATTGTCAGAAACTACTTTGTGATGTTTGCATTCAAGTCACAGAATTGAACACTCCCTTTCACAGAGCAGGTTTGAAACACTCTTTTTGTAGTGTCTGTAAGTGAACATTTGGATTGCTTTCAGGCCTAAGGTGAAAAAGGAAATATCTTCCCATAAAAACTAGACAGAAGCATTCTCAGAAACTTGTTTGTGATGTGTGCCCTCTACTGACAGAGTTGAACCTTTCTTTGCAAAGAGCAGTTTTGAAACACTCTTTTTGTAGAATCTGCAAGAGGATATTTGGATAGCTTTGAGGATTTCTTGGGAAACGGGAATGTCTTCAGATAAACTCTAGACAGAAGCATTCTCAGAAACTCCTTTGGGATGTTTCAATTGAAGTCACAGTGTTGAACATTCCCTTTCACAGAGCAGGTTTGAAACACTCTTTTTGTAGTGTCTATAAGTGAACATTTGGCGTGCTTTCAGGCCTAACGTGAAAAAGGAAATATCTTCCCATAAAAACTAGACAGAAGCATTCTCAGAAACTTGTTCGTGATGTGTGCCCTCTACTGACAGAGTTGAACCTTTCTTTGCAAAGAGCAGCTTTGAAACACACTTTTTGTAGAATCTGCAAGAGGATATTTGGATAGCTTGGAGGATTTCGTTGGAAACGGGTATGTCTTCAGATAAACTCTAGACAGAAACATTCTCAGAAACTTCTTTGGGATGTTGCATTCAAGTCACAGAGTAGAACATTCCCATGCATAGAGCAGATTTGAAACACTCTTTTTGTAGTATCTGGAAGTGGACATTTGGAGCGCTTTCAGGCCTATGTTGAAAAAGGAAATATCTTCCCATAAAAACTAGACGGGAAGCATTCTCAGAAACTTACTTGTGATGTGTTTGCTCAACTAACAGAATTGAACCATCGTTTTGAAGGAGCAGTTTTGAAACACTGTTTTCGTGGAATCTGCAAGTGGATATTTGGCTAGCTTTGAGGATTTCGTTGGAAACGGGATTACATATAAAAAGGAGACAGCAGCATTCTCAGAAACTTCTTTGTGATGTCTGCATTCAATTCACAGAGTTGAGCATTCCCTTTCCTAGAGCACGTTGGAAACACTCTTTTTGTAGTATCTGGATGAGGACATTTGGAGCGCTTTCAGGCGTATGGTGAAAAAGGAAATATCTTCCCGTAAAAACTAGACAGAAGCATTCTCAGAAGTTTATTTGTGATGTGTGCCCTCAACTAACAGAGTTGAACCTTTCTTTTGATAGAGCAGTTTTGAAACACTCTTTTTGTAAAATCTGCAAGAGGATATTTGGATAGCTTTGAGGATTTCGTTGCAAACGGGAATGGCTTCATATAAACTCTAGACAGAAGCATTCTCAGAAACTTCGTTGGGATGTTTCGATTGAAGTCCCAGTGTTGAACATTCCCTTTTATAGAGCAGGTTGGAAACACTCTTTCTGCATTCCCTGGAAGTGGACATTTGGAGCGCTTTCAGGACGACGGTGAAAATGGAAATATCTTCCAAGAAAATCTAGATAGAAGCAATGTCAGAAACTTTTATGTGATGGATCTACTCAGCTAACAGAGTTGAACCTTTCTTTTGAGAGAGCAGTTTTGCAACACTCTTTTTGTGGAATATGCAAGTGGATATTAGGGCAGCTTTGAGGATTTCGTTGGAAACGGGAATACATGTAAAAAGCAGACAGCAGCATTCTCAGAAACTTCTTTGTGATGTTTGCATTGAAGTCACAGAGTTGAACATTCCCTTTGAGAGAGCAGGTTTGAAACACGCCTTTTGTCATATCTGGAAGTGTCCATTCGGAGCGCATTCAGGCTTGTGTTGAAAAAGGAAATATCCTCCCATAAAAACTAGACAGAAGCATTCTCAGAAACTTATCTGTGATGTATGTACTCAACTAACAGAACTAAACCATCGTTTTGAAGGAGCAGTTTTGAAACACTCTTTTTGCGGAATCTGCAAGTGGATATTTGGCTAGCTGGGAGGATTTCGTTGGAAACGGGATTACATACAAAAAGCAGACAGCAGCATTCTCAGAAACTTCTTTGTGATGTTTGCATTCAAGTCACAGAGTTGAACATTCCCTTTCATAGAGCAGGTTTGAAACACTCTTTTTGCAGTATCTGGATGTGGACATTTGGATCGCTTTCAGGCCTATGGTGAAAAAGGAAATATCTTCCCATGAAAACTAGACAGAAGCATTCTCAGAAACTTATTTGTGATGTGTGCCCTCAACTGACAGTGTTGAACCTTTGTTTTGATAGAGCAGTTCTGAAACACACTTTTTGTAAAATCTGCAAGAGGATATTTGGATAGGTTTGAGGATTTCGTTGGAAACGGGAATGTCTTCATGTAAACTCTAGACAGAAGCATTCTCAGAAACTGCTTTGGGATGTTTCAATTGAAGTCCCAGTGTTGAACATTCCCATTCATAGAGCAGGTTTGAAACACTCTTTTTGTACTATCTGGAAGTGGACATTTGGAGCGCTTTCAGGTCTACGGTGAAAAAGGAGATATCTTCCAATAAAAACTAGATAGAAGCAATGTCAGAACTTTTTTCATGATGTATCTACTCAGCAAACAGAGTTGAACCTTTCTTTTGAGAGAGCAGTTTTGAAACAGTCTTTGTGGAATATGCAAGTGGGTATTAGGCCAGCTTGGAGGATTTCGTTGGAAACGGGAATACGTATAAAAAGCAGACAGCAGCATTGTCAGAAACTACTTTGTGATGTTTGCATTCAAGTCACAGAATTGAACACTCCCTTTCACAGAGCAGGTTTGAAACACTCTTTTTGTAGTGTCTGTAAGTGAACATATGGATTGCTTTCAGGCCTAAGGTGAAAAAGGAAATATCTTCCCATAAAAACTAGACAGAAGCATTCTCAGAAACTTGTTTGTGATGTGTGCCCTCTACTGACAGAGTTGAACCTTTCTTTGCAAAGAGCAGTTTTGAAACACTCTTTTTGTAGAATCTGCAAGAGGATATTTGGATAGCTTTGAAGATTTCTTGGGAAACGGGAATGTCTTCAGATAAACTCTAGACAGAAGCATTCTCAGAAACTTCTTTGGGATGTTTCAATTGAAGTCACAGTGTTGAACATTCCCTTTCACAGAGCAGGTTTGAAACACTCTTTTTGTAGTGTGTATAAGTGAACATTTGGCGTGCTTTCAGGCCTAACGTGAAAAAGGAAATATCTTCCCATAAAAACTAGACAGAAGCATTCTCAGAAACTTGTTCATGATGTGTGCCCTCTACTGACAGAGTTGAACCTTTCTTTGCAAAGAGCAGCTTTGAAACACTCTTTTTGTAGAATCTGCAAGAGGATATTTGGATAGCTTGGAGGATTTCGTTGGAAACGGGTATGTCTTCAGATAAACTCTAGACAGAAGCATTCTCAGAAACTTCTTTGGGATGTTGCATTCAAGTCACAGAGTAGAACATTCCCATTCATAGAGCAGATTTGAAACACTCTTTTTGTAGTATCTGGAAGTGGACATTTGGAGCGCTTTCAGGCCTATGTTGAAAAAGGAAATATCTTCCCATAAAAACTAGACGGAAGCATTCTCAGAAACTTATTTGTGATGTGTTTGCTCAACTAACAGGATTGAACCATCGTTTTGAAGGAGCAGTTTTGAAACTCTGTTTTCGTGGAATCTGCAAGTGGATATTTGGCTAGCTTTGAGGATTTCGTTGGAAACGGGATTACATATAAAAAGGAGACAGCAGCATTCTCAGAAACTTCTTTGTGATGTCTGCATTCAATTCACAGAGTTGAGCATTCCCTTTCATAGAGCAGGTTGGAAACACTCTTTTTGTAGTATCTGGATGAGGACATTTGGAGCGCTTTCAGGCCTATGGTGAAAAAGGAAATATCTTCCCGTAAAAACTAGACAGAAGCATTCTCAGAAGTTTATTTGTGATGTGTGCCCTCAACTAACAGAGTTGAACCTTTCTTTTGATAGAGCAGTTTTGAAACACTCTTTTTGTAAAATCTGCAAGAGGATATTTGGATAGCTTTGAGGATTTCCTTGCAAACGGGAATGGCTTCATATAAACTCTAGACAGAAGCATTCTCAGAAACTTCGTTGGGATGTTTCGATTGAAGTCCCAGTGTTGAACATTCCCTTTTATAGAGCAGGTTGGAAACACTCTTTCTGCATTCCCTGGAAGTGGACATTTGGAGCGCTTTCAGGACGACGGTGAAAATGGAAATATCTTCCAAGAAAATCTAGATAGAAGCAATGTCAGAAACTTTTATGTGATGGATCTACTCAGCTAACAGAGTTGAACCTTTCTTTTGAGAGAGCAGTTTTGCAACACTCTTTTTGTGGAATATGCAAGTGGATATTAGGGCAGCTTTGAGGATTTCGTTGGAAACGGGAATACATGTAAAAAGCAGACAGCAGCATTCTCAGAAACTTCTTTGTGATGTTTGCATTGAAGTCACAGAGTTGAACATTCCCTTTGAGAGAGCAGGTTTGAAACACGCCTTTTGTCATATCTGGAAGTGTCCATTCGGAGCGCATTCAGGCTTGTGTTGAAAAAGGAAATATCCTCCCATAAAAACTAGACAGAAGCATTCTCAGAAACTTATCTGTGATGTATGTACTCAACTAACAGAACTAAACCATCGTTTTGAAGGAGCAGTTTTGAAACACTCTTTTTGCGGAATCTGCAAGTGGATATTTGGCTAGCTGGGAGGATTTCGTTGGAAACGGGATTACATACAAAAAGCAGACAGCAGCATTCTCAGAAACTTCTTTGTGATGTTTGCATTCAAGTCACAGAGTTGAACATTCCCTTTCATAGAGCAGGTTTGAAACACTCTTTTTGTAGTATCTGGATGTGGACATTTGGATCGCTTTCAGGCCTATGGTGAAAAAGGAAATATCTTCCCATGAAAACTAGACAGAAGCATTCTCAGAAACTTATTTGTGATGTGTGCCCTCAACTGACAGTGTTGAACCTTTGTTTTGATAGAGCAGTTCTGAAACACACTTTTTGTAAAATCTGCAAGAGGATATTTGGATAGCTTTGAGGATTTCGTTGGAAACGGGAATGTCTTCATGTAAACTCTAGACAGAAGCATTCTCAGAAACTGCTTTGGGATGTTTCAATTGAAGTCCCAGTGTTGAACATTCCCTTTCATAGAGCAGGTTTGAAACACTCTTTTTGTAGTATCTGGATGAGGACATTTGGAGCGCTTTCAGGCGTTTGGTGAAAAAGGAAATATCTTCCCGTAAAAACTAGACAGAAGCATTCTCAGAAGTTTATTTCTGATGTGTGCCCTCAACTAACAGAGTTGAACCTTTCTTTTGATAGAGCAGTTTTGAAACACTCTTTTTGTAAAATCTGCAAGAGGATATTTGGATAGCTTTGAGGATTTCGTTGCAAACGGGAATGGCTTCATATAAACTCTAGACAGAAGCATTCTCAGAAACTTCGTTGGGATGTTTCGATTGAAGTCCCAGTGTTGAACATTCCCTTTTATAGAGCAGGTTGGAAACACTCTTTTTGCATTCCCTGGAAGTGGACATTTGGAGCGCTTTCAGGACGACGGTGAAAATGGAAATATCTTCCAAGAAAATCTAGATAGAAGCAATGTCAGAAACTTTTATGTGATGGATCTACTCAGCTAACAGAGTTGAACCTTTCTTTTGAGAGAGCAGTTTTGCAACACTCTTTTTGTGGAATATGCAAGTGGATATTAGGGCAGCTTTGAGGATTTCGTTGGAAACGGGAATACATGTAAAAAGCAGACAGCAGCATTCTCAGAAACTTCTTTGTGATGTTTGCATTGAAGTCACAGAGTTGAACATTCCCTTTGAGAGAGCAGGTTTGAAACACGCCTTTTGTCATATCTGGAAGTGTCCATTCGGAGCGCATTCAGGCTTGTGTTGAAAAAGGAAATATCCTCCCAGAAAAACTAGACAGAAGCATTCTCAGAAACTTATTTGTGATGTATGTACTCAACTAACAGAACTAAACCATCGTTTTGAAGGAGCAGTTTTGAAACACTCTTTTTGCGGAATCTGCAAGTGGATATTTGGCTAGCTGGGAGGATTTCGTTGGAAACGGGATTACATACAAAAAGCAGACAGCAGCATTCTCAGAAACTTATTTGTGATGTGTGCCCTCAACTGACAGTGTTGAACCTTTGTTTTGATAGAGCAGTTCTGAAACACACTTTTTGTAAAATCTGCAAGAGGATATTTGGATAGCTTTGAGGATTTCGTTGGAAACGGGAATGTCTTCATGTAAACTCTAGACAGAAGCATTCTCAGAAACTGCTTTGGGATGTTTCAATTGAAGTCCCAGTGTTGAACATTCCCATTCATAGAGCAGGTTTGAAACACTCTTTTTGTAGTATCTGGAAGTGGACATTTGGAGGGATTTCAGGTCTACGGTGAAAAAGGAGATATCTTCCAATAAAAACTAGATAGAAAGCAATGTCAGAACTTTTTTCATGATGTATCTACTCAGCAAACAGTAGTTGAACCTTTCTTTTGAGAGAGCAGTTTTGAAACACTCTTTTTGTGGAATATGCAAGTGGGTATTAGGCCAGCTTGGAGGATTTCGTTGGAAACGGGAATACGTATAAAAAGCAGACAGCAGCATTGTCAGAAACTACTTTGTGATGTTTGCATTCAAGTCACAGAATTGAACACTCCCTTTCACAGAGCAGGTTTGAAACACTCTTTTTGTAGTGTCTGTAAGTGAACATTTGGATTGCTTTCAGGCCTAAGGTGAAAAAGGAAATATCTTCCCATAAAAACTAGACAGAAGCATTCTCAGAAACTTGTTTGTGATGTGTGCCCTCTACTGACAGAGTTGAACCTTTCTTTGCAAAGAGAAGTTTTGAAACACTCTTTTTGTAGAACCTGCAAGAGGATATTTGGATAGCTTTGAGGATTTCTTGGGAAACGGGAATGTCTTCAGATAAACTCTAGACAGAAGCATTCTCAGAAACTTCTTTGGGATGTTTCAATTGAAGTCACAGTGTTGAACATTCCCTTTCACAGAGCAGGTTTGAAACACTCTTTTTGTAGTGTCTATAAGTGAACATTTGGCGTGCTTTCAGGCGTAACGTGAAAAAGGAAATATCTTCCCATAAAAACCAGACAGAAGCATTCTCAGAAACTTGTTTGTGATGTGTGCCCTCTACTGACAGAGTTGAACCTTTCTTTGCAAAGAGCAGCTTTGAAACACTCTTTTTGTAGAATCTGCAAGAGGATATTTGGATAGCTTTGAGGATTTCGTTGGAAACGGGTATGTTTTCAGATAAACTCTAGACAGAAGCATTCTCAGAAACTTCTTTGGGATGTTGCATTCAAGTCACAGAGTAGAACATTCCCATTCATAGAGCAGATTTGAAACACTCTTTTTGTAGTATCTGGAAGTGGACATTTGGAGCGCTTTCAGGCCTATGTTGAAAAAGGAAATATCTTCCCATAAAAACTAGACGGAAGCATTCTCAGAAACTTATTTGTGATGTGTTTGCTCAACTAACAGGATTGAACCATCGTTTTGAAGGAGCAGTTTTGAAACACTGTTTTCGTGGAATCTGCAAGTGGATATTTGGCTAGCTTTGAGGATTTCGTTGGAAACGGGATTACATATAAAAAGGAGACAGCAGCATTCTCAGAAACTTCTTTGTGATGTCTGCATTCAATTCACAGAGTTGAGCATTCCCTTTCATAGAGCACGTTGGAAACACTCTTTTTGTAGTATCTGGATGAGGACATTTGGAGCGCTTTCAGGCATATGGTGAAAAAGGAAATATCTTCCCGTAAAAACTAGACAGAAGCATTCTCAGAAGTTTATTTGTGATGTGTGCCCTCAACTAACAGAGTTGAACCTTTCTTTTGATAGAGCAGTTTTGAAACACTCTTTTTGTAAAATCTGCAAGAGGATATTTGGATAGCTTTGAGGATTTCGTTGCAAACGGGAATGGCTTCATATAAACTCTAGACAGAAGCATTCTCAGAAACTTCGTTGGGATGTTTCGATTGAAGTCCCAGTGTTGAACATTCCCTTTTATAGAGCAGGTTGGAAACACTCTTTCTGCATTCCCTGGAAGTGGACATTTGGAGCGCTTTCAGGACGACGGTGAAAATGGAAATATCTTCCAAGAAAATCTAGATAGAAGCAATGTCAGAAACTTTTATGTGATGGATCTACTCAGCTAACAGAGTTGAACCTTTCTTTTGAGAGAGCAGTTTTGCAACACTCTTTTTGTGGAATATGCAAGTGGATATTAGGGCAGCTTTGAGGATTTCGTTGGAAACGGGAATACATGTAAAAAGCAGACAGCAGCATTCTCTGAAACTTCTTTGTGATGTTTGCATTGAAGTCACAGAGTTGAACATTCCCTTTGAGAGAGCAGGTTTGAAACACGCCTTTTGTCATATCTGGAAGTGTCCATTCGGAGCGCATTCAGGCTTGTGTTGAAAAAGGAAATATCCTCCCATAAAAACTAGACAGAAGCATTCTCAGAAACTTATTTGTGATGTATGTACTCAACTAACAGAACTAAACCATCGTTTTGAAGGAGCAGTTTTGAAACACCCTTTTTGCGGAATCTGCAACTGGATATTTGGCTAGCTTGGAGGATTTCGTTGGAAACGGGATTACATACAAAAAGCAGACAGCAGCATTCTCAGAAACTTCTTTGTGATGTTTGCATTCAAGTCGCAGAGTTGAACATTCCCTTTCATAGAGCAGGTTTGAAACACTCTTTTTGTAGTATCTGGATGTGGACATTTGGATCGCTTTCAGGCCTATGGTGAAAAAGGAAATATCTTCCCATGAAAACTAGACAGAAGCATTCTCAGAAACTTATTTGTGATGTGTGCCCTCAACTGACAGTGTTGAACCTTTGTTTTGATAGAGCAGTTCTGAAACACACTTTTTGTAAAATCTGCAAGAGGATATTTGGATAGCTTTGAGGATTTCGTTGGAAACGGGAATGTCTTCATGTAAACTCTAGACAGAAGCATTCTCAGAAACTGCTTTGGGATGTTTCAATTGAAGTCCCAGTGTTGAACATTCCCTTTCATAGAGCAGGTTTGAAACACTCTTTTTGTAGTATGTGGAAGTGGACATTTGGAGCGCTTTCAGGTCTACGGTGAAAAAGGAGATATCTTCCAATAAAAACTAGATAGAAGCAATGTCAGAACTTTTTTCATGATGTATCTACTCAGCAAACAGAGTTGAACCTTTCTTTTGAGAGAGCAGTTTTGAAACACTCTTTTTGTGGAATATGCAAGTGGGTATTAGGCCAGCTTGGAGGATTTCGTTGGAAACGGGAATACGTATAAAAAGCAGACAGCAGCATTGTCAGAAACTACTTTGTGATGTTTGCATTCAAGTCACAGAATTGAACACTCCCTTTCACAGAGCAGGTTTGAAACACTCTTTTTGTAGTGTCTGTAAGTGAACATATGGATTGCTTTCAGGCCTAAGGTGAAAAAGGAAATATCTTCCCATAAAAACTAGACAGAAGCATTCTCAGAAACTTGTTTGTGATGTGTGCCCTCTACTGACAGAGTTGAACCTTTCTTTGCAAAGAGCAGTTTTGAAACACACTTTTTGTAGAATCTGCAAGAGGATATTTGGATAGCTTTGAGGATTTCTTGGGAAACGGGAATGTCTTCAGATAAACTCTAGACAGAAGCATTTTCAGAAACTTCTTGGGATATTTCAATTGAAGTCACAGTGTTGAACATTCCCTTTCACAGAGCAGGTTTGAAACACTCTTTTTGTAGTGTCTATAAGTGAACATTTGGCGTGCTTTCAGGCCTAACGTGAAAAAGGAAATATCTTCCCATAAAAACTAGACAGAAGCATTCTCAGAAACTTGTTCGTGATGTGTGCCCTCTACTGACAGAGTTGAACCTTTCTTTGCAAAGAGCAGCTTTGAAACATTCTTTTTGTAGAATCTGCAAGAGGATATTTGGATAGCTTTGAGGATTTCGTTGGAAACGGGTATGTCTTCAGATAAACTCTAGACAGAAGCATTCTCAGAAACTTCTTTGGGATGTTGCATGCAAGTCACAGAGTAGAACATTCCCATTCATAGAGCAGATTTGAAACACTCTTTTTGTAGTATCTGGAAGTGGACATTTGGAGCGCTTTCAGGCCTATGTTGAAAAAGGAAATATCTTCCCATAAAAACTAGACGGAAGCATTCTCAGAAACTTATTTGTGATGTGTTTGCTCAACTAACAGGATTGAACCATCGTTTTGAAGGAGCAGTTTTGAAACACTGTTTTCGTGGAATCTGCAAGTGGATATTTGGCTAGCTTTGAGGATTTCGTTGGAAACGGGATTACATATAAAAAGGAGACAGCAGCATTCTCAGAAACTTCTTTGTGATGTCTGCATTCAATTCACAGAGTTGAGCATTCCCTTTCATAGAGCACGTTGGAAACACTCTTTTTGTAGTATCTGGATGAGGACATTTGGAGCGCTTTCAGGCGTATGGTGAAAAAGGAAATATCTTCCCGTAAAAACTAGACAGAAGCATTCTCAGAAGTTTATTTGTGATGTGTGCCCTCAACTAACAGAGTTGAACCTTTCTTTTGATAGAGCAGTTTTGAAACACTCTTTTTGTAAAATCTGCAAGAGGATATTTGGATAGCTTTGAGGATTTCGTTGCAAACGGGAATGGCTTCATATAAACTCTAGACAGAAGCATTCTCAGAAACTTCGTTGGGATGTTTCGATTGAAGTCCCAGTGTTGAACATTCCCTTTTATAGAGCAGGTTGGAAACACTCTTTCTGCATTCCCTGGAAGTGGACATTTGGAGCGCTTTCAGGACGACGGTGAAAATGGAAATATCTTCCAAGAAAATCTAGATAGAAGCAATGTCAGAAACTTTTATGTGATGGATCTACTCAGCTAACAGAGTTGAAGCTTTCTTTTGAGAGAGCAGTTTTGCAACACTCTTTTTGTGGAATATGCAAGTGGATATTAGGGCAGCTTTGAGGATTTCGTTGGAAACGGGAATACATGTAAAAAGCAGACAGCAGCATTCTCAGAAATTTCTTTGTGATGTTTGCATTGAAGTCACAGAGTTGAACATTCCCTTTGAGAGAGCAGGTTTGAAACACGCCTTTTGTCATATCTGGAAGTGTCCATTCGGAGCGCATTCAGGCTTGTGTTGAAAAAGGAAATATCCTCCCATAAAAACTAGACAGAAGCATTCTCAGAAACTTATCTGTGATGTATGTACTCAACTAACAGAACTAAACCATCGTTTTGAAGGAGCAGTTTTGAAACACTCTTTTTGCGGAATCTGCAAGTGGATATTTGGCTAGCTGGGAGGATTTCGTTGGAAACGGGATTACATACAAAAAGCAGAGAGCAGCATTCTCAGAAACTTATTTGTGATGTGTGCACTCAACTGACAGTGTTGAACCTTTGTTTTGATAGAGCAGTTCTGAAACACACTTTTTGTAAAATCTGCAAGAGGATATTTGGATAGCTTTGAGGATTTCGTTGGAAACGGGAATGTCTTCATGTAAAGTCTAGACAGAAGCATTCTCAGAAACTGCTTTGGGATGTTTCAATTGAAGTCCCAGTGTTGAACATTCCCATTCATAGAGCAGGTTTGAAACACTCTTTTTGTACTATCTGGAAGTGGACATTTGGAGCGCTTTCAGGTCTACGGTGAAAAAGGAGATATCTTCCAATAAAAACTAGATAGAAGCAATGTCAGAACTTTTTTCATGATGTATCTACTCAGCTAACAGAGTTGAACCTTTCTTTTGAGAGAGCAGTTTTGAAACACTCTTTTTGTGGAATATGCAAGTGGGTATTAGGCCAGCTTGGAGGATTTCGTTGGAAACGGGAATACGTATAAAAAGCAGACAGCAGCATTGTCAGAAACTACTTTGTGATGTTTGCATTCAAGTCACAGAATTGAACACTCCCTTTCACAGAGCAGGTTTGAAACACTCTTTTTGTAGTGTCTGTAAGTGAACATTTGGATTGATTTCAGGCCTAAGGTGAAAAAGGAAATATCTTCCCATAAAAACTAGACAGAAGCATTCTCAGAAACTTGTTTGTGATGTGTGCCCTCTACTGACAGAGTTGAACCTTTCTTTGCAAAGAGCAGTTTTGAAACACTCTTTTTGTAGAATCTGCAAGAGGATATTTGGATAGCTTTGAGGATTTCTTGGGAAACGGGAATGTCTTCAGATAAACTCTAGACAGAAGCATTCTCAGAAACTTCTTTGGGATATTTCAATTGAAGTCACAGTGTTGAACATTCCCTTTCACAGAGCAGGTTTGAAACACTCTTTTTGTAGTGTCTATAAGTGAACATTTGGCGTGCTTTCAGGCCTAACGTGAAAAAGGAAATATCTTCCCATAAAAACTAGACAAAAGCATTCTCAGAAACTTGTTCGTGATGTGTGCCCTCTACTGACAGAGTTGAACCTTTCTTTGCAAAGAGCAGCTTTGAAACACTCTTTTTGTAGAATCTGCAAGAGGATATTTGGATAGCTTTGAGGATTTCGTTGGAAACGGGTATGTCTTCAGATAAACTTAGACAGAAGCATTCTCAGAAACTTCTTTGGGATGTTGCATTCAAGTCACAGAGTAGAACATTCCCATTCATAGAGCAGATTTGAAACACTCTTTTTGTAGTATCTGGAAGTGGACATTTGGAACGCTTTCAGGCCTATGTTGAAAAAGGATATATCTTCCCATAAAAACTAGACGGAAGCATTCTCAGAAACTTACTTGTGATGTGTTTGCTCAACTAACAGAATTGAACCATCGTTTTGAAGGAGCAGTTTTGAAACACTGTTTTCGTGGAATCTGCAAGTGGATATTTGGCTAGCTTTGAGGATTTCGTTGGAAACGGGATTACATATAAAAAGGAGACAGCAGCATTCTCAGAAACTTCTTTGTGATGTCTGCATTCAAGTCACAGAGTTGAGCATTCCCTTTCATAGAGCAGGTTGGAAACACTCTTTTTGTAGTATCTGGATGAGGACATTTGGAGCGCTTTCAGGCGTATGGTGAAAAAGGAAATATCTTCCCGTAAAAACTAGACAGAAGATTCTCAGAAATTTATTTGTGATGTGTGCCCTCAACTAACAGAGTTGAACCTTTCTTTTGATAGAGCAGTTTTGAAACACTCTTTTTGTAAAATCTGCAAGAGGATATTTGGATAGCTTTGAGGATTTCGTTGCAAACGGGAATGGCTTCATATAAACTCTAGACAGAAGCATTCTCAGAAACTTCGTTGGGATGTTTCGATTGAAGTCCCAGTGTTGAACATTCCCTTTTATAGAGCAGGTTGGAAACACTCTTTCTGCATTCCCTGGAAGTGGACATTTGGAGCGCTTTCAGGACGACGGTGAAAATGGAAATATCTTCCAAGAAAATCTAGATAGAAGCAACGTCAGAAACTTTTCTGTGATGGATCTACTCAGCTAACAGAGTTGAACCTTTCTTTTGAGAGAGCAGTTTTGCAACACTCTTTTTGTGGAATATGCAAGTGGATATTAGGGCAGCTTTGAGGATTTCGTTGGAAACGGGAATACATGTAAAAAGCAGACAGCAGCATTCTCAGAAACTTCTTTGTGATGTTTGCATTGAAGTCACAGAGTTGAACATTCCCTTTGAGAGAGCAGGTTTGAAACACGCCTTTTGTCATATCTGGAAGTGTCCATTCGGAGCGCATTCAGGCTTGTGTTGAAAAAGGAAATATCCTCCCATAAAAACTAGACAGAAGCATTCTCAGAAACTTATCTGTGATGTATGTACTCAACTAACAGAACTAAACCATCGTTTTGAAGGAGCAGTTTTGAAACACTCTTTTTGCGGAATCTGCAAGTGGATATTTGGCTAGCTGGGAGGATTTCGTTGGAAACGGGATTACATACAAAAAGCAGACAGCAGCATTCTCAGAAACTTCTTTGTGATGTTTGCATTCAAGTCACAGAGTTGAACATTCCCTTTCATAGAGCAGGTTTGAAACACTCTTTTTGTAGTATCTGGATGTGGACATTTGGATCGCTTTCAGGCCTATGGTGAAAAAGGAAATATCTTCCCATGAAAACTAGACAGAAGCATTCTCAGAAACTTATTTGTGATGTGTGCCCTCAACTGACAGTGTTGAACCTTTGTTTTGATAGAGCAGTTCTGAAACACACTTTTTGTAAAATCTGCAAGAGGATATTTGGATAGCTTTGAGGATTTCGTTGGAAACGGGAATGTCTTCATGTAAACTCTACACAGAAGCATTCTCAGAAACTGCTTTGGGATGTTTCAATTGAAGTCCCAGTGTTGAACATTCCCATTCATAGAGCAGGTTTGAAACACTCTTTTTGTACTATCTGGAAGTGGACATTTGGAGCGCTTTCAGGTCTACGGTGAAAAAGGAGATATCTTCCAATAAAAACTAGATAGAAGCAATGTCAGAACTTTTTTCATGATGTATCTACTCAGCAAACAGAGTTGAACCTTTCTTTTGAGAGAGCAGTTTTGAAACACTCTTTTTGTGGAATATGAAAGTGGGTATTAGGCCAGCTTGGAGGATTTCGTTGGAAACGGGAATACGTATAAAAAGCAGACAGCAGCATTGTCAGAAACTACTTTGTGATGTTTGCATTCAAGTCACAGAACTGAACACTCCCTTTCACAGAGCAGGTTTGAAACACTCTTTTTGTAGTGTCTGTAAGTGAACATTTGGATTGCTTTCAGGCCTAAGGTGAAAAAGGAAATATCTTCCCATAAAAACTAGACAGAAGCATTCTCAGAAACTTGTTTGTGATGTGTGCCCTCTACTGACAGAGTTGAACCTTTCTTTGCAAAGAGCAGTTTTGAAACACTCTTTTTGTAGAATCTGCAAGAGGATATTTGGATAGCTTTGAGGATTTCTTGGGAAACGGGAATGTCTTCAGATAAACTCTAGACAGAAGCATTCTCAGAAACTTCTTTGGGATGTTTCAATTGAAGTCACAGTGTTGAACATTCCCTTTCACAGAGCAGGTTTGAAACACTCTTTTTGTAGTGTCTATAATTGAACATTTGGCGTGCTTTCAGGCCTAACGTGAAAAAGGAAATATCTTCCCATACAAAACTAGACAGAAGCATTCTCAGAAACTTGTTCGTGATGTGTGCCCTCTACTGACAGAGTTGAACCTTTCTTTGCAAAGAGCAGCTTTGAAACACTCTTTTTGTAGAATCTGCAAGAGGATATTTGGATAGCTTGGAGGATTTCGTTGGAAACGGGTATGTCTTCAGATAAACTCTAGACAGAAGCATTCTCAGAAACTTCTTTGGGATGTTGCATTCAAGTCACAGAGTAGAACATTCCCATTCATAGAGCAGATTTGAAACACTCTTTTTGTAGTATCTGGAAGTGGACATTTGGAGCGCTTTCAGGCCTATGTTGAAAAAGGAAATATCTTCCCATAAAAACTAGACGGAAGCAATCTCAGAAACTTATTTGTGATGTGTTTGCTCAACTAACAGGATTGAACCATCGTTTTGAAGGAGCAGTTTTGAAACACTGTTTTCGTGGAATCTGCAAGTGGATATTTGGCTAGCTTTGAGGATTTCGTTGGAAACGGGATTACATATAAAAAGGAGACAGCAGCATTCTCAGAAACTTCTTTGTGATGTCTGCATTCAATTCACAGAGTTGAGCATTCCCTTTCATAGAGCAGGTTGGAAACACTCTTTTTGTAGTATCTGGATGTGGACATTTGGATCGCTTTCAGGCCTATGGTGAAAAAGGAAATATCTTCCCATGAAAACTAGACAGAAGCATTCTCAGAAACTTATTTGTGATGTGTGCACTCAACTGACAGTGTTGAACCTTTGTTTTGATAGAGCAGTTCTGAAACACAATTTTTGTAAAATCTGCAAGAGGATATTTGGATAGCTTTGAGGATTTCGTTGGAAACGGGAATGTCTTCATGTAAACTCTAGACAGAAGCATTCTCAGAAACTGCTTTGGGATGTTTCAATTGAAGTCCCAGTGTTGAACATTCCCATTCATAGAGCAGGTTTGAAACACTCTTTTTCTACTATCTGGAAGTGGACATTTGGAGCGCTTTCAGGTCTACGGTGAAAAAGGAGATATCTTACAATAAAAACTAGATAGAAGCAATGTCAGAACTTTTTTCATGATGTATCTACTCAGCAAACAGAGTTGAACCTTTCTTTTGAGAGAGCAGTTTTGACACTGTCTTTGTGGAATATGCAAGTGGGTATTAGGCCAGCTTGGAGGATTTCGTTGGAAACGGGAATACGTATAAAAAGCAGACAGCAGCATTGTCAGAAACTACTTTGTGATGTTTGCATTCAAGTCACAGAATTGAACACTCCCTTTCACAGAGCAGGTTTGAAACACTCTTTTTGTAGTGTCTGTAAGTGAACATTTGGATTGCTTTCAGGCCTAAGGTGAAAAAGGAAATATCTTCCCATAAAAACTAGACAGAAGCATTCTCAGAAACTTGTTTGTGATGTGTGCCCTCTACTGACAGAGTTGAACCTTTCTTTGCAAAGAGCAGTTTTGAAACAGTCTTTTTGTAGAATCTGCAAGAGGATATTTGGATAGCTTTGAGGATTTCTTGGGAAACGGGAATGTCTTCAGATAAACTCTAGACAGAAGCATTCTCAGAAACTTCTTTGGGATGTTTCAATTGAAGTCACAGTGTTGAACATTCCCTTTCACAGAGCAGGTTTCAAACACTCTTTTTGTAGTGTCTATAAGTGAACATTTGGCGTGCTTTCAGGCCTAACGTGAAAAAGGAAATATCTTCCCATAAAAACTAGACAGAAGCATTCTCAGAAATTTGTTCGTGATGTGTGCCCTCTACTGACAGAGTTGAACCTTTCTTTGCAAAGAGCAGCTTTGAAACACACTTTTTGTAGAATCTGCAAGAGGATATTTGGATAGCTTTGAGGATTTCGTTGGAAACGGGTATGTCTTCAGATAAACTCTAGACAGAAGCATTCTCAGAAACTTCTTTGGGATGTTGCATGCAAGTCACAGAGTAGAACATTCCCATTCATAGAGCAGATTTGAAACACTCTTTTTGTAGTATCTGGAAGTGGACATTTGGAGCGCTTTCAGGCCTATGTTGAAAAAGGAAATATCTTCCCATAAAAACTAGACGGAAGCATTCTCAGAAACTTATTTGTGATGTGTTTGCTCAACTAACAGGATTGAACCATCGTTTTGAAGGAGCAGTTTTGAAACACTGTTTTCGTGGAATCTGCAAGTGGATATTTGGCTAGCTTTGAGGATTTCGTTGGAAACGGGATTACATATAAAAAGGAGACAGCAGCATTCTCAGAAACTTCTTTGTGATGTCTGCATTCAATTCACAGAGTTGAGCATTCCCTTTCATAGAGCAGGTTGGAAACACTCTTTTTGTAGTATCTGGATGAGGACATTTGGAGCGCTTTCAGGCGTATGGTGAAAAAGGAAATATCTTCCCGTAAAAACTAGACAGAAGCATTCTCAGAAGTTTATTTGTGATGTGTGCCCTCAACTAACAGAGTTGAACCTTTCTTTTGATAGAGCAGTTTTGAAACACTCTTTTTGTAAAATCTGCAAGAGGATATTTGGATAGCTTTGAGGATTTCGTTGCAAACGGGAATGGCTTCATATAAACTCTAGACAGAAGCATTCTCAGAAACTTCGTTGGGATGTTTCGATTGAAGTCCCAGTGTTGAACATTCCCTTTTATAGAGCAGGTTGGAAACACTCTTTTTGCATTCCCTGGAAGTGGACATTTGGAGCGCTTTCAGGACGACGGTGAAAATGGAAATATCTTCCAAGAAAATCTAGATAGAAGCAATGTCAGAAACTTTTATGTGATGGATCTACTCAGCTAACAGAGTTGAACCTTTCTTTTGAGAGAGCAGTTTTGCAACACTCTTTTTGTGGAATATGCAAGTGGATATTAGGGCAGCTTTGAGGATTTCGTTGGAAACGGGAATACATGTAAAAAGCAGACAGCAGCATTCTCAGAAACTTCTTTGTGATGTTTGCATTGAAGTCACAGCAGTTGAACATTCCCTTTGAGAGAGCAGGTTTGAAACACGCCTTTTGTCATATCTGGAAGTGTCCATTCGGAGCGCATTCAGGCTTGTGTTGAAAAAGGAAATATCCTCCCATAAAAACTAGACAGAAGCATTCTCAGAAACTTATCTGTGATGTATGTACTCAACTAACAGAACTAAACCATCGTTTTGAAGGAGCAGTTTTGAAACACTCTTTTTGCGGAATCTGCAAGTGGATATTTGGCTAGCTGGGAGGATTTCGTTGGAAACGGGATTACATACAAAAAGCAGACAGCAGCATTCTCAGAAACTTCTTTGTGATGTTTGCATTCAAGTCACAGAGTTGAGCATTCCCTTTCATAGAGCAGGTTGGAAACACTCTTTTTGTAGTATCTGGATGTGGACATTTGGATCGCTTTCAGGCGTATGGTGAAAAAGGAAATATCTTCCCATGAAAACTAGACAGAAGCATTCTCAGAAACTTATTTGTGATGTGTGCCCTCAACTGACAGTGTTGAACCTTTGTTTTGATAGAGCAGTTCTGAAACACACTTTTTGTAAAATCTGCAAGAGGATATTTGGATAGCTTTGAGGATTTCGTTGGAAACGGGAATGTCTTCATGTAAACTCTAGACAGAAGCATTCTCAGAAACTGCTTTGGGATGTTTCAATTGAAGTCCCAGTGTTGAACATTCCCATTCATAGAGCAGGTTTGAAACACTCTTTTTGTACTATCTGGAAGTGGACATTTGGAGCGCTTTCAGGTCTACGGTGAAAAAGGAGATATCTTAAAATAAAAACTAGATAGAAGCAATGTCAGAACTTTTTTCATGATGTATCTACTCAGCAAACAGAGTTGAACCTTTCTTTTGAGAGAGCAGTTTTGAAACACTCTTTTTGTGGAATATGCAAGTGGGTATTAGGCCAGCTTGGAGGATTTCGTTGGAAACGGGAATACGTATAAAAAGCAGACAGCAGCATTGTCAGAAACTACTTTGTGATGTTTGCATTCAAGTCACAGAATTGAACACTCCCTTTCACAGAGCAGGTTTGAAACACTCTTTTTGTAGTGTCTGTAAGTGAACATTTGGATTGCTTTCAGGCCTAAGGTGAAAAAGGAAATATCTTCCCATAAAAACTAGACAGAAGCATTCTCAGAAACTTGTTTGTGATGTGTGCCCTCTACTGACAGAGTTGAACCTTTCTTTGCAAAGAGCAGTTTTGAAACACTCTTTTTGTAGAATCTGCAAGAGGATATTTGGATAGCTTTGAGGATTTCTTGGGAAACGGGAATGTCTTCAGATAAACTCTAGACAGAAGCATTCTCAGAAACTTCTTTGCGATGTTTCAATTGAAGTCACAGTGTTGAACATTCCCTTTCACAGAGCAGGTTTGAAACACTCTTTTTGTAGTGTCTATAAGTGAACATTTGGCGTGCTTTCAGGCCTAACGTGAAAAAGGAAATATCTTCCCAAAAAAACTAGACAGAAGCATTCTCAGAAACTTGTTCTTGATGTGTCCCCTCTACTGACAGAGTTGAACCTTTCTTTGCAAAGAGCAGCTTTGAAACACTCTTTTTGTAGAATCTGCAAGAGGATATTTGGATAGCTTGGAGGATTTCGTTGGAAACGGGTATGTCTTCAGATAAACTCTAGACAGAAGCATTCTCAGAAACTTCTTTGGGATGTTGCATTCAAGTCACAGAGTAGAACATTCCCATTCATAGAGCAGATTTGAAACACTCTTTTTGTAGTATCTGGAAGTGGACATTTGGAGCGCTTTCAGGCCTATGTTGAAAAAGGAAATATCTTCCCATAAAAACTAGACGGAAGCATTCTCAGAAACTTATTTGTGATGTGTTTGCTCAACTAACAGGATTGAACCATCGTTTTGAAGGAGCAGTTTTGAAACACTGTTTTCGTGGAATCTGCAAGTGGATATTTGGCTAGCTTTGAGGATTTCGTTGGAAATGGGATTACATATACAAAGGAGACAGCAGCATTCTCAGAAACTTCTTTGTGATGTCTGCATTCAATTCACAGAGTTGAGCATTCCCTTTCATAGAGCAGGTTGGAAACACTCTTTTTGTAGTATCTGGATGAGGACATTTGGAGCGCTTTCAGGCGTATGGTGAAAAAGGAAATATCTTCCCGTAAAAACTAGACAGAAGCATTCTCAGAAATTTATTTGTGATGTGTGCCCTCAACTAACAGAGTTGAACCTTTCTTTTGATAGAGCAGTTTTGAAACACTCTTTTTGTAAAATCTGCAAGAGGATATTTGGATAGCTTTGAGGATTTCGTTGCAAACGGGAATGGCTTCATATAAACTCTAGACAGAAGCATTCTCAGAAACTTCGTTGGGATGTTTTGATTGAAGTCCCAGTGTTGAACATTCCCTTTTATAGAGCAGGTTGGAAACACTCTTTCTGCATTCCCTGGAAGTGGACATTTGGAGCGCTTTCAGGACGACGGTGAAAATGGAAATATCTTCCAATAAAATCTAGATAGAAGCAACGTCAGAAACTTTTCTGTGATGGATCTACTCAGCTAACAGAGTTGAACCTTTCTTTTGAGAGAGCAGTTTTGCAACACTCTTTTTGTGGAATATGCAAGTGGATATTAGGGCAGCTTTGAGGATTTCGTTGGAAACGGGAATACATGTAAAAAGCAGACAGCAGCATTCTCAGAAACTTCTTTGTGATGTTTGCATTGAAGTCACAGAGTTGAACATTCCCTTTGAGAGAGCAGGTTTGAAACACGCCTTTTGTCATATCTGGAAGTGTCCATTCGGAGCGCATTCAGGCTTGTGTTGAAAAAGGAAATATCCTCCCATAAAAACTAGACAGAAGCATTCTCAGAAACTTATCTGTGATGTATGTACTCAACTAACAGAACTAAACCATCGTTTTGAAGGAGCAGTTTTGAAACACTCTTTTTGCGGAATCTGCAAGTGGATATTTGGCTAGCTGGGAGGATTTCGTTGGAAACGGGATTACATACAAAAAGCAGACAGCAGCATTCTCAGAAACTTCTTTGTGATGTTTGCATTCAAGTCACAGAGTTGAACATTCCCTTTCATAGAGCAGGTTTGAAACACTCTTTTTGTAGTATCTGGATGTGGACATTTGGATCGCTTTCAGGCCTATGGTGAAAAAGGAAATATCTTCCCATGAAAACTAGACAGAAGCATTCTCAGAAACTTATTTGTGATGTGTGCCCTCAACTGACAGTGTTGAACCTTTGTTTTGATAGAGCAGTTCTGAAACACACTTTTTGTAAAATCTGCAAGAGGATATTTGGATAGCTTTGAGGATTTCGTTGGAAACGGGAATGTCTTCATGTAAACTCTACACAGAAGCATTCTCAGAAACTGCTTTGGGATGTTTCAATTGAAGTCCCAGTGTTGAACATTCCCATTCATAGAGCAGGTTTGAAACACTCTTTTTGTAGTATCTGGAAGTGGACATTTGGAGCGCTTTCAGGTCTACGGTGAAAAAGGAGATATCTTCCAATAAAAACTAGATAGAAGCAATGTCAGAACTTTTTTCATGATGTATCTACTCAGCAAACAGAGTTGAACCTTTCTTTTGAGAGAGCAGTTTTGAAACACTCCTTTTGTGGAATATGCAAGTGGGTATTAGGCCAGCTTGGAGGATTTCGTTGGAAACGGGAATACGTATAAAAAGCGGACAGCAGCATTCTCAGAAACTACTTTGTGATGTTTGCATTCAAGTCACAGAATTGAACACTCCCTTTCACAGAGCAGGTTTGAAACACTCTTTTTGTAGTGTCTGTAAGTGAACATTTGGATTGCTTTCAGGCCTAAGGTGAAAAAGGAAATATCTTCCCATAAAAACTAGACAGAAGCATTCTCAGAAACTTGTTTGTGATGTGTGCCCTCTACTGACAGAGTTGAACCTTTCTTTGCAAAGACCAGTTTTGAAACACTCTTTTTGTAGAATCTGCAAGAGGATATTTGGATAGCTTTGAGGATTTCTTGGGAAACGGGAATGTCTTCAGATAAACTCTAGACAGAAGCATTCTCAGAAACTTCTTTGGGATGTTTCAATTGAAGTCACAGTGTTGAACATTCCCTTTCACAGAGCAGGTTTGAAACACTCTTTTTGTAGTGTCTATAAGTGAACATTTGGCGTACTTTCAGGCCTAACGTGAAAAAGGAAATATCTTCCCATAAAAACTAGATAGAAGCATTCTCAGAAATTTGTTCGTGATGTGTGCCCTCTACTGACAGAGTTGAACCTTTCTTTGCAAAGAGCAGCTTTGAAACACACTTTTTGTAGAATCTGCAAGAGGATATTTGGATAGCTTTGAGGATTTCGTTGGAAACGGGTATGTCTTCAGATAAACTCTAGACAGAAGCATTCTCAGAAACTTCTTTGGGATGTTGCATTCAAGTCACAGAGTAGAACATTCCCATTCATAGAGCAGATTTGAAACACTCTTTTTGTAGTATCTGGAAGTGGACATTTGGAGCGCTTTCAGGCCTATGTTGAAAAAGGAAATATCTTCCCATAAAAACTAGACGGAAGCATTCTCAGAAACTTATTTGTGATGTGTTTGCTCAACTAACAGGATTGAACCATCGTTTTGAAGGAGCAGTTTTGAAACACTGTTTTCGTGGAATCTGCAAGTGGATATTTGGCTAGCTTTGAGGATTTCGTTGGAAACGGGATTACATATACAAAGGAGACAGCAGCATTCTCAGAAACTTCTTTGTGATGTCTGCATTCAATTCACAGAGTTGAGCATTCCCTTTCATAGAGCAGGTTGGAAACACTCTTTTTGTAGTATCTGGATGAGGACATTTGGAGCGCTTTCAGGCGTATGGTGAAAAAGGAAATATCTTCCCTGTAAAAACTAGACAGAAGCATTCTCAGAAGTTTATTTGTGATGTGTGCCCTCAACTAACAGAGTTGAACCTTTCTTTTGATAGAGCAGTTTTGAAACACTCTTTTTGTAAAATCTGCAAGAGGATATTTGGATAGCTTTGAGGATTTCGTTGCAAACGGGAATGGCTTCATATAAACTCTAGACAGAAAGCATTCTCAGAAACTTCGTTGGGATGTTTCGATTGAAGTCCCAGTGTTGAACATTCCCTTTTATAGAGCAGGTTGGAAACACTCTTTCTGCATTCCCTGGAAGTGTACATTTGGAGCGCTTTCAGGACGACGGTGAAAATGGAAATATCTTCCAAGAAAATCTAGATAGAAGCAACGTCAGAAACTTTTATGTGATGGATCTACTCAGCTAACAGAGTTGAACCTTTCTTTTGAGAGAGCAGTTTTGCAACACTCTTTTTGTGGAATATGCAAGTGGATATTAGGGCAGCTTTGAGGATTTCGTTGGAAACGGGAATACATGTAAAAAGCAGACAGCAGCATTCTCAGAAACTTCTTTGTGATGTTTGCATTGAAGTCACAGAGTTGAACATTCCCTTTGAGAGAGCAGGATTGAAACACGCCTTTTGTCATATCTGGAAGTGTCCATTCGGAGCGCATTCAGGCTTGTGTTGAAAAAGGAAATATCCTCCCAGAAAAACTAGACAGAAGCATTCTCAGAAACTTATCTGTGATGTATGTACTCAACTAACAGAACTAAACCATCGTTTTGAAGGAGCAGTTTTGAAACACTCTTTTTGCGGAATCTGCAAGTGGATATTTGGCTAGCTGGGAGGATTTCGTTGGAAACGGGATTACATACAAAAAGCAGACAGCAGCATTCTGAGAAACTTCTTTGTGATGTCTGCATTCAATTCACAGAAGCTGAGCATTCCCTTTCATAGAGCAGGTTGGAAACACTCTTTTTGTAGTATCTGGATGTGGACATTTGGTTCGCTTTCAGGCCTATGGTGAAAAAGGAAATATCTTCCCATGAAAACTAGACAGAAGCATTCTCAGAAACTTATTTGTGATGTGTGCCCTCAACTGACAGTGTTGAACCTTTGTTTTGATAGAGCAGTTCTGAAACACACTTTTTGTAAAATCTGCAAGAGGATATTTGGATAGCTTTGAGGATTTCGTTGGAAACGGGAATGTCTTCATGTAAACTCTACACAGAAGCATTCTCAGAAACTGCTTTGGGATGTTTCAATTGAAGTCCCAGTGTTGAACATTCCCATTCATAGAGCAGGTTTGAAACACTCTTTTTGTACTATCTGGAAGTGGACATTTGGAGCGCTTTCAGGTCTACGGTGAAAAAGGAGATATCTTCCAATAAAAACTAGATAGAAGCAATGTCAGAACTTTTTTCATGATGTATCTACTCAGCACACAGAGTTGAACCTTTCTTTTGAGAGAGCAGTTTTGAAACACTCTTTTTGTGGAATATGCAAGTGGGTATTAGGCCAGCTTGGAGGATTTCGTTGGAAACGGGAATACGTATAAAAAGCAGACAGCAGCATTGTCAGAAACTACTTTGTGATGTTTGCATTCAAGTCACAGAATTGAACACTCCCTTTCACAGAGCAGGTTTGAAACACTCTTTTTGTAGTGTCTGTAAGTGAACATATGGATTGCTTTCAGGCCTAAGGTGAAAAAGGAAATATCTTCCCATAAAAACTAGACAGAAGCATTCTCAGAAACTTGTTTGTGATGTGTGCCCTCTACTGACAGAGTTGAACCTTTCTTTGCAAAGACCAGTTTTGAAACACTCTTTTTGTAGAATCTGCAAGAGGATATTTGGATAGCTTTGAGGATTTCTTGGGAAACGGGAATGTCTTCAGATAAACTCTAGACAGAAGCATTCTCAGAAACTTCTTTGGGATGTTTCAATTGAAGTCACAGTGTTGAACATTCCCTTTCACAGAGCAGGTTTGAAACACTCTTTTTGTAGTGTCTATAAGTGAACATTTGGCGTGCTTTCAGGCCTAACGTGAAAAAGGAAATATCTTCCCATAAAAACTAGACAGAAGCATTCTCAGAAACTTGTTCTTGATGTGTCCCCTCTACTGAGAGAGTTGAACCTTTCTTTGCAAAGAGCAGCTTTGAAACACTCTTTTTGTAGAATCTGCAAGAGGATATTTGGATAGCTTGGAGGATTTCGTTGGAAACGGGTATGTCTTCAGATAAACTCTAGACAGAAACATTCTCAGAAACTTCTTTGGGATGTTGCATTCAAGTCACAGAGTAGAACATTCCCATGCATAGAGCAGATTTGAAACACTCTTTTTGTAGTATCTGGAAGTGGACATTTGGAGCGCTTTCAGGCCTATGTTGAAAAAGGAAATATCTTCCCATAAAAACTAGACGGGAAGCATTCTCAGAAACTTACTTGTGATGTGTTTGCTCAACTAACAGGATTGAACCATCGTTTTGAAGGAGCAGTTTTGAAACACAGTTTTCGTGGAATCTGCAAGTGGATATTTGGCTAGCTTTGAGGATTTCGTTGGAAACGGGATTACATATAAAAAGGAGACAGCAGCATTCTCAGAAACTTCTTTGTGATGTTTGCATTCAAGTCACAGAGTTGAACATTCCCTTTCATAGAGCAGGTTTGAAACACTCTTTTTGTAGTATCTGGATGTGGACATTTGGATCGCTTTCAGGCCTATGGTGAAAAAGGAAATATCTTCCCATGAAAACTAGACAGAAGCATTCTCAGAAACTTATTTGTGATGTGTGCCCTCAACTGACAGTGTTGAACCTTTGTTTTGATAGAGCAGTTCTGAAACACACTTTTTGTAAAATCTGCAAGAGGATATTTGGATAGCTTTGAGGATTTCGTTGGAAACGGGAATGTCTTCATGTAAACTCTAGACAGAAGCATTCTCAGAAACTGCTTTGGGATGTTTCAATTGAAGTCCCAGTGTTGAACATTCCCATTCATAGAGCAGGTTTGAAACACTCTTTTTGTACTATCTGGAAGTGGACATTTGGAGCGCTTTCAGGTCTACGGTGAAAAAGGAGATATCTTCCAATAAAAACTAGATAGAAGCAATGTCAGAACTTTTTTCATGATGTATCTACTCAGCAAACAGAGTTGAACCTTTCTTTTGAGAGAGCAGTTTTGAAACACTCTTTTTGTGGAATATGCAAGTGGGTATTAGGCCAGCTTGGAGGATTTCGTTGGAAACGGGAATACGTATAAAAAGCAGACAGCAGCATTGTCAGAAACTACTTTGTGATGTTTGCATTCAAGTCACAGAATTGAACACTCCCTTTCACAGAGCAGGTTTGAAACACTCTTTTTGTAGTGTCTGTAAGTGAACATTTGGATTGCTTTCAGGCCTAAGGTGAAAAAGGAAATATCTTCCCATAAAAACTAGACAGAAGCATTCTCAGAAACTTGTTTGTGATGTGTGCCCTCTACTGACAGAGTTGAACCTTTCTTTGCAAAGAGCAGTTTTGAAACACTCTTTTTGTAGAATCTGCAAGAGGATATTTGGATAGCTTTGAAGATTTCTTGGGAAACGGGAATGTCTTCAGATAAACTCTAGACAGGAAGCATTCTCAGAAACTTCTTTGGGATGTTTCAATTGAAGTCACAGTGTTGAACATTCCCTTTCACAGAGCAGGTTTGAAACACTCTTTTTGTAGTGTCTATAAGTGAACATTTGGCGTGCTTTCAGGCGTAACGTGAAAAAGGAAATATCTTCCCATAAAAACTAGACAGAAGCATTCTCAGAAACTTGTTCGTGATGTGTGCCCTCTACTGACAGAGTTGAACCTTTCTTTGCAAAGAGCAGCTTTGAAACACACTTTTTGTAGAATCTGCAAGAGGATATTTGGATAGCTTTGAGGATTTCGTTGGAAACGGGTATGTCTTCAGATAAACTCTAGACAGAAGCATTCTCAGAAACTTCTTTGGGATGTTGCATTCAAGTCACAGAGTAGAACATTCCCATTCATAGAGCAGATTTGAAACACTCTTTTTGTAGTATCTGGAAGTGGACATTTGGAGCGCTTTCAGGCCTATGTTGAAAAAGGAAATATCTTCCCATAAAAACTAGACGGAAGCATTCTCAGAAACTTACTTGTGATGTGTTTGCTCAACTAACAGAATTGAACCATCGTTTTAAAGGAGCAGTTTTGAAACACTGTTTTCGTGGAATCTGCAAGTGGATATTTGGCTAGCTTTGAGGATTTCGTTGGAAACGGGATTACATATAAAAAGGAGACAGCAGCATTCTCAGAAACTTCTTTGTGATGTCTGCATTCAATTCACAGAGTTGAGCATTCCCTTTCATAGAGCAGGTTGGAAACACTCTTTTTGTAGTATCTGGATGAGGACATTTGGAGCGCTTTCAGGCCTATGGTGAAAAAGGAAATATCTTCCCGTAAAAACTAGACAGAAGCATTCTCAGAAATTTATTTGTGATGTGTGCCCTCAACTAACAGAGTTGAACTTTTCTTTTGATACAGCAGTTTTGAAACACTCTTTTTGTAAAATCTGCTAGAGGATATTTGGATAGCTTTGAGGATTTCGTTGCAAACGGGAATGGCTTCATATAAACTCTAGACAGAAGCATTCTCAGAAACTTCGTTGGGATGTTTCGATTGAAGTCCCAGTGTTGAACATTCCCTTTTATAGAGCAGGTTGGAAACACTCTTTCTGCATTCCCTGGAAGTGGACATTTGGAGCGCTTTCAGGACGACGGTGAAAATGGAAATATCTTCCAAGAAAATCTAGATAGAAGCAACGTCAGAAACTTTTCTGTGATGGATCTACTCAGCTAACAGAGTTGAACCTTTCTTTTGAGAGAGCAGTTTTGCAACACTCTTTTTGTGGAATATGCAAGTGGATATTAGGGCAGCTTTGAGGATTTCGTTGGAAACGGGAATACATGTAAAAAGCAGACAGCAGCATTCTCAGAAACTTCTTTGTGATGTTTGCATTGAAGTCACAGAGTTGAACATTCCCTTTGAGAGAGCAGGTTTGAAACACGCCTTTTGTCATATCTGGAAGTGTCCATTCGGAGCGCATTCAGGCTTGTGTTGAAAAAGGAAATATCCTCCCAGAAAAACTAGACAGAAGCATTCTCAGAAACTTATCTGTGATGTATGTACTCAACTAACAGAACTAAACCATCGTTTTGAAGGAGCAGTTTTGAAACACTCTTTTTGCGGAATCTGCAAGTGGATATTTGGCTAGCTGGGAGGATTTCGTTGGAAACGGGATTACATACAAAAAGCAGACAGCAGCATTCTCAGAAACTTCTTTGTGATGTTTGCATTCAAGTCACAGAGTTGAACATTCCCTTTCATAGAGCAGGTTTGAAACACTCTTTTTGTAGTATCTGGATGTGGACATTTGGATCGCTTTCAGGCCTATGGTGAAAAAGGAAATATCTTCCCATGAAAACTAGACAGAAGCATTCTCAGAAACTTATTTGTGATGTGTGCCCTCAACTGACAGTGTTGAACCTTTGTTTTGATAGAGCAGTTCTGAAACACACTTTTTGTAAAATCTGCAAGAGGATATTTGGATAGCTTTGAGGATTTCGTTGGAAACGGGAATGTCTTCATGTAAACTCTGGACAGAAGCATTCTCAGAAACTGCTTTGGGATGTTTCAATTGAAGTCCCAGTGTTGAACATTCCCTTTCATAGAGCAGGTTTGAAACACTCTTTTTGTACTATCTGGAAGTGGACATTTGGAGCGCTTTCAGGTCTACGGTGAAAAAGGAGATATCTTCCAATAAAAACTAGATAGAAGCAATGTCAGAACTTTTTTCGTGATGTATCTACTCAGCAAACAGAGTTGAACCTTTCTTTTGAGAGAGCAGTTTTGAAACACTCTTTTTGTGGAATATGCAAGTGGGTATTAGGCCAGCTTGGAGGATTTCGTTGGAAACGGGAATACGTATAAAAAGCAGACAGCAGCATTGTCAGAAACTACTTTGTGATGTTTGCATTCAAGTCACAGAATTGAACACTCCCTTTCACAGAGCAGGTTTGAAACACTCTTTTTGTAGTGTCTGTAAGTGAACATTTGGATTGCTTTCAGGCCTAAGGTGAAAAAGGAAATATCTTCCCATAAAAACTAGACAGAAGCATTCTCAGAAACTTGTTTGTGATGTGTGCCCTCTACTGACAGAGTTGAAACTTTCTTTGCAAAGAGCAGTTTTGAAACACTCTTTTTGTAGAATCTGCAAGAGGATATTTGGATAGCTTTGAGGATTTCTTGGGAAACGGGAATGTCTTCAGATAAACTCTAGACAGAAGCATTCTCAGAAACTTCTTTGGGATGTTTCAATTGAAGTCACAGTGTTGAACATTCCCTTTCACAGAGCAGGTTTGAAACACTCTTTTTGTAGTGTCTATAATTGAACATTTGGCGTGCTTTCAGGCCTAACGTGAGAAAGGAAATATCTTCCCATAAAAACTAGACAGAAGCATTCTCAGAAACTTGTTCGTGATGTGTGCCCTCTACTGACAGAGTTGAACCTTTCTTTGCAAAGAGCAGCTTTGAAACACTCTTTTTGTAGAATCTGCAAGAGGATATGTGGATAGCTTTGAGGATTTCGTTGGAAACGGGTATGTCTTCAGATAAACTCTAGACAGAAGCATTCTCAGAAACTTCTTTGGGATGTTTCAATTGAAGTCACAGTGTTGAACATTCCCTTTCACAGAGCAGGTTTGAAACACTCTTTTTGTAGTGTCTATAAGTGAACATTTGGCGTGCTTTCAGGCCTAACGTGAAAAAGGAAATATCTTCCCATAAAAACTAGACAGAAGCATTCTCAGAAACTTGTTCGTGATGTGTGCCCTCTACTGACAGAGTTGAACCTTTCTTTGCAAAGAGCAGCTTTGAAACACTCTTTTTGTAGAATCTGCAAGAGGATATTTGGATAGCTTTGAGGATTTCGTTGGAAACGGGTATGTCTTCAGATAAACTCTAGACAGAAGCATTCTCAGAAACTTCTTTGGGATGTTGCATTCAAGTCACAGAGTAGAACATTCCCATTCATACAGCAGATTTGAAACACTCTTTTTGTAGTATCTGGAAGTGGACATTTGGAGCGCTTTCAGGCCTATGTTGAAAAAGGAAATATCTTCCCATAAAAACTAGACGGAAGCATTCTCAGAAACTTACTTGTGATGTGTTTGCTCAACTAACAGAATTGAACCATCGTTTTGTAGGAGCAGTTTTGAAACACTGTTTTCGTGGAATCTGCAAGTGGATATTTGGCTAGCTTTGAGGATTTCGTTGGAAACGGGATTACATATACAAAGGAGACAGCAGCATTCTCAGAAACTTCTTTGTGATGTCTGCATTCAAGTCACAGAGTTGAGCATTCCCTTTCATAGAGCAGGTTGGAAACACTCTTTTTGTAGTATCTGGATGAGGACATTTGGAGCGCTTTCAGGCGTATGGTGAAAAAGGAAATATCTTCCCGTAAAAACTAGACAGAAGCATTCTCAGAAATTTATTTGTGATGTGTGCCCTCAACTAACAGAGTTGAACCTTTCTTTTGATAGAGCAGTTTTGAAACACTCTTTTTGTAAAATCTGCAAGAGGATATTTGGATAGCTTTGAGGATTTCGTTGCAAACGGGAATGGCTTCATATAAACTCTAGACAGAAGCATTCTCAGAAACTTCGTTGGGATGTTTCGATTGAAGTCCCAGTGTTGAACATTCCCTTTTATAGAGCAGGTTGGAAACACTCTTTCTGCATTCCCTGGAAGTGGACATTTGGAGCGCTTTCAGGACGACGGTGAAAATGGAAATATCTTCCAAGAAAATCTAGATAGAAGCAACGTCAGAAACTTTTATGTGATGGATCTACTCAGCTAACAGAGTTGAACCTTTCTTTTGAGAGAGCAGTTTTGCAACACTCTTTTTGTGGAATATGCAAGTGGATATTAGGGCAGCTTTGAGGATTTCGTTGGAAACGGGAATACATGTAAAAAGCAGACAGCAGCATTCTCAGAAACTTCTTTGTGATGTTTGCATTGAAGTCACAGAGTTGAACATCCCCTTTGAGAGAGCAGGTTTGAAACACGCCTTTTGTCATATCTGGAAGTGTCCATTCGGAGCGCATTCAGGCTTGTGTTGAAAAAGGAAATATCCTCCCATAAAAACTAGACAGAAGCATTCTCAGAAACTTATCTGTGATGTATGTACTCAACTAACAGAACTAAACCATCGTTTTGAAGGGCAGTTTTGAAACACTCTTTTTGCGGAATCTGCAAGTGGATATTTGGCTAGCTGGGAGGATTTCGTTGGAAACGGGATTACATACAAAAAGCAGACAGCAGCATTCTCAGAAACTTCTTTGTGATGTTTGCATTCAAGTCACAGAGTTGAACATTCCCTTTCATAGAGCAGGTTTGAAACACTCTTTTTGTAGTATCTGGATGTGGACATTTGGATCGCTTTCAGGCCTATGGTGAAAAAGGAAATATCTTCCCATGAAAACTAGACAGAAGCATTCTCAGAAACTTATTTGTGATGTGTGCCCTCAACTGACAGTGTTGAACCTTTGTTTTGATAGAGCAGTTCTGAAACACACTTTTTGTAAAATCTGCAAGAGGATATTTGGATAGCTTTGAGGATTTCGTTGGAAACGGGAATGTCTTCATGTAAACTCTAGACAGAAGCATTCTCAGAAACTGCTTTGGGATGTTTCAATTGAAGTCCCAGTGTTGAACATTCCCATTCATAGAGCAGGTTTGAAACACTCTTTTTCTACTATCTGGAAGTGGACATTTGGAGCGCTTTCAGGTCTACGGTGAAAAAGGAGATATCTTCCAATAAAAACTAGATAGAAGCAATGTCAGAACTTTTTTCATGATGTATCTACTCAGCTAACAGAGTTGAACCTTTCTTTTGAGAGAGCAGTTTTGAAACACTCTTTTTGTGGAATATGCAAGTGGGTATTAGGCCAGCTTGGAGGATTTCGTTGGAAACGGGAATACGGTATAAAAAGCAGACAGCAGCATTGTCAGAAACTACTTTGTGATGTTTGCATTCAAGTCACAGAATTGAACACTCCCTTTCACAGAGCAGGTTTGAAACACTCTTTTTGTAGTGTCTGTAAGTGAACATATGGATTGCTTTCAGGCCTAAGGTGAAAAAGGAAATATCTTCCCATAAAAACTAGACAGAAGCATTCTCAGAAACTTGTTTGTGATGTGTGCCCTCTACTGACAGAGTTGAACCTTTCTTTGCAAAGAGCAGTTTTGAAACACTCTTTTTGTAGAATCTGCAAGAGGATATTTGGATAGCTTTGAGGATTTACTTGGGAAACGGGAATGTCTTCAGATAAACTCTAGACAGAAGCATTCTCAGAAACTTCTTTGGGATGTTTCAATTGAAGTCACAGTGTTGAACATTCCCTTTCACAGAGCAGGTTTGAAACACTCTTTTTGTAGTGTCTATAAGTGAACATTTGGCGTGCTTTCAGGCCTAACGTGAAAAAGGAAATATCTTCCCATAAAAACTAGACAGAAGCATTCTCAGAAACTTGTTCTTGATGTGTCCCCTCTACTGACAGAGTTGAACCTTTCTTTGCAAAGAGCAGCTTTGAAACACTCTTTTTGTAGAATCTGCAAGAGGATATTTGGATAGCTTGGAGGATTTCGTTGGAAACGGGTATGTCTTCAGATAAACTCTAGACAGAAGCATTCTCAGAAACTTCTTTGGGATGTTGCATTCAAGTCACAGAGTAGAACATTCCCATTCATAGAGCAGATTTGAAACACTCTTTTTGTAGTATCTGGAAGTGGACATTTGGAGCGCTTTCAGGCCTATGTTGAAAAAGGAAATATCTTCCCATAAAAACTAGACGGAAGCATTCTCAGAAACTTAATTGTGATGTGTTTGCTCAACTAACAGGATTGAACCATCGTTTTGAAGGAGCAGTTTTGAAACACTGTTTTCGTGGAATCTGCAAGTGGATATTTGGCTAGCTTTGAGGATTTCGTTGGAAACGGGATTACATATACAAAGGAGACAGCAGCATTCTCAGAAACTTCTTTGTGATGTCTGCATTCAATTCACAGAGTTGAGCATTCCCTTTCATAGAGCAGGTTGGAAACACTCTTTTTGTAGTATCTGGATGAGGACATTTGGAGCGCTTTCAGGCGTATGGTGAAAAAGGAAATATCTTCCCGTAAAAACTAGACAGAAGCATTCTCAGAAGTTTATTTGTGATGTGTGCCCTCAACTAACAGAGTTGAACCTTTCTTTTGATAGAGCAGTTTTGAAACACTCTTTTTGTAAAATCTGCAAGAGGATATTTGGATAGCTTTGAGGATTTCGTTGCAAACGGGAATGGCTTCATATAAACTCTAGACAGAAGCATTCTCAGAAACTTCGTTGGGATGTTTCGATTGAAGTCCCAGTGTTGAACATTCCCTTTTATAGAGCAGGTTGGAAACACTCTTTCTGCATTCCCTGGAAGTGGACATTTGGAGCGCTTTCAGGACGACGGTGAAAATGGAAATATCTTCCAAGAAAATCTAGATAGAAGCAATGTCAGAAACTTTTATGTGATGGATCTACTCAGCTAACAGAGTTGAAGCTTTCTTTTGAGAGAGCAGTTTTGCAACACTCTTTTTGTGGAATATGCAAGTGGATATTAGGGCAGCTTTGAGGATTTCGTTGGAAACGGGAATACATGTAAAAAGCAGACAGCAGCATTCTCAGAAACTTCTTTGTGATGTTTGCATTGAAGTCACAGAGTTGAACATTCCCTTTGAGAGAGCAGGTTTGAAACACGCCTTTTGTCATATCTGGAAGTGTCCATTCGGAGCGCATTCAGGCTTGTGTTGAAAAAGGAAATATCCTCCCATAAAAACTAGACAGAAGCATTCTCAGAAACTTATCTGTGATGTATGTACTCAACTAACAGAACTAAACCATCGTTTTGAAGGAGCAGTTTTGAAACACTCTTTTTGCGGAATCTGCAAGTGGATATTTGGCTAGCTGGGAGGATTTCGTTGGAAACGGGATTACATACAAAAAGCAGACAGCAGCATTCTCAGAAACTTCTTTGTGATGTTTGCATTCAAGTCACAGAGTTGAACATTCCCTTTCATAGAGCAGGTTTGAAACACTCTTTTTGTAGTATCTGGATGTGGACATTTGGATCGCTTTCAGGCCTATGGTGAAAAAGGAAATATCTTCCCATGAAAACTAGACAGAAGCATTCTCAGAAACTTATTTGTGATGTGTGCCCTCAACTGACAGTGTTGAACCTTTGTTTTGATAGAGCAGTTCTGAAACACACTTTTTGTAAAATCTGCAAGAGGATATTTGGATAGCTTTGAGGATTTCGTTGGAAACGGGAATGTCTTCATGTAAACTCTAGACAGAAGCATTCTCAGAAACTGCTTTGGGATGTTTCAATTGAAGTCCCAGTGTTGAACATTCCCTTTCATAGAGCAGGTTTGAAACACTCTTTTTGTACTATCTGGAAGTGGACATTTGGAGCGCTTTCAGGTCTACGGTGAAAAAGGAGATATCTTCCAATAAAAACTAGATAGAAGCAATGTCAGAACTTTTTTCATGATGTATCTACTCAGCAAACAGAGTTGAACCTTTCTTTTGAGAGAGCAGTTTTGAAACACTCTTTTTGTGGAATATGCAAGTGGGTATTAGGCCAGCTTGGAGGATTTCGTTGGAAACGGGAATACGTATAAAAAGCAGACAGCAGCATTGTCAGAAACTACTTTGTGATGTTTGCATTCAAGTCACAGAATTGAACACTCCCTTTCACAGAGCAGGTTTGAAACACTCTTTTTGTAGTGTCTGTAAGTGAACATTTGGATTGCTTTCAGGCCTAAGGTGAAAAAGGAAATATCTTCCCATAAAAACTAGACAGAAGCATTCTCAGAAACTTGTTTGTGATGTGTGCCCTCTACTGACAGAGTTGAACCTTTCTTTGCAAAGACCAGTTTTGAAACACTCTTTTTGTAGAATCTGCAAGAGGATATTTGGATAGCTTTGAGGATTTCTTGGGAAACGGGAATGTCTTCAGATAAACTCTAGACAGAAGCATTCTCAGAAACTTCTTTGGGATGTTTCAATTGAAGTCACAGTGTTGAACATTCCCTTTCACAGAGCAGGTTTGAAACACTCTTTTTGTAGTGTCTATAAGTGAACATTTGGCGTGCTTTCAGGCGTAACGTGAAAAAGGAAATATCTTCCCATAAAAACCAGACAGAAGCATTCTCAGAAACTTGTTCATGATGTGTGCCCTCTACTGACAGAGTTGAACCTTTCTTTGCAAAGAGCAGCTTTGAAACACTCTTTTTGTAGAATCTGCAAGAGGATATTTGGATAGCTTTGAGGATTTCGTTGGAAACGGGTATGTCTTCAGATAAACTCTAGACAGAAGCATTCTCAGAAACTTCTTTGGGATGTTGCATTCAAGTCACAGAGTAGAACATTCCCATTCATAGAGCAGATTTGAAACACTCTTTTTGTAGTATCTGGAAGTGGACATTTGGAGCGCTTTCAGGCCTATGTTGAAAAAGGAAATATCTTCCCATAAAAACTAGACGGAAGCATTCTCAGAAACTTACTTGTGATGTGTTTGCTCAACTAACAGAATTGAACCATCGTTTTGAAGGAGCAGTTTTGAAACAATGTTTTCGTAGAATCTGCAAGTGGATATTTGGCTAGCTTTGAGGATTTCGTTGGAAACGGGATTACATATAAAAAGGAGACAGCAGCATTCTCAGAAACTTCTTTGTGATGTCTGCATTCAAGTCACAGAGTTGAGCATTCCCTTTCATAGAGCAGGTTGGAAACACTCTTTTTGTAGTATCTGGATGAGGACATTTGGAGCGCTTTCAGGCGTATGGTGAAAAAGGAAATATCTTCCCGTAAAAACTAGACAGAAGCATTCTCAGAAATTTATTTGTGATGTGTGCCCTCAACTAACAGAGTTGAACCTTTCTTTTGATAGAGCAGTTTTGAAACACTCTTTTTGTAAAATCTGCAAGAGGATATTTGGATAGCTTTGAGGATTTCGTTGCAAACGGGAATGGCTTCATATAAACTCTAGACAGAAGCATTCTCAGAAACTTCGTTGGGATGTTTCGATTGAAGTCCCAGTGTTGAACATTCCCTTTTATAGAGCAGGTTGGAAACACTCTTTCTGCATTCCCTGGAAGTGGACATTTGGAGCGCTTTCAGGACGACGGTGAAAATGGAAATATCTTCCAAGAAAATCTAGATAGAAGCAATGTCAGAAACTTTTATGTGATGGATCTACTCAGCTAACAGAGTTGAACCTTTCTTTTGAGAGAGCAGTTTTGCAACACTCTTTTTGTGGAATATGCAAGTGGATATTAGGGCAGCTTTGAGGATTTCGTTGGAAACGGGAATACATGTAAAAAGCAGACAGCAGCATTCTCAGAAACTTCTTTGTGATGTTTGCATTGAAGTCACAGAGTTGAACATTCCCTTTGAGAGAGCAGGTTTGAAACACGCCTTTTGTCATATCTGGAAGTGTCCATTCGGAGCGCATTCAGGCTTGTGTTGAAAAAGGAAATATCCTCCCATAAAAACTAGACAGAAGCATTCTCAGAAACTTATCTGTGATGTATGTACTCAACTAACAGAACTAAACCATCGTTTTGAAGGAGCAGTTTTGAAACACTCTTTTTGCGGAATCTGCAAGTGGATATTTGGCTAGCTGGGAGGATTTCGTTGGAAACGGGATTACATACAAAAAGCAGACAGCAGCATTCTCAGAAACTTCTTTGTGATGTTTGCATTCAAGTCACAGAGTTGAACATTCCCTTTCATAGAGCAGGTTTGAAACACTCTTTTTGTAGTATCTGGATGTGGACATTTGGATCGCTTTCAGGCCTATGGTGAAAAAGGAAATATCTTCCCATGAAAACTAGACAGAAGCATTCTCAGAAACTTATTTGTGATGTGTGCCCTCAACTGACAGTGTTGAACCTTTGTTTTGATAGAGCAGTTCTGAAACACACTTTTTGTAAAATCTGCAAGAGGATATTTGGATAGCTCTGAGGATTTCGTTGGAAACGGGAGTGTCTTCATGTAAACTCTAGACAGAAGCATTCTCAGAAACTGCTTTGGGATGTTTCAATTGAAGTCCCAGTGTTGAACATTCCCATTCATAGAGCAGGTTTGAAACACTCTTTTTGTACTATCTGGAAGTGGACATTTGGAGCGCTTTCAGGTCTACGGTGAAAAAGGAGATATCTTCCAATAAAAACTAGATAGAAGCAATGTCAGAACTTTTTCCATGATGTATCTACTCAGCAAACACAGTTGAACCTTTCTTTTGAGAGAGCAGTTTTGAAACACTCTTTTTGTGGAATATGCAAGTGGGTATTAGGCCAGCTTGGAGGATTTCGTTGGAAACGGGAATACGTATAAAAAGCAGACAGCAGCATTGTCAGAAACTACTTTGTGATGTTTGCATTCAAGTCACAGAATTGAACACTCCCTTTCACAGAGCAGGTTTGAAACACTCTTTTTGTAGTGTCTGTAAGTGAACATTTGGATTGCTTTCAGGCCTAAGGTGAAAAAGGAAATATCTTCCCATAAAAACTAGACAGAAGCATTCTCAGAAACTTGTTTGTGATGTGTGCCCTCTACTGACAGAGTTGAACCTTTCTTTGCAAAGAGCAGTTTTGAAACACTCTTTTTGTAGAATCTGCAAGAGGATATTTGGATAGCTTTGAGGATTTCTTGGGAAACGGGAATGTCTTCAGATAAACTCTAGACAGAAGCATTCTCAGAAACTTCTTTGGGATGTTTCAATTGAAGTCCCAGTGTTGAACATTCCCTTTCACAGAGCAGGTTTGAAACACTCTTTTTGTAGTGTCTATAAGTGAACATTTGGCGTGCTTTCAGGCCTAACGTGAAAAAGGAAATATCTTCCCATAAAAACTAGACAGAAGCATTCTCAGAAACTTGTTTGTGATGTGTGCCCTCTACTGACAGAGTTGAACCTTTCCTTGCAAAGAGCAGCTTTGACACACACTTTTTGTAGAATCTGCAAGAGGCTATTTGGATAGCTTTGAGGATTTCGTTGGAAACGGGTATGTCTTCAGATAAACTCTAGACAGAAGCATTCTCAGAAACTTCTTTGAGATGTTGCATTCAAGTCACAGAGTAGAACATTCCCATTCATAGAGCAGATTTGAAACACTCTTTTTGTAGTATCTGAAAGTGGACATTTGGAGCGCTTTCAGGCCTATGATGAAAAAGGAAATATCTTCCCATAAAAACTAGACGGAAGCATTCTCAGAAACTTATTTGTGATGTGTTTGCTCAACTAACAGGATTGAACCATCGTTTTGAAGGAGCAGTTTTGAAACACTGTTTTCGTGGAATCTGCAAGTGGATATTTGGCTAGCTTTGAGGATTTCGTTGGAAACGGGATTACATATAAAAAGGAGACAGCAGCATTCTCAGAAACTTCTTTGTGATGTCTGCATTCAATTCACAGAGTTGGGCATTCCCTTTCATAGAGCAGGTTGGAAACACTCTTTTTGTAGTATCTGGATGAGGACATTTGGAGCGCTTTCAGGCGTATGGTGAAAAAGGAAATATCTTCCCGTAAAAACTAGACAGAAGCATTCTCAGAAATTTATTTGTGATGTGTGCCCTCAACTAACAGAGTTGAACCTTTCTTTTGATAGAGCAGTTTTGAAACACTCTTTTTGTAAAATCTGCAAGAGGATATTTGGATAGCTTTGAGGATTTCGTTGCAAACGGGAATGGCTTCATATAAACTCTAGACAGAAGCATTCTCAGAAACTTCGTTGGGATGTTTTGATTGAAGTCCCAGTGTTGAACATTCCCTTTTATAGAGCAGGTTGGAAACACTCTTTCTGCATTCCCTGGAAGTGGACATTTGGAGCGCTTTCAGGACGACGGTGAAAATGGAAATATCTTCCAATAAAATCTAGATAGAAGCAACGTCAGAAACTTTTCTGTGATGGATCTACTCAGCTAACAGAGTTGAACCTTTCTTTTGAGAGAGCAGTTTTGCAACACTCTTTTTGTGGAATATGCAAGTGGATATTAGGGCAGCTTTGAGGATTTCGTTGGAAACGGGAATACATGTAAAAAGCAGACAGCAGCATTCTCAGAAACTTCTTTGTGATGTTTGCATTCAAGTCACAGAGTTGAACATTCCCTTTGAGAGAGCAGGTTTGAAACACGCCTTTTGTCATATCTGGAAGTGTCCATTCGGAGCGCATTCAGGCTTGTGTTGAAAAAGGAAATATCCTCCCAGAAATACTAGACAGAAGCATTCTCAGAAACTTATCTGTGATGTATGTACTCAACTAACAGAACTAAACCATCGTTTTGAAGGAGCAGTTTTGAAACACTCTTTTTGCGGAATCTGCAAGTGGATATTTGGCTAGCTGGGAGGATTTCGTTGGAAACGGGATTACATACAAAAAGCAGACAGCAGCATTCTCAGAAACTTCTTTGTGATGTTTGCATTCAAGTCAAAGAGTTGAACATTCCCTTTCATAGAGCAGGTTTGAAACACTCTTTTTGTAGTATCTGGATGTGGACATTTGGATCGCTTTCAGGCCTATGGTGAAAAAGGAAATATCTTCCCATGAAAACTAGACAGAAGCATTCTCAGAAGTTTATTTGTGATGTGTGCCCTCAACTAACAGAGTTGAATCTTTCTTTTGATAGAGCAGTTTTGAAACACTCTTTTTGTAAAATCTGCAAGAGGATATTTGGATAGCTTTGAGGATTTCGTTGCAAACGGGAATGGCTTCATATAAACTCTAGGCAGAAGCATTCTCAGAAACTTCGTTGGGATGTTTCGATTGAAGTCCCAGTGTTGAACATTCCCTTTTATAGAGCAGGTTGGAAACACTCTTTCTGCATTCCCTGGAAGTGGACATTTGGAGCGCTTTCAGGACGACGGTGAAAATGGAAATATCTTCCAAGAAAATCTAGATAGAAGCAACGTCAGAAACTTTTCTGTGATGGATCTACTCAGCTAACAGAGTTGAACCTTTCTTTTGAGAGAGCAGTTTTGCAACACTCTTTTTGTGGAATATGCAAGTGGATATTAGGGCAGCTTTGAGGATTTCGTTGGAAACGGGAATACATGTAAAAAGCAGACAGCAGCATTCTCAGAAACTTCTTTGTGATGTTTGCATTGAAGTCACAGAGTTGAACATTCCCTTTGAGAGAGCAGGTTTGAAACACGCCTTTTGTCATATCTGGAAGTGTCCATTCGGAGCGCATTCAGGCTTGTGTTGAAAAAGGAAATATCCTCCCATAAAAACTAGACAGAAGCATTCTCAGAAACTTATCTGTGATGTATGTACTCAACTAACAGAACTAAACCATCCTTTTGAAGGAGCAGTTTTGAAACACTCTTTTTGCGGAATCTGCAAGTGGATATTTGGCTAGCTGGGAGGATTTCGTTGGAAACGGGATTACATACAAAAAGCAGACAGCAGCATTCTCAGAAACTTATTTGTGATGTGTGCCCTCAACTGACAGTGTTGAACCTTTGTTTTGATAGAGCAGTTCTGAAACACACTTTTTGTAAAATCTGCAAGAGGATATTTGGATAGCTTTGAGGATTTCGTTGGAAACGGGAATGTCTTCATGTAAACTCTAGACAGAAGCATTCTCAGAAACTGCTTTGGGATGTTTCAATTGAAGTCCCAGTGTTGAACATTCCCATTCATAGAGCAGGTTTGAAACACTCTTTTTGTACTATCTGGAAGTGGACATTTGGAGCGCTTTCAGGTCTACGGTGAAAAAGGAGATATCTTCCAATAAAAACTAGATAGAAGCAATGTCAGAACTTTTTTCATGATGTATCTACTCAGCAAACAGAGTTGAACCTTTCTTTTGAGAGAGCAGTTTCGAAACACTCTTTCTGTGGAATATGCAAGTGGGTATTAGGCCAGCTTGGAGGATTTCGTTGGAAACGGGAATACGTATAAAAAGCAGACAGCAGCATTGTCAGAAACTACTTTGTGATGTTTGCATTCAAGTCACAGAATTGAACACTCCCTTTCACAGAGCAGGTTTGAAACACTCTTTTTGTAGTGTCTGTAAGTGAACATTTGGATTGCTTTCAGGCCTAAGGTGAAAAAGGAAATATCTTCCCATAAAAACTAGACAGAAGCATTCTCAGAAACTTGTTTGTGATGTGTGCCCTCTACTGACAGAGTTAAACCTTTCTTTGCAAAGAGCAGTTTTGAAACACTCTTTTTGTAGAATCTGCAAGAGGATATTTGGATAGCTTTGAGGATTTCCTGGGAAACGGGAATGTCTTCAGATAAACTCTAGACAGAAGCATTCTCAGAAACTTCTTTGGGATGTTTCAATTGAAGTCACAGTGTTGAACATTCCCTTTCACAGAGCAGGTTTGAAACACTCTTTTTGTAGTGTCTATAAGTGAACATTTGGCGTGCTTTCAGGCCTAACGTGAAAAAGGAAATATCTTCCCATAAAAACTAGACAGAAGCATTCTCAGAAACTTGTTCTTGATGTGTCCCCTCTACTGACAGAGTTGAAACTTTCTTTGCAAAGAGCAGCTTTGAAACACTCTTTTTGTAGAATCTGCAAGAGGATATTTGGATAGCTTGGAGGATTTCGTTGGAAACGGGTATGTCTTCAGATAAACTCTAGACAGAAGCATTCTCAGAAACTTCTTTGGGATGTTGCATTCAAGTCACAGAGTAGAACATTCCCATTCATAGAGCAGATTTGAAACACTCTTTTTGTAGTATCTGGAAGTGGACATTTGGAGCGCTTTCAGGCCTATGTTGAAAAAGGAAATATCTTCCCATAAAAACTAGACGGAAGCATTCTCAGAAACTTATTTGTGATGTGTTTGCTCAACTAACAGGATTGAACCATCGTTTTGAAGGAGCAGTTTTGAAACACTGTTTTCGTGGAATCTGCAAGTGGATATTTGGCTAGCTTTGAGGATTTCGTTGGAAACGGGATTACATATAAAAAGGAGACAGCCAGCATTCTCAGAAACTTCTTTGTGATGTTTGCATTCAATTCACAGAGTTGAGCATTCCCTTTCATAGAGCAGGTTGGAAACACTCTTTTTGTAGTATCTGGATGTGGACATTTGGATCGCTTTCAGGCCTATGGTGAAAAAGGAAATATCTTCCCATGAAAACTAGACAGAGCATTCTCAGAAATTTATTTGTGATGTGTGCCCTCAACTAACAGAGTTGAACCTTTCTTTTGATAGAGCAGTTTTGAAACACTCTTTTTGTAAAATCTGCAAGAGGATATTTGGATAGCTTTGAGGATTTCGTTGCAAACGGGAATGGCTTCATATAAACTCTAGACAGAAGCATTCTCAGAAACTTCGTTGGGATGTTTCGATTGAAGTCCCAGTGTTGAACATTCCCTTTTATAGAGCAGGTTGGAAACACTCTTTCTGCATTCCCTGGAAGTGGACATTTGGAGCGCTTTCTGGACGACGGTGAAAATGGAAATATCTTCCAAGAAAATCTAGATAGAAGCAACGTCAGAAACTTTTCTGTGATGGATCTACTCAGCTAACAGAGTTGAACCTTTCTTTTGAGAGAGCAGTTTTGCAACACTCTTTTTGTGGAATATGCAAGTGGATATTAGGGCAGCTTTGAGGATTTCGTTGGAAACGGGAATACATGTAAAAAGCAGACAGCAGCATTCTCAGAAACTTCTTTGTGATGTTTGCATTGAAGTCACAGAGTTGAACATTCCCTTTGAGAGAGCAGGTTTGAAACACGCCTTTTGTCATATCTGGAAGTGTCCATTCGGAGCGCATTCAGGCTTGTGTTGAAAAAGGAAATATCCTCCCATAAAAACTAGACAGAAGCATTCTCAGAAACTTATCTGTGATGTATGTACTCAACTAACAGAACTAAACCATCGTTTTGAAGGAGCAGTTTTGAAACACTCTTTTTGCGGAATCTGCAAGTGGATATTTGGCTAGCTGGGAGGATTTCGTTGGAAACGGGATTACATACAAAAAGCAGACAGCAGCATTCTCAGAAACTTCTTTGTGATGTTTGCATTGAAGTCACAGAGTTGAACATTCCCTTTGAGAGAGCAGGTTTGAAACACGCCTTTTGTCATATCTGGAAGTGTCCATTCGGAGCGCATTCAGGCTTGTGTTGAAAAAGGAAATATCCTCCCATAAAAACTAGACAGAAGCATTCTCAGAAACTTATCTGTGATGTATGTACTCAACTAACAGAACTAAACCATCGTTTTGAAGGAGCAGTTTTGAAACACTCTTTTTGCGGAATCTGCAAGTGGATATTTGGCTAGCTGGGAGGATTTCGTTGGAAACGGGATTACATACAAAAAGCAGACAGCAGCATTCTCAGAAACTTCTTTGTGATGTTGGCATTCAAGTCACAGAGTTGAACATTCCCTTTCATAGAGCAGGTTTGAAACACTCTTTTTGTAGTATCTGGATGTGGACATTTGGATCGCTTTCAGGCCTATGGTGAAAAAGGAAATATCTTCCCATGAAAACTAGACAGAAGCATTCTCAGAAACTTATTTGTGATGTGTGCCCTCAACTGACAGTGTTGAACCTTTGTTTTGATAGAGCAGTTCTGAAACACACTTTTTGTAAAATCTGCAAGAGGATATTTGGATAGCTTTGAGGATTTCGTTGGAAACGGGAATGTCTTCATGTAAACTCTACACAGAAGCATTCTCAGAAACTGCTTTGGGATGTTTCAATTGAAGTCCCAGTGTTGAACATTCCCATTCATAGAGCAGGTTTGAAACACTCTTTTTGTACTATCTGGAAGTGGACATTTGGAGCGCTTTCAGGTCTACGGTGAAAAAGGAGATATCTTCCAATAAAAACTAGATAGAAGCAATGTCAGAACTTTTTTCATGATGTATCTACTCAGCAAACAGAGTTGAAGCTTTCTTTTGAGAGAGCAGTTTTGAAACACTCTTTTTGTGGAATATGCAAGTGGGTATTAGGCCAGCTTGGAGGATTTCGTTGGAAACGGGAATACGTATAAAAAGCAGACAGCAGCATTGTCAGAAACTACTTTGTGATGTTTGCATTCAAGTCACAGAATTGAACACTCCCTTTCACAGAGCAGGTTTGAAACACTCTTTTTGTAGTGTCTGTAAGTGAACATTTGGATTGCTTTCAGGCCTAAGGTGAAAAAGGAAATATCTTCCCATAAAAACTAGACAGAAGCATTCTCAGAAACTTGTTTGTGATGTGTGCCCTCTACTGACAGAGTTGAACCTTTCTTTGCAAAGAGCAGTTTTGAAACACTCTTTTTGTAGAATCTGCAAGAGGATATTTGGATAGCTTTGAGGATTTCTTGGGAAACGGGAATGTCTTCAGATAAACTCTAGACAGAAGCATTCTCAGAAACTTCTTTGGGATGTTTCAATTGAAGTCACAGTGTTGAACATTCCCTTTCACAGAGCAGGTTTGAAACACTCTTTTTGTAGTGTCTATAAGTGAACATTTGGCGTGCTTTCAGGCCTAACGTGAAAAAGGAAATATCTTCCCATAAAAACTAGACAGAAGCATTCTCAGAAACTTGTTCGTGATGTGTGCCCTCTACTGACAGAGTTGAACCTTTCTTTGCAAAGAGCAGCTTTGAAACACTCTTTTTGTAGAATCTGCAAGAGGATATTTGGATAGCTTTGAGGATTTCGTTGGAAACGGGTATGTCTTCAGATAAACTCTAGACAGAAGCATTCTCAGAAACTTCTTTGGGATGTTGCATTCAAGTCACAGAGTAGAACATTCCCATTCATAGAGCAGATTTGAAACACTCTTTTTGTAGTATCTGGAAGTGGACATTTGGAGCGCTTTCAGGCCTATGTTGAAAAAGGAAATATCTTCCCATAAAAACTAGACGGAAGCATTCTCAGAAACTTACTTGTGATGTGTTTGCTCAACTAACAGAATTGAACCATCGTTTTGAAGGAGCAGTTTTGAAACACTGTTTTCGTGGAATCTGCAAGTGGATATTTGGCTAGCTTTGAGGATTTCGTTGGAAACGGGATTACATATAAAAAGGAGACAGCAGCATTCTCAGAAACTTCTTTGTGATGTCTGCATTCAAGTCACAGAGTTGAGCATTCCCTTTCATAGAGAAGGTTGGAAACACTCTTTTTGTAGTATCTGGATGAGGACATTTGGAGCGCTTTCAGGCGTATGGTGAAAAAGGAAATATCTTCCCGTAAAAACTAGACAGAAGCATTCTCAGAAATTTATTTGTGATGTGTGCCCTCAACTAACAGAGTTGAACCTTTCTTTTGATAGAGCAGTTTTGAAACACTCTTTTTGTAAAATCTGCAAGAGGATATTTGGATAGCTTTGAGGATTTCATTGCAAACGGGAATGGCTTCATATAAACTCTAGACAGAAGCATTCTCAGAAACTTCGTTGGGATGTTTCGATTGAAGTCCCAGTGTTGAACATTCCCTTTTATAGAGCAGGTTGGAAACACTCTTTCTGCATTCCCTGGAAGTGGACATTTGGAGCGCTTTCAGGACGACGGTGAAAATGGAAATATCTTCCAAGAAAATCTAGATAGAAGCAACGTCAGAAACTTTTCTGTGATGGATCTACTCAGCTAACAGAGTTGAACCTTTCTTTTGAGAGAGCAGTTTTGCAACACTCTTTTTGTGGAATATGCAAGTGGATATTAGGGCAGCTTTGAGGATTTCGTTGGAAACGGGAATACATGTAAAAAGCAGACAGCAGCATTCTCAGAAACTTCTTTGTGATGTTTGCATTGAAGTCACAGAGTTGAACATTCCCTTTGAGAGAGCAGGTTTGAAACACGCCTTTTGTCATATCTGGAAGTGTCCATTCGGAGCGCATTCAGGCTTGTGTTGAAAAAGGAAATATCCTCCCAGAAAAACTAGACAGAAGCATTCTCAGAAACTTATCTGTGATGTATGTACTCAACTAACAGAACTAAACCATCGTTTTGAAGGAGCAGTTTTGAAACACTCTTTTTGCGGAATCTGCAAGTGGATATTTGGCTAGCTGGGAGGATTTCGTTGGAAACGGGATTACATACAAAAAGCAGACAGCAGCATTCTCAGAAACTTCTTTGTGATGTTTGCATTCAAGTCACAGAGTTGAACATTCCCTTTCATAGAGCAGGTTTGAAACACTCTTTTTGTAGTATCTGGATGTGGACATTTGGATCGCTTTCAGGCCTATGGTGAAAAAGGAAATATCTTCCCATGAAAACTAGACAGAAGCATTCTCAGAAACTTATTTGTGATGTGTGCCCTCAACTGACAGTGTTGAACCTTTGTTTTGATAGAGCAGTTCTGAAACACACTTTTTGTAAAATCTGCAAGAGGATATTGGGATAGCTTTGAGGATTTCGTTGGAAACGGGAATGTCTTCATGTAAACTCTAGACAGAAGCATTCTCAGAAACTGCTTTGGGATGTTTCAATTGAAGTCCCAGTGTTGAACATTCCCATTCATAGAGCAGGTTTGAAACACTCTTTTTGTACTATCTGGAAGTGGACATTTGGAGCGCTTTCAGGTCTACGGTGAAAAAGGAGATATCTTCCAATAAAAACTAGATAGAAGCAATGTCAGAACTTTTTTCATGATGTATCTACTCAGCTAACAGAGCTGAACCTTTCTTTTGAGAGAGCAGTTTTGAAACACTCTTTTTGTGGAATATGCAAGTGGGTATTAGGCCAGCTTGGAGGATTTCGTTGGAAACGGGAATACGTATAAAAAGCAGACAGCAGCATTGTCAGAAACTACTTTGTGATGTTTGCATTCAAGTCACAGAATTGAACACTCCCTTTCACAGAGCAGGTTTGAAACACTCTTTTTGTAGTGTCTGTAAGTGAACATTTGGATTGCTTTCAGGCCTAAGGTGAAAAAGGAAATATCTTCCCATAAAAACTAGACAGAAGCATTCTCAGAAACTTGTTTGTGATGTGTGCCCTCTACTGACAGAGTTGAACCTTTCTTTGCAAAGAGCAGCTTTGAAACACTCTTTTTGTAGAATCTGCAAGAGGATATTTGGATAGCTTTGAGGATTTCTTGGGAAACGGGAATGTCTTCAGATAAACTCTAGACAGAAGCATTCTCAGAAACTTCTTTGGGATGTTTCAATTGAAGTCACAGTGTTGAACATTCCCTTTCACAGAGCAGGTTTGAAACACTCTTTTTGTAGTGTCTATAAGTGAACATTTGGCGTGCTTTCAGGCGTAACGTGAAAAAGGAAATATCTTCCCATAAAAACCAGACAGAAGCATTCTCAGAAACTTGTTCGTGATGTGTGCCCTCTACTGACAGAGTTGAACCTTTCTTTGCAAAGAGCAGCTTTGAAACACACTTTTTGTAGAATCTGCAAGAGGATATTTGGAAAGCTTTGAGGATTTCGTTGGAAACGGGTATGTCTTCAGATAAACTCTAGACAGAAGCATTCTCAGAAACTTCTTTGGGATGTTGCATTCAAGTCACAGAGTAGAACATTCCCATTCATAGAGCAGATTTGAAACACTCTTTTTGTAGTATCTGGAAGTGGACATTTGGAGCGCTTTCAGGCCTATGTTGAAAAAGGAAATATCTTCCCATAAAAACTAGACGGAAGCATTCTCAGAAACTTATTTGTGATGTGTTTGCTCAACTAACAGGATTGAACCATCGTTTTGAAGGAGCAGTTTTGAAACACTGTTTTCGTGGAATCTGCAAGTGGATATTTGGCTAGCTTTGAGGATTTCGTTGGAAACGGGATTACATATAAAAAGGAGACAGCATCATTCTCAGAAACTTCTTTGTGATGTCTGCATTCAATTCACAGAGTTGAGCATTCCTTTTCATAGAGCAGGTTGGAAACACTCTTTTTGTAGTATCTGGATGAGGACATTTGGAGCGCTTTCAGGCGTATGGTGAAAAGGGAAATATCTTCCCGTAAAAACTAGACAGAAGCATTCTCAGAAGTTTATTTGTGATGTGTGCCCTCAACTAACAGAGTTGAACCTTTCTTTTGATAGAGCAGTTTTGAAACACTCTTTTTGTAAAATCTGCAAGAGGATATTTGGATAGCTTTGAGGATTTCGTTGCAAACGGGAATGGCTTCATATAAACTCTAGACAGAAGCATTCTCAGAAACTTCATTGGGATGTTTCGATTGAAGTCCCAGTGTTGAACATTCCCTTTTATAGAGCAGGTTGGAAACACTCTTTCTGCATTCCCTGGAAGTGGACATTTGGAGCGCTTTCAGGACGACGGTGAAAATGGAAATATCTTCCAATAAAATCTACATAGAAGCAACGTCAGAAACTTTTATGTGATGGATCTACTCAGCTAACAGAGTTGAACCTTTCTTTTGAGAGAGCAGTTTTGCAACACTCTTTTTGTGGAATATGCAAGTGGATATTAGGGCAGCTTTGAGGATTTCGTTGGAAACGGGAATACATGTAAAAAGCAGACAGCAGCATTCTCAGAAACTTCTTTGTGATGTTTGCATTGAAGTCACAGAGTTGAACATTCCCTTTGAGAGAGCAGGTTTGAAACACGCCTTTTGTCATATCTGGAAGTGTCCATTCGGAGCGCATTCAGGCTTGTGTTGAAAAAGGAAATATCCTCCCAGAAAAACTAGACAGAAGCATTCTCAGAAACTTATTTGTGATGTATGTACTCAACTAACAGAACTGAACCATCGTTTTGAAGGAGCAGTTTTGAAACACTCTTTTTGCGGAATCTGCAAGTGGATATTTGGCTAGCTTGGAGGATTTCGTTGGAAACGGGATTACATACAAAAAGCAGAGAGCAGCATTCTCAGAAACTTATTTGTGATGTGTGCCCTCAACTGACAGTGTTGAACCTTTGTTTTGATAGAGCAGTTCTGAAACACACTTTTTGTAAAATCTGCAAGAGGATATTTGGATAGCTTTGAGGATTTCGTTGGAAACGGGAATGTCTTCATGTAAACTCTAGACAGAAGCATTCTCAGAAACTGCTTTGGGATGTTTCAATTGAAGTCCCAGTGTTGAACATTCCCATTCATAGAGCAGGTTTGAAACACTCTTTTTCTACTATCTGGAAGTGGACATTTGGAGCGCTTTCAGGTCTACGGTGAAAAAGGAGATATCTTCCAATAAAAACTAGATAGAAGCAATGTCAGAACTTTTTTCATGATGTATCTACTCAGCAAACAGAGTTGAACCTTTGTTTTGAGAGAGCAGTTTTGACACTGTCTTTGTGGAATATGCAAGTGGGTATTAGGCCAGCTTGGAGGATTTCGTTGGAAACGGGAATACGTATAAAAAGCAGAAAGCAGCATTGTCAGAAACTGCTTTGTGATGTTTGCATTCAAGTCACAGAATTGAACACTCCCTTTCACAGAGCAGGTTTGAAACACTCTTTTTGTAGTGTCTGTAAGTGAACATTTGGATTGCTTTCAGGCCTATGGTGAAAAAGGAAATATCTTCCCATAAAAACTAGACAGAAGCATTCTCAGAAACTTGTTTGTGATGTGTGCCCTCTACTGACAGAGTTGAACCTTTCTTTGCAAAGAGCAGTTTTGAAACACTCTTTTTGTAGAATCTGCAAGAGGATATTTGGATAGCTTTGAGGATTTCTTGGGAAACGGGAATGTCTTCAGATAAACTCTAGACAGAAGCATTCTCAGAAACTTCTTTGGGATGTTTCAATTGAAGTCACAGTGTTGAACATTCCCTTTCACAGAGCAGGTTTGAAACACTCTTTTTGTAGTGTCTATAAGTGAACATTTGGCGTGCTTTCAGGCCTAACGTGAAAAAGGAAATATCTTCCCATAAAAACTAGACAGAAGCATTCTCAGAAACTTGTTCGTGATGTGTGCCCTCTACTGACAGAGTTGAACCTTTCTTTGCAAAGAGCAGCTTTGAAACACTCTTTTTGTAGAATCTGCAAGAGGATATTTGGATAGCTTTGAGGATTTCGTTGGAAACGGGTATGTCTTCAGATAAACTTCTAGACAGAAGCATTCTCAGAAACTTCTTTGGGATGTTGCATTCAAGTCACAGAGTAGAACATTCCCATTCATAGAGCAGATTTGAAACACTCTTTTTGTAGTATCTGGAAGTGGACATTTGGAGCGCTTTCAGGCCTATGTTGAAAAAGGAAATATCTTCCCATAAAAACTAGACGGAAGCATTCTCAGAAACTTATTTGTGATGTGTTTGCTCAACTAACAGGATTGAACCATCGTTTTGAAGGAGCAGTTTTGAAACACTGTTTTCGTGGAATCTGCAAGTGGATATTTGGCTAGCTTTGGGGATTTCGTTGGAAACGGGATTACATATAAAAAGGAGACAGCAGCATTCTCAGAAACTTCTTTGTGATGTCTGCATTCAATTCACAGAGTTGAGCATTCCCTTTCATAGAGCAGGTTGGAAACACTCTTTTTGTAGTATCTGGATGAGGACATTTGGAGCGCTTTCAGGCGTATGGTGAAAAAGGAAATATCTTCCCGTAAAAACTAGACAGAAGCATTCTCAGAAGTTTATTTGTGATGTGTGCCCTCAACTAACAGAGTTGAACCTTTCTTTTGATAGAGCAGTTTTGAAACACTCTTTTTGTAAAATCTGCAAGAGGATATTTGGATAGCTTTGAGGATTTCGTTGCAAACGGGAATGGCTTCATATAAACTCTAGACAGAAGCATTCTCAGAAACTTCGTTGGGATGTTTCGATTGAAGTCCCAGTGTTGAACATTCCCTTTTATAGAGCAGGTTGGAAACACTCTTTCTGCATTCCCTGGAAGTGGACATTTGGAGCGCTTTCAGGACGACGGTGAAAATGGAAATATCTTCCAAGAAAATCTAGATAGAAGCAATGTCAGAAACTTTTATGTGATGGATCTACTCAGCTAACAGAGTTGAACCTTTCTTTTGAGAGAGCAGTTTTGCAACACTCTTTTTGTGGAATATGCAAGTGGATATTAGGGCAGCTTTGAGGATTTCGTTGGAAACGGGTATACATGTAAAAAGCAGACAGCAGCATTCTCAGAAACTTCTTTGTGATGTTTGCATTGAAGTCACAGAGTTGAACATTCCCTTTGAGAGAGCAGGTTTGAAACACGCCTTTTGTCATATCTGGAAGTGTCCATTCGGAGCGCATTCAGGCTTGTGATGAAAAAGGAAATATCCTCCCATAAAAACTAGACAGAAGCATTCTGAGAAACTTATTTGTGATGTGTGTACTCAACTAACAGAATTGAATCATCGTTTTGAAAGAGCAGTTTTGAAACACTCCTTTTGTGGAATCTGCAAGTGGATATTTGTCTAGCTTTGAGGATTTCGTTGGAAACGGGATTACATATAAAAAGCAGACAGCAGCATTTTCAGAAACTACTTTGTGATGTTTGCATTCAAGTCACAGAGTTGAACATTCCCTTTCATAGAGCAGGTTTGAAACACTCTTTTTGTAGTATCTGGATGTGGACATTTGGATCGCTTTCAGGCCTATGGTGAAAAAGGAAATATCTTCCCATGAAAACTAGACAGAAGCATTCTCAGAAATTTATTTGTGATGTGTGCCCTCAACTAACAGAGTTGAACCTTTCTTTTGATAGAGCAGTTTTGAAACACTCTTTTTGTAAAATCTGCAAGAGGATATTTGGATAGCTTTGAGGATTTCGTTGCAAACGGGAATGGCTTCATATAAACTCTAGACAGAAGCATTCTCAGAAACTCCGTTGGGATGTTTCGATTGAAGTCCCAGTGTTGAACATTCCCTTTTATAGAGCAGGTTGGAAACACTCTTTCTGCATTCCCTGGAAGTGGACATTTGGAGCGCTTTCAGGACGACGGTGAAAATGGAAATATCTTCCAAGAAAATCTAGATAGAAGCAACGTCAGAAACTTTTCTGTGATGGATCTACTCAGCTAACAGAGTTGAACCTTTCTTTTGAGAGAGCAGTTTTGCAACACTCTTTTTGTGGAATATGCAAGTGGATATTAGGGCAGCTTTGAGGATTTCGTTGGAAACGGGAATACATGTAAAAAGCAGACAGCAGCATTCTCAGAAACTTCTTTGTGATGTTTGCATTGAAGTCACAGAGTTGAACATTCCCTTTGAGAGAGCAGGTTTGAAACACGCCTTTTGTCATATCTGGAAGTGTCCATTCGGAGCGCATTCAGGCTTGTGTTGAAAAAGGAAATATCCTCCCATAAAAACTAGACAGAAGCATTCTCAGAAACTTATCTGTGATGTATGTACTCAACTAACAGAACTAAACCATCGTTTTGAAGGAGCAGTTTTGAAACACTCTTTTTGCGGAATCTGCAAGTGGATATTTGGCTAGCTGGGAGGATTTCGTTGGAAACGGGATTACATACAAAAAGCAGACAGCAGCATTCTCAGAAACTTCTTTGTGATGTTTGCATTCAAGTCACAGAGTTGAACATTCCCTTTCATAGAGCAGGTTTGAAACACTCTTTTTGTAGTATCTGGATGTGGACATTTGGATCGCTTTCAGGCCTATGGTGAAAAAGGAAATATCTTCCCATGAAAACTAGACAGAAGCATTCTCAGAAACTTATTTGTGATGTGTGCCCTCAACTGACAGTGTTGAACCTTTGTTTTGATAGAGCAGTTCTGAAACACACTTTTTGTAAAATCTGCAAGAGGATATTTGGATAGCTTTGAGGATTTCGTTGGAAACGGGAATGTCTTCATGTAAACTCTAGACAGAAGCATTCTCAGAAACTGCTTTGGGATGTTTCAATTGAAGTCCCAGTGTTGAACATTCCCTTTCATAGAGCAGGTTTGAAACCCTCTTTTTGTACTATCTGGAAGTGGACATTTGGAGCGCTTTCAGGTCTACGGTGAAAAAGGAGATATCTTCCAATAAAAACTAGATAGAAGCAATGTCAGAACTTTTTTCATGATGTATCTACTCAGCAAACAGAGTTGAACCTTTCTTTTGAGAGAGCAGTTTTGAAACACTCCTTTTGTGGAATATGCAAGTGGGTATTAGGCCAGCTTGGAGGATTTCGTTGGAAACGGGAATACGTATAAAAAGCGGACAGCAGCATTGTCAGAAACTACTTTGTGATATTTGCATTCAAGTCACAGAATTGAACACTCCCTTTCACAGAGCAGGTTTGAAACACTCTTTTTGTAGTGTCTGTAAGTGAACATTTGGATTGCTTTCAGGCCTAAGGTGAAAAAGGAAATATCTTCCCATAAAAACTAGACAGAAGCATTCTCAGAAACTTGTTTGTGATGTGTGCCCTCTACTGACAGAGTTGAACCTTTCTTTGCAAAGAGCAGTTTTGAAACACTCTTTTTGTAGAATCTGCAAGAGGATATTTGGATAGCTTTGAGGATTTCTTGGGAAACGGGAATGTCTTCAGATAAACTCTAGACAGAAGCATTCTCAGAAACTTCTTTGGGATGTTTCAATTGAAGTCACAGTGTTGAACATTCCCTTTCACAGAGCAGGTTTCAAACACTCTTTTTGTAGTGTCTATAAGTGAACATTTGGCGTGCTTTCAGGCCTAACGTGAAAAAGGAAATATCTTCCCATAAAAACTAGACAGAAGCATTCTCAGAAACTTGTTTGTGATGTGTGCCCTCTACTGACAGAGTTGAACCTTTCTTTGCAAAGAGCAGCTTTGAAACACTCTTTTTGTAGAATCTGCCAGAGGATATTTGGATAGCTTTGAGGATTTCGTTGGAAACGGGTATGTCTTCAGATAAACTCTAGACAGAAGCATTCTCAGAAACTTCTTTGGGATGTTGCATTCAAGTCACAGAGTAGAACATTCCCATTCATAGAGCAGATTTGAAACACTCTTTTTGTAGTATCTGGAAGTGGACATTTGGAGCGCTTTCAGGCCTATGTTGAAAAAGGAAATATCTTCCCATAAAAACTAGACGGAAGCATTCTCAGAAACTTATTTGTGATGTGTTTGCTCAACTAACAGGATTGAACCATCGTTTTGAAGGAGCAGTTTTGAAACACTGTTTTCGTGGAATCTGCAAGTGGATATTTGGCTAGCTTTGAGGATTTCGTTGGAAACGGGATTACATATACAAAGGAGACAGCAGCATTCTCAGAAACTTCTTTGTGATGTCTGCATTCAATTCACAGAGTTGAGCATTCCCTTTCATAGAGCAGGTTGGAAACACTCTTTTTGTAGTATCTGGATGAGGACATTTGGAGCGCTTTCAGGCGTATGGTGAAAAAGGAAATATCTTCCCGTAAAAACTAGACAGAAGCATTCTCAGAAGTTTATTTGTGATGTGTGCCCTCAACTAACAGAGTTGAACCTTTCTTTTGATAGAGCAGTTTTGAAACACTCTTTTTGTAAAATCTGCAAGAGGATATTTGGATAGCTTTGAGGATTTCGTTGCAAACGGGAATGGCTTCATATAAACTCTAGACAGAAGCATTCTCAGAAACTTCGTTGGGATGTTTCGATTGAAGTCCCAGTGTTGAACATTCCCTTTTATAGAGCAGGTTGGAAACACTCTTTCTGCATTCCCTGGAAGTGGACATTTGGAGCGCTTTCAGGACGACGGTGAAAATGGAAATATCTTCCAAGAAAATCTAGATAGAAGCAATGTCATAAACTTTTCTGTGATGGATCTACTCAGCTAACAGAGTTGAACCTTTCTTTTGAGAGAGCAGTTTTGCAACACTCTTTTTGTGGAATATGCAAGTGGATATTAGGGCAGCTTTGAGGATTTCGTTGGAAACGGGAATACATGTAAAAAGCAGACAGCAGCATTCTCAGAAACTTCTTTGTGATGTTTGCATTGAAGTCACAGAGTTGAACATTCCCTTTGAGAGAGCAGGTTTGAAACACGCCTTTTGTCATATCTGGAAGTGTCCATTCGGAGCGCATTCAGGCTTGTGTTGAAAAAGGAAATATCCTCCCATAAAAACTAGACAGAAGCATTCTCAGAAACTTATTTGTGATGTATGTACTCAACTAACAGAACTAAACCATCGTTTTGAAGGAGCAGTTTTGAAACACTCTTTTTGCGGAATCTGCAACTGGATATTTGGCTAGCTTGGAGGATTTCGTTGGAAACGGGATTACATACAAAAAGCAGACAGCAGCATTCTCAGAAACTTCTTTGTGATGTTTGCATTCAAGTCGCAGAGTTGAACATTCCCTTTCATAGAGCAGGTTTGAAACACTCTTTTTGTAGTATCTGGATGTGGACCTTTGGATCGCTTTCAGGCCTATGGTGAAAAAGGAAATATCTTCCCATGAAAACTAGACAGAAGCATTCTCAGAAACTTATTTGTGATGTGTGCCCTCAACTGACAGTGTTGAACCTTTGTTTTGATAGAGCAGTTCTGAAACACACTTTTTGTAAAATCTGCAAGAGGATATTTGGATAGCTTTGAGGATTTCGTTGGAAACGGGAATGTCTTCATGTAAACTCTAGACAGAAGCATTCTCAGAAACTGCTTTGGGATGTTTCAATTGAAGTCCCAGTGTTGAACATTCCCATTCATAGAGCAGGTTTGAAACACTCTTTTTGTACTATCTGGAAGTGGACATTTGGAGCGCTTTCAGGTCTACGGTGAAAAAGGAGATATCTTCCAATAAAAACTAGATAGAAGCAATGTCAGAACTTTTTTCATGATGTATCTACTCAGCAAACAGAGTTGAACCTTTCTTTTGAGAGAGCAGTTTTGACACAGTCTTTGTGGAATATGCAAGTGGGTATTAGGCCAGCTTGGAGGATTTCGTTGGAAACGGGAATACGTATAAAAAGCAGACAGCAGCATTGTCAGAAACTACTTTGTGATGTTTGCATTCAAGTCACAGAATTGAACACTCCCTTTCACAGAGCAGGTTTGAAACACTCTTTTTGTAGTGTCTGTAAGTGAACATTTGGATTGCTTTCAGGCCTATGGTGAAAAAGGTAATATCTTCCCATAAAAACTAGACAGAAGCATTCTCAGAAACTTGTTTGTGATGTGTGCCCTCTACTGACAGAGTTGAACCTTTCTTTGCAAAGAGCAGTTTTGAAACACTCTTTTTGTAGAATCTGCAAGAGGATATTTGGATAGCTTTGAGGATTTCTTGGGAAACGGGAATGTCTTCAGATAAACTCTAGACAGAAGCATTCTCAGAAACTTCTTTGGGATGTTTCAATTGAAGTCACAGTGTTGAACATTCCCTTTCACAGAGCAGGTTTGAAACACTCTTTTTGTAGTGTCTATAAGTGAACATTTGGCGTGCTTTCAGGCGTAACGTGAAAAAGGAAATATCTTCCCATAAAAACTAGACAGAAGCATTCTCAGAAACTTGTTTGTGATGTGTGCCCTCTACTGACAGAGTTGAACCTTTCTTTGCAAAGAGCAGCTTTGAAACACACTTTTTGTAGAATCTGCAAGAGGATATTTGGATAGCTTTGAGGATTTCGTTGGAAACGGGTATGTCTTCAGATAAACTCTAGACAGAAGCATTCTCAGAAACTTCTTTGGGATGTTGCATGCAAGTCACAGAGTAGAACATTCCCATTCATAGAGCAGATTTGAAACACTCTTTTTGTAGTATCTGGAAGTGGACATTTGGAGCGCTTTCAGGCCTATGTTGAAAAAGGAAATATCTTCCCATAAAAACTAGACGGAAGCATTCTCAGAAACTTATTTGTGATGTGTTTGCTCAACTAACAGGATTGAACCATCGTTTTGAAGGAGCAGTTTTGAAACACTGTTTTCGTGGAATCTGCAAGTGGATATTTGGCTAGCTTTGAGGATTTCGTTGGAAACGGGATTACATATAAAAAGGAGACAGCAGCATTCTCAGAAACTTCTTTGTGATGTCTGCATTCAATTCACAGAGTTGAGCATTCCCTTTCATAGAGCAGGTTGGAAACACTCTTTTTGTAGTATCTGGATGAGGACATTTGGAGCGCTTTCAGGCGTATGGTGAAAAAGGAAATATCTTCCCGTAAAAACTAGACAGAAGCATTCTCAGAAGTTTATTTGAGATGTGTGCCCTCAACTAACAGAGTTGAACCTTTCTTTTGATAGAGCAGTTTTGAAACACTCTTTTTGTAAAATCTGCAAGAGGATATTTGGATAGCTTTGAGGATTTCGTTGCAAACGGGAATGGCTTCATATAAACTCTAGACAGAAGCATTCTCAGAAACTTCGTTGGGATGTTTTGATTGAAGTCCCAGTGTTGAACATTCCCTTTTATAGAGCAGGTTGGAAACACTCTTTCTGCATTCCCTGGAAGTGGACATTTGGAGCGCTTTCAGGACGACGGTGAAAATGGAAATATCTTCCAATAAAATCTAGATAGAAGCAATGTCAGAAACTTTTATGTGATGGATCTACTCAGCTAACAGAGTTGAACCTTTCTTTTGAGAGAGCAGTTTTGCAACACTCTTTTTGTGGAATATGCAAGTGGATATTAGGGCAGCTTTGAGGATTTCGTTGGAAACGGGAATACATGTAAAAAGCAGACAGCAGCATTCTCAGAAACTTCTTTGTGATGTTTGCATTGAAGTCACAGAGTTGAACATTCCCTTTGAGAGAGCAGGTTTGAAACACGCCTTTTGTCATATCTGGAAGTGTCCATTCGGAGCGCATTCAGGCTTGTGTTGAAAAAGGAAATATCCTCCCATAAAAACTAGACAGATAAGCATTCTCAGAAACTTATCTGTGATGTATGTACTCAACTAACAGAACTAAACCATCGTTTTGAAGGAGCAGTTTTGAAACACTCTTTTTGCGGAATCTGCAAGTGGATATTTGGCTAGCTGGGAGGATTTCGTTGGAAACGGGATTACATACAAAAAGCAGACAGCAGCATTCTCAGAAACTTCTTTGTGATGTTTGCATTCAAGTCACAGAGTTGAACATTCCCTTTCATAGAGCAGGTTTGAAACACTCTTTTTGTAGTATCTGGATGTGGACATTTGGATCGCTTTCAGGCCTATGGTGAAAAAGGAAATATCTTCCCATGAAAACTAGACAGAAGCATTCTCAGAAACTTATTTGTGATGTGTGCCCTCAACTGACAGTGTTGAACCTTTGTTTTGATAGAGCAGTTCTGAAACACACTTTTTGTAAAATCTGCAAGAGGATATTTGGATAGCTTTGAGGATTTCGTTGGAAACGGGAATGTCTTCATGTAAACTCTAGACAGAAGCATTCTCAGAAACTGCTTTGGGATGTTTCAATTGAAGTCCCAGTGTTGAACATTCCCTTTCATAGAGCAGGTTTGAAACACTCTTTTTGTACTATCTGGAAGTGGACATTTGGAGCGCTTTCAGGTCTACGGTGAAAAAGGAGATATCTTCCAATAAAAACTAGATAGAAGCAATGTCAGAACTTTTTTCATGATGTATCTACTCAGCAAACAGAGTTGAACCTTTCTTTTGAGAGAGCAGTTTTGAAACACTCTTTTTGTGGAATATGCAAGTGGGTATTAGGCCAGCTTGGAGGATTTCGTTGGAAACGGGAATACGTATAAAAAGCAGACAGCAGCATTGTCAGAAACTACTTTGTGATGTTTACATTCAAGTCACAGAATTGAACACTCCCTTTCACAGAGCAGGTTTGAAACACTCTTTTTGTAGTGTCTGTAAGTGAACATTTGGATTGCTTTCAGGCCTAAGGTGAAAAAGGAAATGTCTTCCCATAAAAACTAGACAGAAGCATTCTCAGAAACTTGTTTGTGATGTGTGCCCTCTACTGACAGAGTTGAACCTTTCTTTGCAAAGACCAGTTTTGAAACACTCTTTTTGTAGAATCTGCAAGAGGATATTTGGATAGCTTTGAGGATTTCTTGGGAAACGGGAATGTCTTCAGATAAACTCTAGACAGAAGCATTCTCAGAAACTTCTTTGGGATGTTTCAATTGAAGTCACAGTGTTGAACATTCCCTTTCACAGAGCAGGTTTGAAACACTCTTTTTGTAGTGTCTATAATTGAACATTTGGCGTGCTTTCAGGCCTAACGTGAAAAAGGAAATATCTTCCCATAAAAACTAGACAGAAGCATTCTCAGAAACTTGTTCGTGATGTGTGCCCTCTACTGACAGAGTTGAACCTTTCTTTGCAAAGAGCAGCTTTGAAACACTCTTTTTGTAGAATCTGCAAGAGGATATTTGGATAGCTTTGAGGATTTCGTTGGAAACGGGTATGTCTTCAGATAAACTCTAGACAGAAGCATTCTCAGAAACTTCTTTGGGATGTTGCATTCAAGTCACAGAGTAGAACATTCCCATTCATAGAGCAGATTTGAAACACTCTTTTTGTAGTATCTGGAAGTGGACATTTGGAGCGCTTTCAGGCCTATGTTGAAAAAGGAAATATCTTCCCATAAAAACTAGACGGAAGCATTCTCAGAAACTTACTTGTGATGTGTTTGCTCAACTAACAGAATTGAACCATCGTTTTAAAGGAGCAGTTTTGAAACACTGTTTTCGTGGAATCTGCAAGTGGATATTTGGCTAGCTTTGAGGATTTCGTTGGAAACGGGATTACATATAAAAAGGAGACAGCAGCATTCTCAGAAACTTCTTTGTGATGTCTGCATTCAATTCACAGAGTTGAGCATTCCCTTTCATAGAGCAGGTTGGAAACACTCTTTGTGTAGTATCTGGATGAGGACATTTGGAGCGCTTTCAGGCCTATGGTGAAAAAGGAAATATCTTCCCGTAAAAACTAGACAGAAGCATTCTCAGAAATTTATTTGTGATGTGTGCCCTCAACTAACAGAGTTGAACCTTTCTTTTGATAGAGCAGTTTTGAAACACTCTTTTTGTAAAATCTGCAAGAGGATATTTGGATAGCTTTGAGGATTTCATTGCAAACGGGAATGGCTTCATATAAACTCTAGACAGAAACATTCTCAGAAACTTCTTTGGGATGTTTCGATTGAAGTCCCAGTGTTGAACTTTCCCTTTTATAGAGCAGGTTGGAAACACTCTTTCTGCATTCCCTGGAAGTGGACATTTGGAGCGCTTTCAGGACGACGGTGAAAATGGAAATATCTTCCAAGAAAATCTAGATAGAAGCAACGTCAGAAACTTTTATGTGATGGATCTACTCAGCTAACAGAGTTGAACCTTTCTTTTGAGAGAGCAGTTTTGCAACACTCTTTTTGTGGAATATGCAAGTGGATATTAGGGCAGCTTTGAGGATTTCGTTGGAAACGGGAATACATGTAAAAAGCAGACAGCAGCATTCTCAGAAACTTCTTTGTGATGTTTGCATTGAAGTCACAGAGTTGAACATTCCCTTTGAGAGAGCAGGTTTGAAACACGCCTTTTGTCATATCTGGAAGTGTCCATTCGGAGCGCATTCAGGCTTGTGTTGAAAAAGGAAATATCCTCCCATAAAAACTAGACAGAAGCATTCTCAGAAACTTATCTGTGATGTATGTACTCAACTAACAGAACTAAACCATCGTTTTGAAGGAGCAGTTTTGAAACACTCTTTTTGCGGAATCTGCAAGAGGATATTTGGCTAGCTGGGAGGATTTCGTTGGAAACGGGATTACATACAAAAAGCAGACAGCAGCATTCTCAGAAACTTCTTTGTGATGTTTGCATTCAAGTCACAGAGTTGAACATTCCCTTTCATAGAGCAGGTTTGAAACACTCTTTTTGTAGTATCTGGATGTGGACATTTGGATCGCTTTCAGGCCTATGGTGAAAAAGGAAATATCTTCCCATGAAAACTAGACAGAAGCATTCTCAGAAACTTATTTGTGATGTGTGCCCTCAACTGACAGTGCTGAACCTTTGTTTTGATAGAGCAGTTCTGAAACACACTTTTTGTAAAATCTGCAAGAGGATATTTGGATAGCTTTGAGGATTTCGTTGGAAACGGGAATGTCTTCATGTAAACTCTAGACAGAAGCATTCTCAGAAACTGCTTTGGGATGTTTCAATTGAAGTCCCAGTGTTGAACATTCCCATTCATAGAGCAGGTTTGAAACACTCTTTTTGTACTATCTGGAAGTGGACATTTGGAGCGCTTTCAGGTCTACGGTGAAAAAGGAGATATCTTCCAATAAAAACTAGATAGAAGCAATGTCAGAACTTTTTTCATGATGTATCTACTCAGCAAACAGAGTTGAACCTTTCTTTTGAGAGAGCAGTTTTGAAACACTCTTTTTGTGGAATATGCAAGTGGGTATTAGGCCAGCTTGGAGGATTTCGTTGGAAACGGGAATACGTATAAAAAGCAGACAGCAGCATTGTCAGAAACTACTTTGTGATGTTTGCATTCAAGTCACAGAATTGAACACTCCCTTTCACAGAGCAGGTTTGAAACACTCTTTTTGTAGTGTCTGTAAGTGAACATATGGATTGCTTTCAGGCCTAAGGTGAAAAAGGAAATATCTTCCCATAAAAACTAGACAGAAAGCATTCTCAGAAACTTGTTTGTGATGTGTGCCCTCTACTGACAGAGTTGAACCTTTCTTTGCAAAGAGCAGTTTTGAAACACTCTTTTTGTAGAATCTGCAAGAGGATATTTGGATAGCTTTGAAGATTTCTTGGGAAACGGGAATGTCTTCAGATAAACTCTAGACAGGAAGCATTCTCAGAAACTTCTTTGGGATGTTTCAATTGAAGTCACAGTGTTGAACATTCCCTTTCACAGAGCAGGTTTGAAACACTCTTTTTGTAGTGTCTATAATTGAACATTTGGCGTGCTTTCAGGCCTAACGTGAAAAAGGAAATATCTTCCCATAAAAACTAGACAGAAGCATTCTCAGAAACTTGTTCGTGATGTGTGCCCTCTACTGACAGAGTTGAACCTTTCTTTGCAAAGAGCAGCTTTGAAACACTCTTTTTGTAGAATCTGCAAGAGGATATTTGGATAGCTTTGAGGATTTCGTTGGAAACGGGTATGTCTTCAGATAAACTCTAGACAGAAGCATTCTCAGAAACTTCTTTGGGATGTTGCATTCAAGTCACAGAGTAGAACATTCCCATTCATAGAGCAGATTTGAAACACTCTTTTTGTAGTATCTGGAAGTGGACATTTGGAGCGCTTTCAGGCCTATGTTGAAAAAGGAAATATCTTCCCATGAAAACTAGACAGAAGCATTCTCAGAAACTTATTTGTGATGTGTGCCCTCAACTGACAGTGTTGAACCTTTGTTTTGATAGAGCAGTTCTGAAACACACTTTTTGTAAAATCTGCAAGAGGATATTTGGATAGCTTTGAGGATTTCGTTGGAAACGGGAATGTCTTCATGTAAACTCTAGACAGAAGCATTCTCAGAAACTGCTTTGGAATGTTTCAATTGAAGTCCCAGTGTTGAACATTCCCTTTCATAGAGCAGGTTTGAAACACTCTTTTTGTACTATCTGGAAGTGGACATTTGGAGCGCTTTCAGGTCTACGGTGAAAAAGGAGATATCTTCCAATAACAACTAGATAGAAGCAATGTCAGAACTTTTTTCATGATGTATCTACTCAGCAAACAGAGTTGAACCTTTCTTTTGAGAGAGCAGTTTTGAAACACTCTTTTTGTGGAATATGCAAGTGGGTATTAGGCCAGCTTGGAGGATTTCGTTGGAAACGGGAATACGTATAAAAAGCAGACAGCAGCATTGTCAGAAACTACTTTGTGATGTTTGCATTCAAGTCACAGAATTGAACACTCCCTTTCACAGAGCAGGATTGAAACACTCTTTTTGTAGTGTCTGTAAGTGAACATTTGGATTGCTTTCAGGCCTAAGGTGAAAAAGGAAATATCTTCCCATAAAAACTAGACAGAAGCATTCTCAGAAACTTGTTTGTGATGTGTGCCCTCTACTGACAGAGTTGAACCTTTCTTTGCAAAGAGCAGTTTTGAAACACTCTTTTTGTAGAATCTGCAAGAGGATATTTGGATAGCTTTGAGGATTTCTTGGGAAACGGGAATGTCTTCAGATAAACTCTAGACAGAAGCATTCTCAGAAACTTCTTGGGATATTTCAATTGAAGTCACAGTGTTGAACATTCCCTTTCACAGAGCAGGTTTGAAACACTCTTTTTGTAGTGTCTATAAGTGAACATTTGGCGTGCTTTCAGGCCTAACGTGAAAAAGGAAATATCTTCCCATAAAAACTAGACAGAAGCATTCTCAGAAACTTGTTCGTGATGTGTGCCCTCTACTGACAGAGTTGAACCTTTCTTTGCAAAGAGCAGCTTTGAAACACTCTTTTTGTAGAATCTGCAAGAGGATATTTGGATAGCTTTGAGGATTTCGTTGGAAACGGGTATGTCTTCAGATAAACTCTAGACAGGAAGCATTCTCAGAAATTTCTTTGGGATGTTGCATGCAAGTCACAGAGTAGAACATTCCCATTCATAGAGCAGATTTGAAACACTCTTTTTGTAGTATCTGGAAGTGGACATTTGGAGCGCTTTCAGGCCTATGTTGAAAAAGGAAATATCTTCCCATAAAAACTAGACGGAAGCATTCTCAGAAACTTATTTGTGATGTGTTTGCTCAACTAACAGGATTGAACCATCGTTTTGAAGGAGCAGTTTTGAAACACTGTTTTCGTGGAATCTGCAAGTGGATATTTGGCTAGCTTTGAGGATTTCGTTGGAAACGGGATTACATATAAAAAGGAGACAGCAGCATTCTCAGAAACTTCTTTGTGATGTCTGCATTCAATTCACAGAGTTGAGCATTCCCTTTCATAGAGCAGGTTGGAAACACTCTTTTTGTAGTATCTGGATGAGGACATTTGGAGCGCTTTCAGGCGTATGGTGAAAAAGGAAATATCTTCCCGTAAAAACTAGACAGAAGCATTCTCAGAAGTTTATTTCTGATGTGTGCCCTCAACTAACAGAGTTGAACCTTTCTTTTGATAGAGCAGTTTTGAAACACTCTTTTTGTAAAATCTGCAAGAGGATATTTGGATAGCTTTGAGGATTTCGTTGCAAACGGGAATGGCTTCATATAAACTCTAGACAGAAGCATTCTCAGAAACTTCGTTGGGATGTTTCGATTGAAGTCCCAGTGTTGAACATTCCCTTTTATAGAGCAGGTTGGAAACACTCTTTCTGCATTCCCTGGAAGTGGACATTTGGAGCGCTTTCAGGACGACGGTGAAAATGGAAATATCTTCCAAGAAAATCTAGATAGAAGCAATGTCAGAAACTTTTCTGTGATGGATCTACTCAGCTAACAGAGTTGAACCTTTCTTTTGAGAGAGCAGTTTTGCAACACTCTTTTTGTGGAATACGCAAGTGGATATTAGGGCAGCTTTGAGGATTTCGTTGGAAACGGGAATACATGTAAAAAGCAGACAGCAGCATTCTCAGAAACTTCTTTGTGATGTTTGCATTGAAGTCACAGAGTTGAACATTCCCTTTGAGAGAGCAGGTTTGAAACACGCCTTTTGTCATATCTGGAAGTGTCCATTCGGAGCGCATTCAGGCTTGTGTTGAAAAAGGAAATATCCTCCCATAAAAACTAGACAGAAGCATTCTCAGAAACTTATCTGTGATGTATGTACTCAACTAACAGAACTAAACCATCGTTTTGAAGGAGCAGTTTTGAAACACTCTTTTTGCGGAATCTGCAAGTGGATATTTGGCTAGCTGGGAGGATTTCGTTGGAAACGGGATTACATACAAAAAGCAGAGAGCAGCATTCTCAGAAACTTATTTGTGATGTGTGCCCTCAACTGACAGTGTTGAACCTTTGTTTTGATAGAGCAGTTCTGAAACACACTTTTTGTAAAATCTGCAAGAGGATATTTGGATAGCTTTGAGGATTTCGTTGGAAACGGGAATGTCTTCATGTAAACTCTAGACAGAAGCATTCTCAGAAACTGCTTTGGGATGTTTCAATTGAAGTCCCAGTGTTGAACATTCCCTTTCATAGAGCAGGTTTGAAACACTCTTTTTGTACTATCTGGAAGTGGACATTTGGAGCGCTTTCAGGTCTACGGTGAAAAAGGAGATATCTTCCAATAAAAACTAGATAGAAGCAATGTCAGAACTTTTTTCATGATGTATCTACTCAGCAAACAGAGTTGAACCTTTCTTTTGAGAGAGCAGTTTCGAAACACTCTTTCTGTGGAATATGCAAGTGGGTATTAGGCCAGCTTGGAGGATTTCGTTGGAAACGGGAATACGTATAAAAAGCAGACAGCAGCATTGTCAGAAACTACTTTGTGATGTTTGCATTCAAGTCACAGAATTGAACACTCCCTTTCACAGAGCAGGTTTGAAACACTCTTTTTGTAGTGTCTGTAAGTGTACATTTGGATTGCTTTCAGGCCTAAGGTGAAAAAGGAAATATCTTCCCATAAAAACTAGACAGAAGCATTCTCAGAAACTTGTTTGTGATGTGTGCCCTCTACTGACAGAGTTGAACCTTTCTTTGCAAAGAGCAGTTTTGAAACACTCTTTTTGTAGAATCTGCAAGAGGATATTTGGATAGCTTTGAGGATTTCTTGGGAAACGGGAATGTCTTCAGATAAACTCTAGACAGAAGCATTCTCAGAAACTTCTTTGGGATATTTCAATTGAAGTCACAGTGTTGAACATTCCCTTTCACAGAGCAGGTTTGAAACACTCTTTTTGTAGTGTGTATAAGTGAACATTTCGCGTGCTTTCAGGCCTAACGTGAAAAAGGAAATATCTTCCCATAAAAACTAGACAGAAGCATTCTCAGAAACTTGTTCATGATGTGTGCCCTCTACTGACAGAGTTGAACCTTTCTTTGCAAAGAGCAGCTTTGAAACACTCTTTTTGTAGAATCTGCAAGAGGATATTTGGATAGCTTGGAGGATTTCGTTGGAAACGGGTATGTCTTCAGATAAACTCTAGACAGAAGCATTCTCAGAAACTTCTTTGGGATGTTGCATTCAAGTCACAGAGTAGAACATTCCCATTCATAGAGCAGATTTGAAACACTCTTTTTGTAGTATCTGGAAGTGGACATTTGGAGCGCTTTCAGGCCTATGTTGAAAAAGGAAATGTCTTCCCATAAAAACTAGACGGAAGCATTCTCAGAAACTTACTTGTGATGTGTTTGCTCAACTAACAGAATTGAACCATCGTTTTGAAGGAGCAGTTTTGAAACACTGTTTTCGTGGAATCTGCAAGTGGATATTTGGCTAGCTTTGAGGATTTCGTTGGAAACGGGATTACATATAAAAAGGAGACAGCAGCATTCTCAGAAACTTCTTTGTGATGTCTGCATTCAAGTCACAGAGTTGAGCATTCCCTTTCATAGAGCAGGTTGGAAACACTCTTTTTGTAGTATCTGGATGAGGACATTTGGAGCGCTTTCAGGCCTATGGTGAAAAAGGAAATATCTTCCCGTAAAAACTAGACAGAAGCATTCTCAGAAATTTATTTGTGATGTGTGCCCTCAACTAACAGAGTTGAACCTTTCTTTTGATAGAGCAGTTTTGAAACACTCTTTTTGTAAAATCTGCAAGAGGATATTTGGATAGCTTTGAGGATTTCGTTGCAAACGGGAATGGCTTCATATAAACTCTAGACAGAAGCATTGTGAGAAACTTCGTTGGGATGTTTCGATTGAAGTCCCAGTGTTGAACATTCCCTTTTATAGAGCAGGTTGGAAACACTCTTTCTGCATTCCCTGGAAGTGGACATTTGGAGCGCTTTCAGGACGACGGTGAAAATGGAAATATCTTCCAATAAAATCTAGATAGAAGCAATGTCAGAAACTTTTATGTGATGGATCTACTCAGCTAACAGAGTTGAACCTTTCTTTTGAGAGAGCAGTTTTGCAACACTCTTTTTGTGGAATATGCAAGTGGATATTAGGGCAGCTTTGAGGATTTCGTTGGAAACGGGAATACATGTAAAAAGCAGACAGCAGCATTCTCAGAAACTTCTTTGTGATGTTTGCATTGAAGTCACAGAGTTGAACATTCCCTTTGAGAGAGCAGGTTTGAAACACGCCTTTTGTCATATCTGGAAGTGTCCATTCGGAGCGCATTCAGGCTTGTGTTGAAAAAGGAAATATCCTCCCATAAAAACTAGACAGAAGCATTCTCAGAAACTTATCTGTGATGTATGTACTCAACTAACAGAACTAAACCATCGTTTTGAAGGAGCAGTTTTGAAACACTCTTTTTGCGGAATCTGAAAGTGGATATTTGGCTAGCTGGGAGGATTTCGTTGGAAACGGGATTACATACAAAAAGCAGACAGCAGCATTCTCAGAAACTTCTTTGTGATGTTTGCATTCAAGTCACAGAGTTGAACATTCCCTTTCATAGAGCAGGTTTGAAACACTCTTTTTGTAGTATCTGGATGTGGACATTTGGATCGCTTTCAGGCCTATGGTGAAAAAGGAAATATCTTCCCATGAAAACTAGACAGAAGCATTCTCAGAAACTTATTTGTGATGTGTGCCCTCAACTGACAGTGTTGAACCTTTGTTTTGATAGAGCAGTTCTGAAACACACTTTTTGTAAAATCTGCAAGAGGATATTTGGATAGCTTTGAGGATTTCGTTGGAAACGGGAATGTCTTCATGTAAACTCTAGACAGAAGCATTCTCAGAAACTGCTTTGGGATGTTTCAATTGAAGTCCCAGTGTTGAACATTCCCTTTCATAGAGCAGGTTTGAAACACTCTTTTTGTACTATCTGGAAGTGGACATTTGGAGCGCTTTCAGGTCTACGGTGAAAAAGGAGATATCTTCCAATAAAAACTAGATAGAAGCAATGTCAGAACTTTTTTCATGATGTATCTACTCAGCAAACAGAGTTGAACCTTTCTTTTGAGGGAGCAGTTTTGAAACACTATTTTTGTGGAATATGCAAGTGGGTATTAGGCCAGCTTGGAGGATTTCGTTGGAAACGGGAATACGTATAAAAAGCAGACAGCAGCATTGTCAGAAACTACTTTGTGATGTTTGCATTCAAGTCACAGAATTGAACACTCCCTTTCACAGAGCAGGTTTGAAACACTCTTTTTGTAGTGTCTGTAAGTGAACATTTGGATTGATTTCAGGCCTAAGGTGAAAAAGGAAATATCTTCCCATAAAAACTAGACAGAAGCATTCTCAGAAACTTGTTTGTGATGTGTGCCCTCTACTGACAGAGTTGAACCTTTCTTTGCAAAGAGCAGTTTTGAAACACTCTTTTTGTAGAATCTGCAAGAGGATATTTGGATAGCTTTGAGGATTTCTTGGGAAACGGGAATGTCTTCAGATAAACTCTAGACAGAAGCATTCTCAGAAACTTCTTTGGGATGTTTCAATTGAAGTCACAGTGTTGAACATTCCCTTTCACAGGAGCAGGTTTGAAACACTCTTTTTGTAGTGTCTATAAGTGAACATTTGGCGTGCTTTCAGGCCTAACGTGAAAAAGGAAATATCTTCCCATAAAAACTAGACAGAAGCATTCTCAGAAACTTGTTCGTGATGTGTGCCCTCTACTGACAGAGTTGAACCTTTCTTTGCAAAGAGCAGCTTTGAAACACTCTTTTTGTAGAATCTGCAAGAGGATATTTGGATAGCTTTGAGGATTTCGTTGGAAACGGGTATGTCTTCAGATAAACTCTAGACAGAAACATTCTCAGAAACTTCTTTGGGATGTTGCATTCAAGTCACAGAGTAGAACATTCCCATGCATAGAGCAGATTTGAAACACTCTTTTTGTAGTATCTGGAAGTGGACATTTGGAGCGCTTTCAGGCCTATGTTGAAAAAGGAAATATCTTCCCATAAAAACTAGACGGAAGCATTCTCAGAAACTTACGTGTGATGTGTTTGCTCAACTAACAGAATTGAACCATCGTTTTGAAGGAGCAGTTTTGAAACACTGTTTTCGTGGAATCTGCAAGTGGATATTTGGCTAGCTTTGAGGATTTCGTTGGAAACGGGATTACAAATAAAAAGGAGTCAGCAGCATTCTCAGAAACTTCTTTGTGATGTCTGCATTCAAGTCACAGAGTTGAGCATTCCCTTTCATAGAGCAGGTTGGAAACACTCTTTTTGTAGTATCTGGATGAGGACATTTGGAGCGCTTTCAGGCCTATGGTGAAAAAGGAAATATCTTCCCGTAAAAACTAGACAGAAGCATTCTCAGAAATTTATTTGTGATGTGTGCCCTCAACTAACAGAGTTGAACCTTTCTTTTGATAGAGCAGTTTTGAAACACTCTTTTTGTAAAATCTGCAAGAGGATATTTGGATAGCTTTGAGGATTTCGTTGCAAACGGGAATGGCTTCATATAAACTCTAGACAGAAGCATTCTCAGAAACTTCGTTGGGATGTTTCGATTGAAGTCCCAGTGTTGAACATTCCCTTTTATAGAGCAGGTTGGAAACACTCTTTCTGCATTCCCTGGAAGTGGACATTTGGAGCGCTTTCAGGACGACGGTGAAAATGGAAATATCTTCCAAGAAAATCTAGATAGAAGCAACGTCAGAAACTTTTATGTGATGGATCTACTCAGCTAACAGAGTTGAACCTTTCTTTTGAGAGAGCAGTTTTGCAACACTCTTTTTGTGGAATATGCAAGTGGATATTAGGGCAGCTTTGAGGATTTCGTTGGAAACGGGAATACATGTAAAAAGCAGACAGCAGCATTCTCAGAAACTTCTTTGTGATGTTTGCATTGAAGTCACAGAGTTGAACATTCCCTTTGAGAGAGCAGGTTTGAAACACGCCTTTTGTCATATCTGGAAGTGTCCATTCGGAGCGCATTCAGGCTTGTGTTGAAAAAGGAAATATCCTCCCATAAAAACTAGACAGAAGCATTCACAGAAACTTATGTGTGATGTATGTACTCAACTAACAGAACTAAACCATCGTTTTGAAGGAGCAGTGTTGAAACACTCTTTTTGCGGAATCTGCAAGTGGATATTTGCCTAGCTTGGAGGATTTCGTTGGAAACGGGATTACATATAAAAAGCAGACAGCAGCATTCCCAGAAACTTATTTGTGATGTGTGCCCTCAACTGACAGTGTTGAACCTTTGTTTTGATAGAGCAGTTCTGAAACACACTTTTTGTAAAATCTGCATGAGGATATTGGGATAGCTTGGAGGATTTCGTTGGAAACGGGAATGTCTTCATGTAAACTCTAGACAGAAGCATTCTCAGAAACTGCTTTGTGATGCTTCAATTGAAGTCCCAGTGTTGAACATTCCCTTTCATACAGCAGGTTTGAAACACTCTTTTTGTAGTATCTGGAAGTGGACATTTGGAGCGCTTTCAGGTCTACGGTGAAAAAGGAGATATCTTCCAATAAAAACTAGATAGAAGCAATGTCAGAACTTTTCCCATGATGTATCTACTCAGCAAACAGAGTTGAACCTTTCTTTTGAGAGAGCAGTTTTGAAACACTCTTTTTGTGGAATATGCAACTGGGTATTAGGTCAGCTTGGAGGATTTCGTTGGAAACGGGAATACGTATAAAAAGCAGACAGCAGCATTGTCAGAAACTACTTTGTGATGTTTGCATTCAAGTCACAGAATTGAACACTCCCTTTCACAGAGCAGGTTTGAAACACTCTTTTTGTAGTGTCTGTAAGTGAACATTTGGATTGCTTTCAGGCCTAAGGTGAAAAAGGAAATATCTTCCCATAAAAACTAGACAGAAGCATTCTCAGAAACTTGTTTGTGATGTGTGCCCTCTACTGACAGAGTTGAACCTTTCTTTGCAAAGAGCAGTTTTGAAACACTCTTTTTGTAGAATCTGCAAGAGGATATTTGGATAGCTTTGAGGATTTCTTGGGAAACGGGAATGTCTTCAGATAAACTCTAGACAGAAGCATTCTCAGAAACTTCTTTGGGATGTTTCAATTGAAGTCACAGTGTTGAACATTCCCTTTCACAGAGCAGGTTTGAAACACTCTTTTTGTAGTGTCTATAAGTGAACATTTGGCGTGCTTTCAGGCGTAACGTGAAAAAGGAAATATCTTCCCATAAAAACTAGACAGAAGCATTCTCAGAAACTTGTTCGTGATGTGTGCCCTCTACTGACAGAGTTGAACCTTTCTTTGCAAAGAGCAGCTTTGAAACACACTTTTTGTAGAATCTGCAAGAGGATATTTGGATAGCTTGGAGGATTTCGTTGGAAACGGGTATGTCTTCAGATAAACTCTAGACAGAAGCATTCTCAGAAACTTCTTTGGGATGTTGCATTCAAGTCACAGAGTAGAACATTCCCATTCATAGAGCAGATTTGAAACACTCTTTTTGTAGTATCTGGAAGTGGACATTTGGAGCGCTTTCAGGCCTATGTTGAAAAAGGAAATATCTTCCCATAAAAACTAGACGGAAGCATTCTCAGAAACTTATTTGTGATGTGTGCACTCAACTGACAGTGTTGAACCTTTGCTTTGATAGAGCAGTTCTGAAACACACTTTTTGTAAAATCTGCAAGAGGATATTTGGCTAGCTTTGAGGATTTCGTTGGAAACGGGATTACATATAAAAAGGAGACAGCAGCATTCTCAGAAACTTCTTTGTGATGTCTGCATTCAATTCACAGAGTTGAGCATTCCCTTTCATAGAGCAGGTTGGAAACACTCTTTTTGTAGTATCTGGATGAGGACATTTGGAGCGCTTTCAGGCCTATGGTGAAAAAGGAAATATCTTCCCGTAAAAACTAGACAGAAGCATTCTCAGAAGTTTATTTGTGATGTGTGCCCTCAACTAACAGAGTTGAACCTTTCTTTTGATAGAGCAGTTTTGAAACACTCTTTTTGTAAAATCTGCAAGAGGATATTTGGATAGCTTTGAGGATTTCGTTGCAAACGGGAATGGCTTCATATAAACTCTAGACAGAAGCATTCTCAGAAACTTCGTTGGGATGTTTCGATTGAAGTCCCAGTGTTGAACATTCCCTTTTATAGAGCAGGTTGGAAACACTCTTTCTGCATTCCCTGGAAGTGGACATTTGGAGCGCTTTCAGGACGACGGTGAAAATGGAAATATCTTCCAAGAAAATCTAGATAGAAGCAATGTCAGAAACTTTTATGTGATGGATCTACTCAGCTAACAGAGTTGAACCTTTCTTTTGAGAGAGCAGTTTTGCAACACTCTTTTTGTGGAATATGCAAGTGGATATTAGGGCAGCTTTGAGGATTTCGTTGGAAACGGGAATACATGTAAAAAGCAGACAGCAGCATTCTCAGAAACTTCTTTGTGATGTTTGCATTGAAGTCACAGAGTTGAACATTCCCTTTGAGAGAGCAGGTTTGAAACACGCCTTTTGTCATATCTGGAAGTGTCCATTCGGAGCGCATTCAGGCTTGTGTTGAAAAAGGAAATATCCTCCCATAAAAACTAGACAGAAGCATTCTCAGAAACTTATCTGTGATGTATGTACTCAACTAACAGAACTAAACCATCGTTTTGAAGGAGCAGTTTTGAAACACTCTTTTTGCGGAATCTGCAAGTGGATATTTGGCTAGCTGGGAGGATTTCGTTGGAAACGGGATTACATACAAAAAGCAGACAGCAGCATTCTCAGAAACTTCTTTGTGATGTTTGCATTCAAGTCACAGAGTTGAACATTCCCTTTCATAGAGCAGGTTTGAAACACTCTTTTTGTAGTATCTGGATGTGGACATTTGGATCGCTTTCAGGCCTATGGTGAAAAAGGAAATATCTTCCCATGAAAACTAGACAGAAGCATTCTCAGAAACTTATTTGTGATGTGTGCCCTCAACTGACAGTGTTGAACCTTTGTTTTGATAGAGCAGTTCTGAAACACACCTTTTGTAAAATCTGCAAGAGGATATTTGGATAGCTTTGAGGATTTCGTTGGAAACGGGAATGTCTTCATGTAAACTCTACACAGAAGCATTCTCAGAAACTGCTTTGGGATGTTTCAATTGAAGTCCCAGTGTTGAACATTCCCTTTCATAGAGCAGGTTTGAAACACTCTTTTTGGAGTATCTGGAAGTGGACATTTGGAGCGCTTTCACGGTCTACGGTGAAAAAGGAGATATCTTCCAATAAAAACTAGATAGAAGCAATGTCAGAACTTTTTTCATGATGTATCTACTCAGCAAACAGAGTTGAACCTTACTTTTGAGAGAGCAGTTTTGAAACACTCTTTTTGTGGAATATGCAAGTGGGTATTAGGCCAGCTTGGAGGATTTCGTTGGAAACGGGAATACGTATAAAAAGCAGACAGCAGCATTGTCAGAAACTACTTTGTGATGTTTGCATTCAAGTCACAGAATTGAACACTCCCTTTCACAGAGCAGGTTAGAAACACTCTTTTTGTAGTGTCTGTAAGTGAACATTTGGATTCCTTTCAGGCCTAAGGTGAAAAAGGAAATATCTTCCCATAAAAACTAGACAGAAGCATTCTCAGAAACTTGTTTGTGATGTGTGCCCTCTACTGACAGAGTTGAACCTTTCTTTGCAAAGAGCAGTTTTGAAACACTCTTTTTGTAGAATCTGCAAGAGGATATTTGGATAGCTTTGAGGATTTCTTGGGAAACGGGAATGTCTTCAGATAAACTCTAGACAGAAGCATTCTCAGAAACTTCTTTGGGATGTTTCAATTGAAGTCACAGTGTTGAACATTCCCTTTCACAGAGCAGGTTTGAAACACTCTTTTTGTAGTGTCTATAAGTGAACATTTGGCGTGCTTTCAGGCCAACGTGAAAAAGGAAATATCTTCCCATAAAAACTAGACAGAAGCATTCTCAGAAACTTGTTCGTGATGTGTGCCCTCTACTGACAGAGTTGAACCTTTCTTTGCAAAGAGCAGCTTTGAAACACTCTTTTTGTAGAATCTGCAAGAGGATATTTGGATAGCTTTGAGGATTTCGTTGGAAACGGGTATGTCTTCAGATAAACTCTAGACAGAAGCATTCTCAGAAACTTCTTTGGGATGTTGCATTCAAGTCACAGAGTAGAACATTCCCATTCATAGAGCAGATTTGAAACACTCTTTTTGTAGTATCTGGAAGTGGACATTTGGAGCGCTTTCAGGCCTATGTTGAAAAAGGAAATATCTTCCCATAAAAACAAGACGGAAGCATTCTCAGAAACTTACTTGTGATGTGTTTGCTCAACTAACAGAATTGAACCATCGTTTTAAAGGAGCAGTTTTGAAACACTGTTTTCGTGGAATCTGCAAGTGGATATTTGGCTAGCTTTGAGGATTTCGTTGGAAACGGGATTACATATAAAAAGGAGACAGCAGCATTCTCAGAAACTTCTTTGTGATGTCTGCATTCAAGTCACAGAGTTGAGCATTCCCTTTCATAGAGCAGGTTGGAAACACTCTTTTTGTAGTATCTGGATGAGGACATTTGGAGCGCTTTCAGGCCTATGGTGAAAAAGGAAATATCTTCCCGTAAAAACTAGACAGAAGCATTCTCAGAAATTTATTTGTGATGTGTGCCCTCAACTAACAGAGTTGAACCTTTCTTTTGATAGAGCAGTTTTGAAACACTCTTTTTGTAAAATCTGCAAGAGGATATTTGGATAGCTTTGAGGATTTCGTTGCAAACGGGAATGGCTTCATATAAACTCTAGACAGAAGCATTCTCAGAAACTTCGTTGGGATGTTTCGATTGAAGTCCCAGTGTTGAACATTCCCTTTTATAGAGCAGATTGGAAACACTCTTTTTGCATTCCCTGGAAGTGGACATTTGGAGCGCTTTCAGGACGACGGTGAAAATGGAAATATCTTCCAAGAAAATCTAGATAGAAGCAATGTCAGAAACTTTTATGTGATGGATCTACTCAGCTAACAGAGTTGAACCTTTCTTTTGAGAGAGCAGTTTTGCAACACTCTTTTTGTGGAATATGCAAGTGGATATTAGGGCAGCTTTGAGGATTTCGTTGGAAACGGGAATACATGTAAAAAGCAGACAGCAGCATTCTCAGAAACTTCTTTGTGATGTTTGCATTCAAGTCACAGAGTTGAACATTCCCTTTGAGAGAGCAGGTTTGAAACACGCCTTTTGTCATATCTGGAAGTGTCCATTCGGAGCGCATTCAGGCTTGTGTTGAAAAAGGAAATATCCTCCCATAAAAACTAGACAGAAGCATTCTCAGAAACTTATCTGTGATGTATGTACTCAACTAACAGAACTAAACCATCGTTTTGAAGGAGCAGTTTTGAAACACTCTTTTTGCGGAATCTGCAAGTGGATATTTGGCTAGCTGGGAGGATTTCGTTGGAAACGGGATTACATACAAAAAGCAGACAGCAGCATTCTCAGAAACTTCTTTGTGATGTTTGCATTCAAGTCACAGAGTTGAACATTCCCTTTCATAGAGCAGGTTTGAAACACTCTTTTTGTAGTATCTGGATGTGGACATTTGGATCGCTTTCAGGCCTATGGTGAAAAAGGAAATATCTTCCCATGAAAACTAGACAGAAGCATTCTCAGAAACTTATTTGTGATGTGTGCCCTCAACTGACAGTGTTGAACCTTTGTTTTGATAGAGCAGTTCTGAAACACACTTTTTGTAAAATCTGCAAGAGGATATTTGGATAGCTTTGAGGATTTCGTTGGAAACGGGAATGTCTTCATGTAAACTCTACACAGAAGCATTCTCAGAAACTGCTTTGGGATGTTTCAATTGAAGTCCCAGTGTTGAACATTCCCATTCATAGAGCAGGTTTGAAACACTCTTTTTGTACTATCTGGAAGTGGACATTTGGAGCGCTTTCAGGTCTACGGTGAAAAAGGAGATATCTTCCAATAAAAACTAGATAGAAGCAATGTCAGAACTTTTTTCATGATGTATCTACTCAGCACACAGAGTTGAACCTTTCTTTTGAGAGAGCAGTTTTGAAACACTCTTTTTGTGGAATATGCAAGTGGGTATTAGGCCAGCTTGGAGGATTTCGTTGGAAACGGGAATACGTATAAAAAGCAGACAGCAGCATTGTCAGAAACTACTTTGTGATGTTTGCATTCAAGTCACAGAATTGAACACTCCCTTTCACAGAGCAGGTTTGAAACACTCTTTTTGTAGTGTCTGTAAGTGAACATTTGGATTGCTTTCAGGCCTAAGGTGAAAAAGGAAATATCTTCCCATAAAAACTAGACAGAAGCATTCTCAGAAACTTGTTTGTGATGTGTGCCCTCTACTGACAGAGTTGAACCTTTCTTTGCAAAGAGCAGGTTTGAAACACTCTTTTTGTAGAATCTGCAAGAGGATATTTGGATAGCTTTGAGGATTTCTTGGGAAACGGGAATGTCTTCAGATAAACTCTAGACAGAAGCATTCTCAGAAACTTCTTTGGGATGTTTCAATTGAAGTCACAGTGTTGAACATTCCCTTTCACAGAGCAGGTTTGAAACACTCTTTTTGTAGTGTCTATAAGTGAACATTTGGCGTGCTTTCAGGCCTAACGTGAAAAAGGAAATATCTTCCCATAAAAACTAGACAGAAGCATTCTCAGAAACTTGTTCTTGATGTGTCCCCTCTACTGACAGAGTTGAACCTTTCTTTGCAAAGAGCAGCTTTGAAACACTCTTTTTGTAGAATCTGCAAGAGGATATTTGGATAGCTTGGAGGATTTCGTTGGAAACGGGTATGTCTTCAGATAAACTCTAGACAGAAGCATTCTCAGAAACTTCTTTGGGATGTTGCATTCAAGTCACAGAGTAGAACATTCCCATTCATAGAGCAGATTTGAAACACTCTTTTTGTAGTATCTGGAAGTGGACATTTGGAGCGCTTTCAGGCCTATGTTGAAAAAGGAAATATCTTCCCATGAAAACTAGACAGAAGCATTCTCAGAAACTTACTTGTGATGTGTTTGCTCAACTAACAGAATTGAACCATCGTTTTGAAGGAGCAGTTTTGAAACACTGTTTTCGTGGAATCTGCAAGTGGATATTTGGCTAGCTTTGAGGATTTCGTTGGAAACGGGATTACATATACAAAGGAGACAGCAGCATTCTCAGAAACTTCTTTGTGATGTCTGCATTCAATTCACAGAGTTGAGCATTCCCTTTCATAGAGCAGGTTGGAAACACTCTTTTTGTAGTATCTGGATGTGGACATTTGGATCGCTTTCAGGCCTATGGTGAAAAAGGAAATATCTTCCCATGAAAACTAGACAGAAGCATTCTCAGAAACTTATTTGTGATGTGTGCCCTCAACTGACAGTGTTGAACCTTTGTTTTGATAGAGCAGTTCTGAAACACACTTTTTGTAAAATCTGCAAGAGGATATTTGGATAGCTTTGAGGATTTCGTTGGAAACGGGAATGTCTTCATGTAAACTCTGGACAGAAGCATTCTCAGAAACTGCTTTGGGATGTTTCAATTGAAGTCCCAGTGTTGAACATTCCCATTCATAGAGCAGGTTTGAAACACTCTTTTTGTACTATCTGGAAGTGGACATTTGGAGCGCTTTCAGGTCTACGGTGAAAAAGGAGATATCTTCCAATAAAAACTAGATAGAAGCAATGTCAGAACTTTTTTCATGATGTATCTACTCAGCAAACAGAGTTGAACCTTTCTTTTGAGAGAGCAGTTTTGAAACACTCTTTTTGTGGAATATGCAAGTGGGTATTAGGCCAGCTTGGAGGATTTCGTTGGAAACGGGAATACGTATAAAAAGCAGACAGCAGCATTGTCAGAAACTACTTTGTGATGTTTGCATTCAAGTCACAGAATTGAACACTCCCTTTCACAGAGCAGGTTTCAAACACTGTTTTTGTAGTGTCTGTAAGTGAACATATGGATTGCTTTCAGGCCTAAGGTGAAAAAGGAAATATCTTCCCATAAAAACTAGACAGAAGCATTCTCAGAAACTTGTTTGTGATGTGTGCCCTCTACTGACAGAGTTGAACCTTTCTTTGCAAAGACCAGTTTTGAAACACTCTTTTTGTAGAATCTGCAAGAGGATATTTGGATAGCTTTGAGGATTTCTTGGGAAACGGGAATGTCTTCAGATAAACTCTAGACAGAAGCATTCTCAGAAACTTCTTTGGGATATTTCAATTGAAGTCACAGTGTTGAACATTCCCTTTCACAGAGCAGGTTTGAAACACTCTTTTTGTAGTGTCTATAAGTGAACATTTGGCGTGCTTTCAGGCGTAACGTGAAAAAGGAAATATCTTCCCATAAAAACTAGACAGAAGCATTCTCAGGAAACTTGTTCGTGATGTGTGCCCTCTACTGACAGAGTTGAACCTTTCTTTGCAAAGAGCAGCTTTGAAACACACTTTTTGTAGAATCTGCAAGAGGATATTTGGATAGCTTGGAGGATTTCGTTGGAAACGGGTATGTCTTCAGATAAACTCTAGACAGAAGCATTCTCAGAAACTTCTTTGGGATGTTGCATTCAAGTCACAGAGTAGAACATTCCCATTCATAGAGCAGATTTGAAACACTCTTTTTGTAGTATCTGGAAGTGGACATTTGGAGCGCTTTCAGGCCTATGTTGAAAAAGGAAATATGTTCCCATAAAAACTAGACGGAAGCATTCTCAGAAACTTACTTGTGATGTGTTTGCTCAACTAACAGAATTGAACCATCGTTTGGAAGGAGCAGTTTTGAAACACTGTTTTCGTGGAATCTGCAAGTGGATATTTGGCTAGCTTTGAGGATTTCGTTGGAAACGGGATTACATATAAAAAGGAGACAGCAGCATTCTCAGAAACTTCTTTGTGATGTCTGCATTCAAGTCACAGAGTTGAGCATTCCCTTTCATAGAGAAGGTTGGAAACACTCTTTTTGTAGTATCTGGATGAGGACATTTGGAGCGCTTTCAGGCGTATGGTGAAAAAGGAAATATCTTCCCGTAAAAACTAGACAGAAGCATTCTCAGAAGTTTATTTGTGATGTGTGCCCTCAACTAACAGAGTTGAACCTTTCTTTTGATAGAGCAGTTTTGAAACACTCTTTTTGTAAAATCTGCAAGAGGATATTTGGATAGCTTTGAGGATTTCGTTGCAAACGGGAATGGCTTCATATAAACTCTAGACAGAAGCATTCTCAGAAACTTCGTTGGGATGTTTCGATTGAAGTCCCAGTGTTGAACATTCCCTTTTATAGAGCAGGTTGGAAACACTCTTTCTGCATTCCCTGGAAGTGGACATTTGGAGCGCTTTCAGGACGACGGTGAAAATGGAAATATCTTCCAATAAAATCTAGATAGAAGCAATGTCAGAAACTTTTCTGTGATGGATCTACTCAGCTAACAGAGTTGAACCTTTCTTTTGAGAGAGCAGTTTTGCAACACTCTTTTTGTGGAATATGCAAGTGGATATTAGGGCAGCTTTGAGGATTTCGTTGGAAACGGGAATACATGTAAAAAGCAGACAGCAGCATTCTCAGAAACTTCTTTGTGATGTTTGCATTGAAGTCACAGAGTTGAACATTCCCTTTGAGAGAGCAGGTTTGAAACACGCCTTTTGTCATATCTGGAAGTGTCCATTCGGAGCGCATTCAGGCTTGTGTTGAAAAAGGAAATATCCTCCCATAAAAACTAGACAGAAGCATTCTCAGAAACTTATCTGTGATGTATGTACTCAACTAACAGAACTAAACCATCGTTTTGAAGGAGCAGGTTTGAAACACTCTTTTTGCGGAATCTGCAAGTGGATATTTGGCTAGCTGGGAGGATTTCGTTGGAAACGGGATTACATACAAAAAGCAGACAGCAGCATTCTCAGAAACTTCTTTGTGATGTTTGCATTCAAGTCACAGAGTTGAACATTCCCTTTCATAGAGCAGGTTTGAAACACTCTTTTTGTAGTATCTGGATGTGGACATTTGGATCGCTTTCAGGCCTATGGTGAAAAAGGAAATATCTTCCCATGAAAACTAGACAGAAGCATTCTCAGAAACTTATTTGTGATGTGTGCCCTCAACTGACAGTGTTGAACCTTTGTTTTGATAGAGCAGTTCTGAAACACACTTTTTGTAAAATCTGCAAGAGGATATTTGGATAGCTTTGAGGATTTCGTTGGAAACGGGAATGTCTTCATGTAAACTCTACACAGAAGCATTCTCAGAAACTGCTTTGGGATGTTTCAATTGAAGTCCCAGTGTTGAACATTCCCATTCATAGAGCAGGTTTGAAACACTCTTTTTGTACTATCTGGAAGTGGACATTTGGAGCGCTTTCAGGTCTACGGTGAAAAAGGAGATATCTTCCAATAAAAACTAGATAGAAGCAATGTCAGAACTTTTTTCATGATGTATCTACTCAGCACACAGAGTTGAACCTTTCTTTTGAGAGAGCAGTTTTGAAACACTCTTTTTGTGGAATATGCAAGTGGGTATTAGGCCAGCTTGGAGGATTTCGTTGGAAACGGGAATACGTATAAAAAGCAGACAGCAGCATTGTCAGAAACTACTTTGTGATGTTTGCATTCAAGTCACAGAATTGAACACTCCCTTTCACAGAGCAGGTTTGAAACACTCTTTTTGTAGTGTCTGTAAGTGAACATTTGGATTGCTTTCAGGCCTAAGGTGAAAAAGGAAATATCTTCCCATAAAAACTAGACAGAAGCATTCTCAGAAATTTGTTTGTGATGTGTGCCCTCTACTGACAGAGTTGAACCTTTCTTTGCAAAGAGCAGTTTTGAAACACTCTTTTTGTAGAATCTGCAAGAGGATATTTGGATAGCTTTGAGGATTTCTTGGGAAACGGGAATGTCTTCAGATAAACTCTAGACAGAAGCATTCTCAGAAACTTCTTTGGGATGTTTCAATTGAAGTCACAGTGTTGAACATTCCCTTTCACAGAGCAGGTTTGAAACACTCTTTTTGTAGTGTCTATAAGTGAACATTTGGCGTGCTTTCAGGCGTAACGTGAAAAAGGAAATATCTTCCCATAAAAACCAGACAGAAGCATTCTCAGAAACTTGTTCGTGATGTGTGCCCTCTACTGACAGAGTTGAACCTTTCTTTGCAAAGAGCAGCTTTGAAACACTCTTTTTGTAGAATCTGCCAGAGGATATTTGGATAGCTTTGAGGATTTCGTTGGAAACGGGTATGTCTTCAGATAAACTCTAGACAGAAGCATTCTCAGAAACTTCTTTGGGATGTTGCATTCAAGTCACAGAGTAGAACATTCCCATTCATAGAGCAGATTTGAAACACTCTTTTTGTAGTATCTGGAAGTGGACATTTGGAGCGCTTTCAGGCCTATGTTGAAAAAGGAAATATCTTCCCATAAAAACTAGACGGAAGCATTCTCAGAAACTTACTTGTGATGTGTTTGCTCAACTAACAGAATTGAACCATCGTTTTGAAGGAGCAGTTTTGAAACACTGTTTTCGTGGAATCTGCAAGTGGATATTTGGCTAGCTTTGAGGATTTCGTTGGAAACGGGATTACATATAAAAAGGAGACAGCAGCATTCTCAGAAACTTCTTTGTGATGTCTGCATTCAAGTCACAGAGTTGAGCATTCCCTTTCATAGAGCAGGTTGGAAACACTCTTTGTGTAGTATCTGGATGAGGACATTTGGAGCGCTTTCAGGCGTATGGTGAAAAAGGAAATATATTCCCGTAAAAACTAGACAGAAGCATTCTCAGAAATTTATTTGTGATGTGTGCCCTCAACTAACAGAGTTGAACCTTTCTTTTGATAGAGCAGTTTTGAAACACTCTTTTTGTAAAATCTGCAAGAGGATATTTGGATAGCTTTGAGGATTTCATTGCAAACGGGAATGGCTTCATATAAACTCTAGACAGAAGCATTCTCAGAAACTTCGTTGGGATGTTTCGATTGAAGTCCCAGTGTTGAACATTCCCTTTTATAGAGCAGGTTGGAAACACTCTTTCTGCATTCCCTGGAAGTGGACATTTGGAGCGCTTTCAGGACGACGGTGAAAATGGAAATATCTTCCAAGAAAATCTAGATAGAAGCAATGTCAGAAACTTTTATGTGATGGATCTACTCAGCTAACAGAGTTGAACCTTTCTTTTGAGAGAGCAGTTTTGCAACACTCTTTTTGTGGAATATGCAAGTGGATATTAGGGCAGCTTTGAGGATTTCGTTGGAAACGGGAATATATGTAAAAAGCAGACAGCAGCATTCTCAGAAACTTCTTTGTGATGTTTGCATTGAAGTCACAGCAGTTGAACATTCCCTTTGAGAGAGCAGGTTTGAAACACGCCTTTTGTCATATCTGGAAGTGTCCATTCGGAGCGCATTCAGGCTTGTGTTGAAAAAGGAAATATCCTCCCAGAAAAACTAGACAGAAGCATTCTCAGAAACTTATTTGTGATGTATGTACTCAACTAACAGAACTAAACCATCGTTTTGAAGGAGCAGTTTTGAAACACTCTTTTTGCGGAATCTGCAAGTGGATATTTGGCTAGCTGGGAGGATTTCGTTGGAAACGGGATTACATACAAAAAGCAGACAGCAGCATTCTCAGAAACTTCTTTGTGATGTTTGCATTCAAGTCACAGAGTTGAACATTCCCTTTCATAGAGCAGGTTTGAAATACTCTTTTTGTAGTATCTGGATGTGGACATTTGGATCGCTTTCAGGCCTATGGTGAAAAAGGAAATATATCTTCCCATGAAAACTAGACAGAAGCATTCTCAGAAACTTATTTGTGATGTGTGCCCTCAACTGACAGTGTTGAACCTTTGTTTTGATAGAGCAGTTCTGAAACACACTTTTTGTAAAATCTGCAAGAGGATATTTGGATAGCTTTGAGGATTTCGTTGGAAACGGGAATGTCTTCATGTAAACTCTAGACAGAAGCATTCTCAGAAACTGCTTTGGGATGTTTCAATTGAAGTCCCAGTGTTGAATATTCCCTTTCATAGAGCAGGTTTGAAACACTCTTTTTGTACTATCTGGAAGTGGACATTTGGAGCGCTTTCAGGTCTACGGTGAAAAAGGAGATATCTTCCAATAAAAACTAGATAGAAGCAATGTCAGAACTTTTTTCATGATGTATCTACTCAGCAAACAGAGTTGAACCTTTCTTTTGAGAGAGCAGTTTTGAAACACTCTTTTTGTGGAATATGCAAGTGGGTATTAGGCCAGCTTGGAGGATTTCGTTGGAAACGGGAATACGTATAAAAAGCAGACAGCAGCATTGTCAGAAACTACTTTGTGATGTTTGCATTCAAGTCACAGAATTGAACACTCCCTTTCACAGAGCAGGTTTGAAACACTCTTTTTGTAGTGTCTGTAAGTGAACATTTGGATTGCTTTCAGGCCTAAGGTGAAAAAGGAAATATCTTCCCATAAAAACTAGACAGAAGCATTCTCAGAAACTTGTTTGTGATGTGTGCCCTCTACTGACAGAGTTGAACCTTTCTTTGCAAAGAGCAGTTTTGAAACACTCTTTTTGTAGAATCTGCAAGAGGATATTTGGATAGCTTTGAGGATTTCTTGGGAAACGGGAATGTCTTCAGATAAACTCTAGACAGAAGCATTCTCAGAAACTTCTTTGGGATGTTTCAATTGAAGTCACAGTGTTGAACATTCCCTTTCACAGAGCAGGTTTGAAACACTCTTTTTGTAGTGTCTATAAGTGAACATTTGGCGTGCTTTCAGGCCTAACGTGAAAAAGGAAATATCTTCCCATAAAAACTAGACAGAAGCATTCTCAGAAACTTGTTCTTGATGTGTCCCCTCTACTGACAGAGTTGAACCTTTCTTTGCAAAGAGCAGCTTTGAAACACTCTTTTTGTAGAATCTGCAAGAGGATATTTGGATAGCTTGGAGGATTTCGTTGGAAACGGGTATGTCTTCAGATAAACTCTAGACAGAAGCATTCTCAGAAACTTCTTTGGGATGTTGCATTCAAGTCACAGAGTAGAACATTCCCATTCATAGAGCAGATTTGAAACACTCTTTTTGTAGTATCTGGAAGTGGACATTTGGAGCGCTTTCAGGCCTATGTTGAAAAAGGAAATATCTTCCCATAAAAACTAGACGGAAGCATTCTCAGAAACTTATTTGTGATGTGTTTGCTCAACTAACAGGATTGAACCATCGTTTTGAAGGAGCAGTTTTGAAACACTGTTTTCGTGGAATCTGCAAGTGGATATTTGGCTAGCTTTGAGGATTTCGTTGGAAATGGGATTACATATACAAAGGAGACAGCAGCATTCTCAGAAACTTCTTTGTGATGTCTGCATTCAATTCACAGAGTTGAGCATTCCCTTTCATAGAGCAGGTTGGAAACACTCTTTTTGTAGTATCTGGATGAGGACATTTGGAGCGCTTTCTGGCCTATGGTGAAAAAGGAAATATCTTCCTGTAAAAACTAGACAGAAGCATTCTCAGAAGTTTATTTGTGATGTGTGCCCTCAACTAACAGAGTTGAACCTTTCTTTTGATAGAGCAGTTTTGAAACACTCTTTTTGTAAAATCTGCAAGAGGATATTTGGATAGCTTTGAGGATTTCGTTGCAAACGGGAATGGCTTCATATAAACTCTAGACAGAAGCATTCTCAGAAACTTCGTTGGGATGTTTCGATTGAAGTCCCAGTGTTGAACATTCCCTTTTATAGAGCAGGTTGGAAACACTCTTTCTGCATTCCCTGGAAGTGGACATTTGGAGCGCTTTCAGGACGACGGTGAAAATGGAAATATCTTCCAAGAAAATCTAGATAGAAGCAACGTCAGAAACTTTTATGTGATGGATCTACTCAGCTAACAGAGTTGAAGCTTTCTTTTGAGAGAGCAGTTTTGCAACACTCTTTTTGTGGAATATGCAAGTGGATATTAGGGCAGCTTTGAGGATTTCGTTGGAAACGGGAATACATGTAAAAAGCAGACAGCAGCATTCTCAGAAACTTCTTTGTGATGTTTGCATTGAAGTCACAGAGTTGAACATTCCCTTTGAGAGAGCAGGTTTGAAACACGCCTTTTGTCATATCTGGAAGTGTCCATTCGGAGCGCATTCAGGCTTGTGTTGAAAAAGGAAATATCCTCCCATAAAAACTAGACAGAAGCATTCTCAGAAACTTATTTGTGATGTATGTACTCAACTAACAGAACTAAACCATCGTTTTGAAGGAGCAGTTTTGAAACACTCTTTTTGCGGAATCTGCAAGTGGATATTTGGCTAGCTGGGAGGATTTCGTTGGAAACGGGATTACATACAAAAAGCAGAGAGCAGCATTCTCAGAAACTTCTTTGTGATGTTTGCATTCAAGTCACAGAGTTGAACATTCCCTTTCATAGAGCAGGTTGGAAACACTCTTTTTGTAGTATCTGGATGTGGACATTTGGATCGCTTTCAGGCCTATGGTGAAAAAGGAAATATCTTCCCATGAAAACTAGACAGAAGCATTCTCAGAAACTTATTTGTGATGTGTGCCCTCAACTGACAGTGTTGAACCTTTGTTTTGATAGAGCAGTTCTGAAACACACTTTTTGTAAAATCTGCAAGAGGATATTTGGATAGCTTTGAGGATTTCGTTGGAAACGGGAATGTCTTCATGTAAACTCTGGACAGAAGCATTCTCAGAAACTGCTTTGGGATGTTTCAATTGAAGTCCCAGTGTTGAACATTCCCATTCATAGAGCAGGTTTGAAACACTCTTTTTGTACTATCTGGAAGTGGACATTTGGAGCGCTTTCAGGTCTACGGTGAAAAAGGAGATATCTTCCAATAAAAACTAGATAGAAGCAATGTCAGAACTTTTTTCATGATGTATCTACTCAGCAAACAGAGTTGAACCTTTCTTTTGAGAGAGCAGTTTTGAAACACTCTTTTTGTGGAATATGCAAGTGGGTATTAGGCCAGCTTGAAGGATTTCGTTGGAAACGGGATTACGTATAAAAAGCAGACAGCAGCATTGTCAGAAACTACTTTGTGATGTTTGCATTCAAGTCACAGAATTGAACACTCCCTTTCACAGAGCAGGTTTGAAACACTCTTTTTGTAGTGTCTGTAAGTGAACATTTGGATTGCTTTCAGGCCTAAGGTGAAAAAGGAAATATCTTCCCATAAAAACTAGACAGAAGCATTCTCAGAAACTTGTTTGTGATGTGTGCCCTCTACTGACAGAGTTGAACCTTTCTTTGCAAAGAGCAGTTTTGAAACACTCTTTTTGTAGAATCTGCAAGAGGATATTTGGATAGCTTTGAGGATTTCTTGGGAAACGGGAATGTCTTCAGATAAACTCTAGACAGAAGCATTCTCAGAAACTTCTTTGGGATGTTTCAATTGAAGTCACAGTGTTGAACATTCCCTTTCACAGAGCAGGTTTGAAACACTCTTTTTGTAGTGTCTATAAGTGAACATTTGGCGTGCTTTCAGGCCTAACGTGAAAAAGGAAATATCTTCCCATAAAAACTAGACAGAAGCATTCTCAGAAACTTGTTCATGATGTGTGCCCTCTACTGACAGAGTTGAACCTTTCTTTGCAAAGAGCAGCTTTGAAACACTCTTTTTGTAGAATCTGCAAGAGGATATTTGGATAGCTTTGAGGATTTCGTTGGAAACGGGTATGTCTTCAGATAAACTCTAGACAGAAGCATTCTCAGAAACTTCTTTGGGATGTTGCATTCAAGTCACAGAGTAGAACATTCCCATTCATAGAGCAGATTTGAAACACTCTTTTTGTAGTATCTGGAAGTGGACATTTGGAGCGCTTTCAGGCCTATGTTGAAAAAGGAAATATCTTCCCATAAAAACTAGACGGAAGCATTCTCAGAAACTTATTTGTGATGTGTTTCCTCAACTAACAGGATTGAACCATCGTTTTGAAGGAGCAGTTTTGAAACACTGTTTTCGTGGAATCTGCAAGTGGATATTTGGCTAGCTTTGAGGATTTCGTTGGAAACGGGATTACATATAAAAAGGAGACAGCAGCATTCTCAGAAACTTCTTTGTGATGTTTGCATTCAAGTCACAGAGTTGAATATTCCCTTTCATAGAGCAGGTTTGAAACACTCTTTTTGTAGTATCTGGATGTGGACATTTGGATCGCTTTCAGGCCTATGGTGAAAAAGGAAATATCTTCCCATGAAAACTAGACAGAAGCATTCTCAGAAACTTATTGGTGATATGTGCCCTCAACTGACAGTGTTGAACCTTTGTTTTGATAGAGCAGTTCTGAAACACACTTTTTGTAAAATCTGCAAGAGGATATTTGGATAGCTTTGAGGATTTCGTTGGAAACGGGAATGTCTTCATGTAAACTCTAGACAGAAGCATTCTCAGAAACTGCTTTGGGATGTTTCAATTGAAGTCCCAGTGTTGAACATTCCCATTCATAGAGCAGGTTTGAAACACTCTTTTTGTACTATCTGGAAGTGGACATTTGGAGCGCTTTCAGGTCTACGGTGAAAAAGGAGATATCTTCCAATAAAAACTAGATAGAAGCAATGTCAGAACTTTTTTCATGATGTATCTACTCAGCAAACAGAGTTGAACCTTTCTTTTGAGAGAGCAGTTTTGAAACACTCTTTTTGTGGAATATGCAAGTGGGTATTAGGCCAGCTTGGAGGATTTCGTTGGAAACGGGAATACGTATAAAAAGCAGACAGCAGCATTGTCAGAAACTACTTTGTGATGTTTGCATTCAAGTCACAGAATTGAACACTCCCTTTCACAGAGCAGGTTTGAAACACTCTTTTTGTAGTGTCTGTAAGTGAACATTTGGATTGCTTTCAGGCCTAAGGTGAAAAAGGAAATATCTTCCCATAAAAACTAGACAGAAGCATTCTCAGAAATTTGTTTGTGATGTGTGCCCTCTACTGACAGAGTTGAACCTTTCTTTGCAAAGAGCAGTTTTGAAACACTCTTTTTGTAGAATCTGCAAGAGGATATTTGGATAGCTTTGAGGATTTCTTGGGAAACGGGAATGTCTTCAGATAAACTCTAGACAGAAGCATTCTCAGAAACTTCTTTGGGATGTTTCAATTGAAGTCACAGTGTTGAACATTCCCTTTCACAGAGCAGGTTTGAAACACTCTTTTTGTAGTGTCTATAAGTGAACATTTGGCGTGCTTTCAGGCCTAACGTGAAAAAGGAAATATCTTCCCATAAAAACTAGACAGAAGCATTCTCAGAAACTTGTTCGTGATGTGTGCCCTCTACTGACAGAGTTGAACCTTTCTTTGCAAAGAGCAGCTTTGAAACACACTTTTTGTAGAATCTGCAAGAGGATATTTGGATAGCTTTGAGGATTTCGTTGGAAACGGGTATGTCTTCAGATAAACTCTAGACAGAAGCATTCTCAGAAACTTCTTTGGGATGTTGCATTCAAGTCACAGAGTAGAACATTCCCATTCATAGAGCAGATTTGAAACACTCTTTTTGTAGTATCTGGAAGTGGACATTTGGAGTGCTTTCAGGCCTATGTTGAAAAAGGAAATATCTTCCCATAAAAACTAGACGGAAGCATTCTCAGAAACTTATTTGTGATGTGTTTGCTCAACTAACAGGATTGAACCATCGTTTTGAAGGAGCAGTTTTGAAACACTGTTTTCGTGGAATCTGCAAGTGGATATTTGGCTAGCTTTGAGGATTTCGTTGGAAACGGGATTACATATAAAAAGGAAACAGCAGCATTCTCAGAAACTTCTTTGTGATGTCTGCATTCAATTCACAGAGTTGAGCATTCCCTTTCATAGAGCAGGTTGGAAACACTCTTTTTGTAGTATCTGGATGAGGACATTTGGAGCGCTTTCAGGCGTATGGTGAAAAAGGAAATATCTTCCCGTAAAAACTAGACAGAAGCATTCTCAGAAATTTATTTGTGATGTGTGCCCTCAACTAACAGAGTTGAACCTTTCTTTTGATAGAGCAGTTTTGAAACACTCTTTTTGTAAAATCTGCAAGAGGATATTTGGATAGCTTTGAGGATTTCGTTGCAAACGGGAATGGCTTCATATAAACTCTAGACAGAAGCATTCTCAGAAACTTCGTTGGGATGTTTCGATTGAAGTCCCAGTGTTGAACATTCCCTTTTATAGAGCAGGTTGGAAACACTCTTTCTGCATTCCCTGGAAGTGGACAATTGGAGCGCTTTCAGGACGACGGTGAAAATGGAAATATCTTCCAATAAAATCTGGATAGAAGCAACGTCAGAAACTTTTCTGTGATGGATCTACTCAGCTAACAGAGTTGAACCTTTCTTTTGAGAGAGCAGTTTTGCAACACTCTTTTTGTGGAATATGCAAGTGGATATTAGGGCAGCTTTGAGGATTTCGTTGGAAACGGGAATACATGTAAAAAGCAGACAGCAGCATTCTCAGAAACTTCTTTGTGATGTTTGCATTGAAGTCACAGAGTTGAACATTCCCTTTGAGAGAGCAGGTTTGAAACACGCCTTTTGTCATATCTGGAAGTGTCCATTCGGAGCGCATTCAGGCTTGTGTTGAAAAAGGAAATATCCTCCCATAAAAACTAGACAGAAGCATTCTCAGAAACTTATCTGTGATGTATGTACTCAACTAACAGAACTAAACCATCGTTTTGAAGGAGCAGTTTTGAAACACTCTTTTTGCGGAATCTGCAAGTGGATATTTGGCTAGCTGGGAGGATTTCGTTGGAAACGGGATTACATACAAAAAGCAGACAGCAGCATTCTCAGAAACTTCTTTGTGATGTTTGCATTCAAGTCACAGAGTTGAACATTCCCTTTCATAGAGCAGGTTTGAAACACTCTTTTTGTAGTATCTGGATGTGGACATTTGGATCGCTTTCAGGCCTATGGTGAAAAAGGAAATATCTTCCCATGAAAACTAGACAGAAGCATTCTCAGAAACTTATTTGTGATGTGTGCCCTCAACTGACAGTGTTGAACCTTTGTTTTGATAGAGCAGTTCTGAAACACACTTTTTGTAAAATCTGCAAGAGGATATTTGGATAGCTTTGAGGATTTCGTTGGAAACGGGAATGTCTTCATGTAAACTCTACACAGAAGCATTCTCAGAAACTGCTTTGGGATGTTTCAATTGAAGTCCCAGTGTTGAACATTCCCATTCATAGAGCAGGTTTGAAACACTCTTTTTGTACTATCTGGAAGTGGACATTTGGAGCGCTTTCAGGTCTACGGTGAAAAAGGAGATATCTTCCAATAAAAACTAGATAGAAGCAATGTCAGAACTTTTTTCATGATGTATCTACTCAGCTAACAGAGTTGAACCTTTCTTTTGAGAGAGCAGTTTTGAAACACTCTTTTTGTGGAATATGCAAGTGGGTATTAGGCCAGCTTGGAGGATTTCGTTGGAAACGGGAATACGTATAAAAAGCAGACAGCAGCATTGTCAGAAACTACTTTGTGATGTTTGCATTCAAGTCACAGAATTGAACACTCCCTTTCACAGAGCAGGTTTGAAACACTCTTTTTGTAGTGTCTGTAAGTGAACATTTGGATTGATTTCAGGCCTAAGGTGAAAAAGGAAATATCTTCCCATAAAAACTAGACAGAAGCATTCTCAGAAACTTGTTTGTGATGTGTGCCCTCTACTGACAGAGTTGAACCTTTCTTTGCAAAGAGCAGTTTTGAAACACTCTTTTTGTAGAATCTGCAAGAGGATATTTGGATAGCTTTGAGGATTTCTTGGGAAACGGGAATGTCTTCAGATAAACTCTAGACAGAAGCATTCTCAGAAACTTCTTTGGGATGTTTCAATTGAAGTCACAGTGTTGAACATTCCCTTTCACAGAGCAGGTTTGAAACACTCTTTTTGTAGTGTCTATAAGTGAACATTTGGCGTGCTTTCAGGCCTAACGTGAAAAAGGAAATATCTTCCCATAAAAACTAGACAGAAGCATTCTCAGAAACTTGTTCGTGATGTGTGCCCTCTACTGACAGAGTTGAACCTTTCTTTGCAAAGAGCAGCTTTGAAACACACTTTTTGTAGAATCTGCAAGAGGATATTTGGATAGCTTGGAGGATTTCGTTGGAAACGGGTATGTCTTCAGATAAACTCTAGACAGAAGCATTCTCAGAAACTTCTTTGGGATGTTGCATTCAAGTCACAGTGTAGAACATTCCCATTCATAGAGCAGATTTGAAACACTCTTTTTGTAGTATCTGGAAGTGGACATTTGGAGCGCTTTCAGGCCTATGTTGAAAAAGGAAATATCTTCCCATAAAAACTAGACGGAAGCATTCTCAGCAAACTTACTTGTGATGTGTTTGCTCAACTAACAGAATTGAACCATCGTTTTGAAGGAGCAGTTTTGAAACACTGTTTTCGTGGAATCTGCAAGTGGATATTTGGCTAGCTTTGAGGATTTCGTTGGAAACGGGATTACATATAAAAAGGAGACAGCAGCATTCTCAGAAACTTCTTTGTGATGTTTGCATTCAAGTCACAGAGTTGAACATTCCCTTTCATAGAGCAGGTTTGAAACACTCTTTTTGTAGTATCTGGATGTGGACATTTGGATCGCTTTCAGGCCTATGGTGAAAAAGGAAATATCTTCCCATGAAAACTAGACAGAAGCATTCTCAGAAGTTTATTTGTGATGTGTGCCCTCAACTAACAGAGTTGAACCTTTCTTTTGATAGAGCAGTTTTGAAACACTCTTTTTGTAAAATCTGCAAGAGGATATTTGGATAGCTTTGAGGATTTCGTTGCAAACGGGAATGGCTTCATATAAACTAGACAGAAGCATTCTCAGAAACTTCGTTGGGATGTTTCGATTGAAGTCCCAGTGTTGAACATTCCCTTTTATAGAGCAGGTTGGAAACACTCTTTCTGCATTCCCTGGAAGTGGACATTTGGAGCGCTTTCAGGACGACGATGAAAATGGAAATATCTTCCAAGAAAATCTAGATAGAAGCAATGTCAGAAACTTTTATGTGATGGATCTACTCAGCTAACAGAGTTGAACCTTTCTTTTGAGAGAGCAGTTTTGCAACACTCTTTTTGTGGAATATGCAAGTGGATATTAGGGCAGCTTTGAGGATTTCGTTGGAAACGGGAATACATGTAAAAAGCAGACAGCAGCATTCTCAGAAACTTCTTTGTGATCTTTTCATTGAAGTCACAGAGTTGAACATTCCCTTTGAGAGAGCAGGTTTGAAACACGCCTTTTGTCATATCTGGAAGTGTCCATTCGGAGCGCATTCAGGCTTGTGTTGAAGAAGGAAATATCCTCCCATAAAAACTAGACAGAAGCATTCTCAGAAACTCATTTGTGATGTATGTACTCAACTAACAGAACTAAACCATCGTTTTGAAGGAGCAGTTTTGAAACACCCTTTTTGCGGAATCTGCAACTGGATATTTGGCTAGCTTGGAGGATTTCGTTGGAAACGGGATTACATACAAAAAGCAGACAGCAAGCATTCTCAGAAACTTATTTGTGATGTGTGCCCTCAACTGACAGTGTTGAACCTTTGTTTTGATAGAGCAGTTCTGAAACACACTTTTTGTAAAATCTGCAAGAGGATATTTGGATAGCTTTGAGGATTTCGTTGGAAACGGGAATGTCTTCATGTAAACTCTACACAGAAGCATTCTCAGAAACTGCTTTGGGATGTTTCAATTGAAGTCCCAGTGTTGAACATTCCCATTCATAGAGCAGGTTTGAAACACTCTTTTTGTACTATCTGGAAGTGGACATTTGGAGCGCTTTCAGGTCTACGGTGAAAAAGGAGATATCTTCCAATAAAAACTAGATAGAAGCAATGTCAGAACTTTTTTCATGATGTATCTACTCAGCAAACAGAGTTGAACCTTTCTTTTGAGAGAGCAGTTTTGAAACACACTTTTTGTGGAATATGCAAGTGGGTATTAGGCCAGCTTGGAGGATTTCGTTGGAAACGGGAATACGTATAAAAAGCAGACAGCAGCATTGACAGAAACTACTTTGTGATGTTTGCATTCAAGTCACAGAATTGAACACTCCCTTTCACAGAGCAGGTTTGAAACACTCTTTTTGTAGTGTCTGTAAGTGAACATATGGATTGCTTTCAGGCCTAAGGTGAAAAAGGAAATATCTTCCCATAAAAACTAGACAGAAGCATTCTCAGAAACTTGTTTGTGATGTGTGCCCTCTACTGACAGAGTTGAACCTTTCTTTGCAAAGACCAGTTTTGAAACACTCTTTTTGTAGAATCTGCAAGAGGATATTTGGATAGCTTTGAGGATTTCTTGGGAAACGGGAATGTCTTCAGATAAACTCTAGACAGAAGCATTCTCAGAAACTTCTTTGGGATATTTCAATTGAAGTCACAGTGTTGAACATTCCCTTTCACAGAGCAGGTTTGAAACACTCTTTTTGTAGTGTCTATAAGTGAACATTTGGCGTGCTTTCAGGCCTAACGTGAAAAAGGAAATATCTTCCCATAAAAACTAGACAGAAGCATTCTCAGAAACTTGTTCGTGATGTGTGCCCTCTACTGACAGAGTTGAACCTTTCTTTGCAAAGAGCAGCTTTGAAACACTCTTTTTGTAGAATCTGCAAGAGGATATTTGGATAGCTTGGAGGATTTCGTTGGAAACGGGTATGTCTTCAGATAAACTCTAGACAGAAGCATTCTCAGAAACTTCTTTGGGATGTTGCATTCAAGTCACAGAGTAGAACATTCCCATTCATAGAGCAGATTTGAAACACTCTTTTTGTAGTATCTGGAAGTGGACATTTGGAGCGCTTTCAGGCCTATGTTGAAAAAGGAAATATCTTCCCATAAAAACTAGACGGAAGCATTCTCAGAAACTTACTTGTGATGTGTTTGCTCAACTAACAGAATTGAACCATCGTTTGGAAGGAGCAGTTTTGAAACACTGTTTTCGTGGAATCTGCAAGTGGATATTTGGCTAGCTTTGAGGATTTCGTTGGAAACGGGATTACATATAAAAAGGAGACAGCAGCATTCTCAGAAACTTCTTTGTGATGTTTGCATTCAAGTCACAGAGTTGAACATTCCCTTTCATAGAGCAGGTTTGAAACACTCTTTTTGTAGTATCTGGATGTGGACATTTGGATCGCTTTCAGGCCTATGGTGAAAAAGGAAATATCTTCCCATGAAAACTAGACAGAAGCATTCTCAGAAACTTATTTGTGATGTGTGCCCTCAACTGACAGTGTTGAACCTTTGTTTTGATAGAGCAGTTCTGAAACACACTTTTTGTAAAATCTGCAAGAGGATATTTGGATAGCTTTGAGGATTTCGTTGGAAACGGGAATGTCTTCATGTAAACTCTAGACAGAAGCATTCTCAGAAACTGCTTTGGGATATTTCAATTGAAGTCCCAGTGTTGAACATTCCCTTTCATAGAGCAGGTTTGAAACACTCTTTTTGTACTATCTGGAAGTGGACATTTGGAGCGCTTTCAGGTCTACGGTGAAAAAGGAGATATCTTCCAATAAAAACTAGATAGAAGCAATGTCAGAACTTTTTTCATGATGTATCTACTCAGCAAACAGAGTTGAACCTTTCTTTTGGGAGAGCAGTTTTGAAACACTCTTTTTGTGGAATATGCAAGTGGGTATTAGGCCAGCTTGGAGGATTTCGTTGGAAACGGGAATACGTATAAAAAGCAGACAGCAGCATTGTCAGAAACTACTTTGTGATGTTTGCATTCAAGTCACAGAATTGAACACTCCCTTTCACAGAGCAGGTTTGAAACACTCTTTTTGTAGTGTCTGTAAGTGAACATTTGGATTGCTTTCAGGCCTAAGGTGAAAAAGGAAATATCTTCCCATAAAAACTAGACAGAAGCATTCTCAGAAACTTGTTTGTGATGTGTGCCCTCTACTGACAGAGTTGAACCTTTCTTTGCAAAGAGCAGTTTTGAAACACTCTTTTTGTAGAATCTGCAAGAGGATATTTGGATAGCTTTGAGGATTTCTTGGGAAACGGGAATGTCTTCAGATAAACTCTAGACAGAAGCATTCTCAGAAACTTCTTTGGGATGTTTCAATTGAAGTCACAGTGTTGAACATTCCCTTTCACAGAGCAGGTTTGAAACACTCTTTTTGTAGTGTCTATAAGTGAACATTTGGCGTGCTTTCAGGCCTAACGTGAAAAAGGAAATATCTTCCCATAAAAACTAGACAGAAGCATTCTCAGAAACTTGTTCGTGATGTGTGCCCTCTACTGACAGAGTTGAACCTTTCTTTGCAAAGAGCAGCTTTGAAACACACTTTTTGTAGAATCTGCAAGAGGATATTTGGATAGCTTTGAGGATTTCGTTGGAAACGGGTATGTCTTCAGATAAACTCTAGACAGAAGCATTCTCAGAAACTTCTTTGGGATGTTGCATTCAAGTCACAGAGTAGAACATTCCCATTCATAGAGCAGATTTGAAACACTCTTTTTGTAGTATCTGGAAGTGGACATTTGGAGCGCTTTCAGGCCTATGTTGAAAAAGGAAATATCTTCCCATAAAAACTAGACGGAAGCATTCTCAGAAACTTATTTGTGATGTGTTTGCTCAACTAACAGGATTGAACCATCGTTTTGAAGGAGCAGTTTTGAAACACTGTTTTCGTGGAATCTGCAAGTGGATATTTGGCTAGCTTTGAGGATTTCGTTGGAAACGGGATTACATATAAAAAGGAGACAGCAGCATTCTCAGAAACTTCTTTGTGATGTCTGCATTCAAGTCACAGAGTTGAGCATTCCCTTTCATAGAGCAGGTTGGAAACACTCTTTTTGTAGTATCTGGATGAGGACATTTGGAGCGCTTTCAGGCGTATGGTGAAAAAGGAAATATCTTCCCGTAAAAACTAGACAGAAGCATTCTCAGAAGTTTATTTGTGATGTGTGCCCTCAACTAACAGAGTTGAACCTTTCTTTTGATAGAGCAGTTTTGAAACACTCTTTTTGTAAAATCTGCAAGAGGATATTTGGATAGCTTTGAGGATTTCGTTGCAAACGGGAATGGCTTCATATAAACTCTAGACAGAAAGCATTCTCAGAAACTTCGTTGGGATGTTTCGATTGAAGTCCCAGTGTTGAACATTCCCTTTTATAGAGCAGGTTGGAAACACTCTTTCTGCATTCCCTGGAAGTGGACATTTGGAGCGCTTTCAGGACGACGGTGAAAATGGAAATATCTTCCAAGAAAATCTAGATAGAAGCAACGTCAGAAACTTTTCTGTGATGGATCTACTCAGCTAACAGAGTTGAACCTTTCTTTTGAGAGAGCAGTTTTGCAACACTCTTTTTGTGGAATATGCAAGTGGATATTAGGGCAGCTTTGAGGATTTCGTTGGAAACGGGAATACATGTAAAAAGCAGACAGCAAGCATTCTCAGAAACTTCTTTGTGATGTTTGCATTGAAGTCACAGAGTTGAACATTCCCTTTGAGAGAGCAGGATTGAAACACGCCTTTTGTCATATCTGGAAGTGTCCATTCGGAGCGCATTCAGGCTTGTGTTGAAAAAGGAAATATCCTCCCATAAAAAGTATACAGAAGCATTCTCAGAAACTTATTTGTGATGTATGTACTCAACTAACAGAACTAAACCATCGTTTTGACGGAGCAGTTTTGAAACACTCTTTTTGCGGAATCTGCAAGTGGATATTTGGCTAGCTGGGAGGATTTCGTTGGAAACGGGATTACATACAAAAAGCAGAGAGCAGCATTCTCAGAAACTTCTTTGTGATGTTTGCATTCAAGTCACAGAGTTGAACATTCCCTTTCATAGAGCAGGTTTGAAACACTCTTTTTGTAGTATCTGGATGTGGACATTTGGATCGCTTTCAGGCCTATGGTGAAAAAGGAAATATCTTCCCATGAAAACTAGACAGAAGCATTCTCAGAAACTTATTTGTGATGTGTGCCCTCAACTGACAGTGTTGAACCTTTGTTTTGATAGAGCAGTTCTGAAACACACTTTTTGTAAAATCTGCAAGAGGATATTTGGATAGCTTTGAGGATTTCGTTGGAAACGGGAATGTCTTCATGTAAACTCTAGACAGAAGCATTCTCAGAAACTGCTTTGGGATGTTTCAATTGAAGTCCCAGTGTTGAACATTCCCTTTCATAGAGCAGGTTTGAAACACTCTTTTTGTACTATCTGGAAGTGGACATTTGGAGCGCTTTCAGGTCTACGGTGAAAAAGGAGATATCTTCCAATAAAAACTAGATAGAAGCAATGTCAGAACTTTTTTCATGATGTATCTACTCAGCAAACAGAGTTGAACCTTTCTTTTGAGAGAGCAGTTTTGAAACACTCTTTTTGTGGAATATGCAAGTGGGTATTAGGCCAGCTTGGAGGATTTCGTTGGAAACGGGAATACGTATAAAAAGCAGACAGCAGCATTGTCAGAAACTACTTTGTGATGTTTGCATTCAAGTCACAGAATTGAACACTCCCTTTCACAGAGCAGGTTTGAAACACTCTTTTTGTAGTGTCTGTAAGTGAACATATGGATTGCTTTCAGGCCTAAGGTGAAAAAGGAAATATCTTCCCATAAAAACTAGACAGAAGCATTCTCAGAAACTTGTTTGTGATGTGTGCCCTCTACTGACAGATTTGAACCTTTCTTTGCAAAGAGCAGTTTTGAAACACTCTTTTTGTAGAATCTGCAAGAGGATATTTGGATAGCTTTGAAGATTTCTTGGGAAACGGGAATGTCTTCAGATAAACTCTAGACAGAAGCATTCTCAGAAACTTCTTTGGGATGTTTCAATTGAAGTCACAGTGTTGAACATTCCCTTTCACAGAGCAGGTTTGAAACACTCTTTTTGTAGTGTGTATAAGTGAATATTTCGCGTGCTTTCAGGCCTAACGTGAAAAAGGAAATATCTTCCCATAAAAACTAGACAGAAGCATTCTCAGAAACTTGTTCATGATGTGTGCCCTCTACTGACAGAGTTGAACCTTTCTTTGCAAAGAGCAGCTTTGAAACACTCTTTTTGTAGAATCTGCAAGAGGATATTTGGATAGCTTGGAGGATTTCGTTGGAAACGGGTATGTCTTCAGATAAACTCTAGACAGAAGCATTCTCAGAAACTTCTTTGGGATGTTGCATTCAAGTCACAGAGTAGAACATTCCCATTCATAGAGCAGATTTGAAACACTCTTTTTGTAGTATCTGGAAGTGGACATTTGGAGCGCTTTCAGGCCTATGTTGAAAAAGGAAATATCTTCCCATAAAAACTAGACGGAAGCATTCTCAGAAACTTATTTGTGATGTGTTTGCTCAACTAACAGGATTGAACCATCGTTTTGAAGGAGCAGTTTTGAAACACTGTTTTCGTGGAATCTGCAAGTGGATATTTGGCTAGCTTTGAGGATTTCGTTGGAAACGGGATTACATATACAAAGGAGACAGCAGCATTCTCAGAAACTTCTTTGTGATGTCTGCATTCAATTCACAGAGTTGAGCATTCCCTTTCATAGAGCAGGTTGGAAACACTCTTTTTGTAGTATCTGGATGAGGACATTTGGAGCGCTTTCAGGCGTATGGTGAAAAAGGAAATATCTTCCCGTAAAAACTAGACAGAAGCATTCTCAGAAGTTTATTTGTGATGTGTGCCCTCAACTAACAGAGTTGAACCTTTCTTTTGATAGAGCAGTTTTGAAACACTCTTTTTGTAAAATCTGCAAGAGGATATTTGGATAGCTTTGAGGATTTCGTTGCAAACGGGAATGGCTTCATATAAACTCTAGACAGAAGCATTCTCAGAAACTTCGTTGGGATGTTTCGATTGAAGTCCCAGTGTTGAACATTCCCTTTTATAGAGCAGGTTGGAAACACTCTTTCTGCATTCCCTGGAAGTGGACATTTGGAGCGCTTTCAGGACGACGGTGAAAATGGAAATATCTTCCAAGAAAATCTAGATAGAAGCAACGTCAGAAACTTTTCTGTGATGGATCTACTCAGCTAACAGAGTTGAACCTTTCTTTTGAGAGAGCAGTTTTGCAACACTCTTTTTGTGGAATATGCAAGTGGATATTAGGGCAGCTTTGAGGATTTCGTTGGAAACGGGAATACATGTAAAAAGCAGACAGCAGCGTTCTCAGAAACTTCTTTGTGATGTTTGCATTGAAGTCACAGAGTTGAACATTCCCTTTGAGAGAGCAGGTTTGAAACACGCCTTTTGTCATATCTGGAAGTGTCCATTCGGAGCGCATTCAGGCTTGTGTTGAAAAAGGAAATATCCTCCCATAAAAACTAGACAGAAGCATTCTCAGAAACTTATCTGTGATGTATGTACTCAACTAACAGAACTAAACCATCGTTTTGAAGGAGCAGTTTTGAAACACTCTTTTTGCGGAATCTGCAAGTGGATATTTGGCTAGCTGGGAGGATTTCGTTGGAAACGGGATTACATACAAAAAGCAGACAGCAGCATTCTCAGAAACTTCTTTGTGATGTTTGCATTCAAGTCACAGAGTTGAACATTCCCTTTCATAGAGCAGGTTTGAAACACTCTTTTTGTAGTATCTGGATGTGGACATTTGGATCGCTTTCAGGCCTATGGTGAAAAAGGAAATATCTTCCCATGAAAACTAGACAGAAGCATTCTCAGAAACTTATTTGTGATGTGTGCCCTCAACTGACAGTGTTGAACCTTTGTTTTGATAGAGCAGTTCTGAAACACACTTTTTGTAAAATCTGCAAGAGGATATTTGGATAGCTTTGAGGATTTCGTTGGAAACGGGAATGTCTTCATGTAAACTCTACACAGAAGCATTCTCAGAAACTGCTTTGGGATGTTTCAATTGAAGTCCCAGTGTTGAACATTCCCTTTCATAGAGCAGGTTTGAAACACTCTTTTTGTACTATCTGGAAGTGGACATTTGGAGCGCTTTCAGGTCTACGGTGAAAAAGGAGATATCTTCCAATAAAAACTAGATAGAAGCAATGTCAGAACTTTTTTCATGATGTATCTACTCAGCAAACAGAGTTGAACCTTTCTTTTGAGAGAGCAGTTTTGAAACACTCTTTTTGTGGAATATGCAAGTGGGTATTAGGCCAGCTTGAAGGATTTCGTTGGAAACGGGATTACGTATAAAAAGCAGACAGCAGCATTGTCAGAAACTACTTTGTGATGTTTGCATTCAAGTCACAGAATTGAACACTCCCTTTCACAGAGCAGGTTTGAAACTCTCTTTTTGTAGTGTCTGTAAGTGAACATTTGGATTGCTTTCAGGCCTAAGGTGAAAAAGGAAATATCTTCCCATAAAAACTAGACAGAAGCATTCTCAGAAACTTGTTTGTGATGTGTGCCCTCTACTGACAGAGTTGAACCTTTCTTTGCAAAGAGCAGTTTTGAAACACTCTTTTTGTAGAATCTGCAAGAGGATATTTGGATAGCTTTGAGGATTTCTTGGGAAACGGGAATGTCTTCAGATAAACTCTAGACAGAAGCATTCTCAGAAACTTCTTTGGGATGTTTCAATTGAAGTCACAGTGTTGAACATTCCCTTTCACAGAGCAGGTTTGAAACACTCTTTTTGTAGTGTCTATAAGTGAACATTTGGCGTGCTTTCAGGCCTAACGTGAAAAAGGAAATATCTTCCCATAAAAACTAGACAGAAGCATTCTCAGAAACTTGTTTGTGATGTGTGCCCTCTACTGACAGAGTTGAACCTTTCCTTGCAAAGAGCAGCTTTGAAACACTCTTTTTGTAGAATCTGCAAGAGGCTATTTGGATAGCTTTGAGGATTTCGTTGGAAACGGTTATGTCTTCAGATAAACTCTAGACAGAAACATTCTCAGAAACTTCTTTGGGATGTTGCATTCAAGTCACAGAGTAGAACATTCCCATGCATAGAGCAGATTTGAAACACTCTTTTTGTAGTATCTGGAAGTGGACATTTGGAGCGCTTTCAGGCCTATGTTGAAAAAGGAAATATCTTCCCATAAAAACTAGACGGGAAGCATTCTCAGAAACTTATTTGTGATGTGTTTGCTCAACTAACAGGATTGAACCATCGTTTTGAAGGAGCAGTTTTGAAACACTGTTTTCGTGGAATCTGCAAGTGGATATTTGGCTAGCTTTGAGGATTTCGTTGGAAACGGGATTACATATAAAAAGGAGACAGCAGCATTCTCAGAAACTTCTTTGTGATGTCTGCATTCAATTCACAGAGTTGAGCATTCCCTTTCATAGAGCAGGTTGGAAACACTCTTTTTGTAGTATCTGGATGAGGACATTTGGAGCGCTTTCAGGCGTATGGTGAAAAAGGAAATATCTTCCCGTAAAAACTAGACATAAGCATTCTCAGAAGTTTATTTGTGATGTGTGCCCTCAACTAACAGAGTTGAACCTTTCTTTTGATAGAGCAGTTTTGAAACACTCTTTTTGTAAAATCTGCAAGAGGATATTTGGATAGCTTTGAGGATTTCGTTGCAAACGGGAATGGCTTCATATAAACTCTAGACAGAAGCATTCTCAGAAACTTCGTTGGGATGTTTCGATTGAAGTCCCAGTGTTGAACATTCCCTTTTATAGAGCAGGTTGGAAACACTCTTTCTGCATTCCCTGGAAGTGGACATTTGGAGCGCTTTCAGGACAACGGTGAAAATGGAAATATCTTCCAAGAAAATCTAGATAGAAGCAACGTCAGAAACTTTTCTGTGATGGAACTACTCAGCTAACAGAGTTGAACCTTTCTTTTGAGAGAGCAGTTTTGCAACACTCTTTTTGTGGAATATGCAAGTGGATATTAAGGCAGCTTTGAGGATTTCGTTGGAAACGGGAATACATGTAAAAAGCAGACAGCAGCATTCTCAGAAACTTCTTTGTGATGTTTGCATTGAAGTCACAGAGTTGAACATTCCCTTTGAGAGAGCAGGTTTGAAACACGCCTTTTGTCATATCTGGAAGTGTCCATTCGGAGCGCATTCAGGCTTGTGTTGAAAAAGGAAATATCCTCCCAGAAAAACTAGACAGAAGCATTCTCAGAAACTTATCTGTGATGTATGTACTCAACTAACAGAACTAAACCATCGTTTTGAAGGAGCAGTTTTGAAACACTCTTTTTGCGGAATCTGCAAGTGGATATTTGGCTAGCTGGGAGGATTTCGTTGGAAACGGGATTACATACAAAAAGCAGACAGCAGCATTCTCAGAAACTTCTTTGTGATGTTTGCATTCAAGTCACAGAGTTGAACATTCCCTTTCATAGAGCAGGTTTGAAACACTCTTTTTGTAGTATCTGGATGTGGACATTTGGATCGCTTTCAGGCCTATGGTGAAAAAGGAAATATCTTCCCATGAAAACTAGACAGAAGCATTCTCAGAAACTTATTTGTGATGTGTGCCCTCAACTGACAGTGTTGAACCTTTGTTTTGATAGAGCAGTTCTGAAACACACTTTTTGTAAAATCTGCAAGAGGATATTTGGATAGCTTTGAGGATTTCGTTGGAAACGGGAATGTCTTCATGTAAACTCTACACAGAAGCATTCTCAGAAACTGCTTTGGGATGTTTCAATTGAAGTCCTAGTGTTGAACATTCCCATTCATAGAGCAGGTTTGAAACACTCTTTTTGTACTATCTGGAAGTGGACATTTGGAGCGCTTTCAGGTCTACGGTGAAAAAGGAGATATCTTCCAATAAAAACTAGATAGAAGCAATGTCAGAACTTTTTTCATGATGTATCTACTCAGCAAACAGAGTTGAACCTTTCTTTTGAGAGAGCAGTTTTGAAACACTCTTTTTGTGGAATATGCAAGTGGGTATTAGGCCAGCTTGGAGGATTTCGTTGGAAACGGGAATACGTATAAAAAGCAGACAGCAGCATTGTCAGAAACTACTTTGTGATGTTTGCATGCAAGTCACAGAATGGAACACTGCCTTTCACAGAGCAGGTTTGAAACACTCTTTTTGTAGTGTCTGTAAGTGAACATTTGGATTGCTTTCAGGCCTAAGGTGAAAAAGGAAATATCTTCCCATAAAAACTAGACAGAAGCATTCTCAGAAACTTGTTTGTGATGTGTGCCCTCTACTGACAGAGTTGAACCTTTCTTTGCAAAGAGCAGTTTTGAAACACTCTTTTTGTAGAATCTGCAAGAGGATATTTGGATAGCTTTGAGGATTTCTTGGGAAACGGGAATGTCTTCAGATAAACTCTAGACAGAAGCATTCTCAGAAACTTCTTTGGGATGTTTCAATTGAAGTCACAGTGTTGAACATTCCCTTTCACAGAGCAGGTTTGAAACACTCTTTTTGTAGTGTCTATAAGTGAACATTTGGCGTGCTTTCAGGCCTAACGTGAAAAAGGAAATATCTTCCCATAAAAACTAGACAGAAGCATTCTCAGAAACTTGTTCGTGATGTGTCCCCTCTACTGACAGAGTTGAACCTTTCTTTGCAAAGAGCAGCTTTGAAACACACTTTTTGTAGAATCTGCAAGAGGATATTTGGATAGCTTGGAGGATTTCGTTGGAAACGGGTATGTCTTCAGATAAACTCTAGACAGAAGCATTCTCAGAAACTTCTTTGGGATGTTGCATTCAAGTCACAGAGTAGAACATTCCCATTCATAGAGCAGATTTGAAACACTCTTTTTGTAGTATCTGGAAGTGGACATTTGGAGCGCTTTCAGGCCTATGTTGAAAAAGGAAATATCTTCCCATAAAAACTAGACGGAAGCATTCTCAGAAACTTATTTGTGATGTGTTTGCTCAACTAACAGGATTGAACCATCGTTTTGAAGGAGCAGTTTTGAAACTCTGTTTTCGTGGAATCTGCAAGTGGATATTTGGCTAGCTTTGAGGATTTCGTTGGAAACGGGATTACATATAAAAAGGAGACAGCAGCATTCTCAGAAACTTCTTTGTGATGTTTGCATTCAATTCACAGAGTTGAGCATTCCCTTTCATAGAGCAGGTTTGAAACACTCTTTTTGTAGTATCTGGATGTGGACATTTGGATCGCTTTCAGGCCTATGGTGAAAAAGGAAATATCTTCCCATGAAAACTAGACAGAAGCATTCTCAGAAACTTATTTGTGATGTGTGCCCTCAACTGACAGTGTTGAACCTTTGTTTTGATAGAGCAGTTCTGAAACACACTTTTTGTAAAATCTGCAAGAGGATATTTGGATAGCTTTGAGGATTTCGTTGGAAACGGGAATGTCTTCATGTAAACTCTACACAGAAGCATTCTCAGAAACTGCTTTGGGATGTTTCAATTGAAGTCCCAGTGTTGAACATTCCCTTTCATAGAGCAGGTTTGAAACACTCTTTTTGTACTATCTGGAAGTGGACATTTGGAGCGCTTTCAGGTCTACGGTGAAAAAGGAGATATCTTCCAATAAAAACTAGATAGAAGCAATGTCAGAACTTTTTTCATGATGTATCTACTCAGCAAACAGAGTTGAACCTTTCTTTTGAGAGAGCAGTTTTGAAACACTCTTTTTGTGGAATATGAAAGTGGGTATTAGGCCAGCTTGGAGGATTTCGTTGGAAACGGGAATACGTATAAAAAGCAGACAGCAGCATTGTCAGAAACTACTTTGTGATGTTTGCATTCAAGTCACAGAACTGAACACTCCCTTTCACAGAGCAGGTTTGAAACACTCTTTTTGTAGTGTCTGTAAGTGAACATTTGGATTGCTTTCAGGCCTAAGGTGAAAAAGGAAATATCTTCCCATAAAAACTAGACAGAAGCATTCTCAGAAACTTGTTTGTGATGTGTGCCCTCTACTGACAGAGTTGAACCTTTCTTTGCAAAGAGCAGTTTTGAAACACTCTTTTTGTAGAATCTGCAAGAGGATATTTGGATAGATTTGAGGATTTCTTGGGAAACGGGAATGTCTTCAGATAAACTCTAGACAGAAGCATTCTCAGAAACTTCTTTGGGATGTTTCAATAGAAGTCACAGTGTTGAACATTCCCTTTCACAGAGCAGGTTTGAAACACTCTTTTTGTAGTGTCTATAATTGAACATTTGGCGTGCTTTCAGGCCTAACGTGAAAAAGGAAATATCTTCCCATAAAAACTAGACAGAAGCATTCTCAGAAACTTGTTCTTGATGTGTCCCCTCTACTGACAGAGTTGAACCTTTCTTTGCAAAGAGCAGCTTTGAAACACTCTTTTTGTAGAATCTGCAAGAGGATATTTGGATAGCTTGGAGGATTTCGTTGGAAACGGGTATGTCTTCAGATAAACTCTAGACAGAAGCATTCTCAGAAACTTCTTTGGGATGTTGCATTCAAGTCACAGAGTAGAACATTCCCATTCATAGAGCAGATTTGAAACACTCTTTTTGTAGTATCTGGAAGTGGACATTTGGAGCGCTTTCAGGCCTATGTTGAAAAAGGAAATATCTTCCCATAAAAACTAGACGGAAGCATTCTCAGAAACTTACTTGTGATGTGTTTGCTCAACTAACAGAATTGAACCATCGTTTTGAAGGAGCAGTTTTGAAACACTGTTTTCGTGGAATCTGCAAGTGGATATTTGGCTAGCTTTGAGGATTTCGTTGGAAACGGGATTACATATAAAAAGGAGACAGCAAGCATTCTCAGAAACTTCTTTGTGATGTTTGCATTCAAGTCACAGAGTTGAACATTCCCTTTCATAGAGCAGGTTTGAAACACTCTTTTTGTAGTATCTGGATGTGGACATTTGGATCGCTTTCAGGCCTATGGTGAAAAAGGAAATATCTTCCCATGAAAACTAGACAGAAGCATTCTCAGAAACTTATTTGTGATGTGTGCCCTCAACTGACAGTGTTGAACCTTTGTTTTGATAGAGCAGTTCTGAAACACACTTTTTGTAAAATCTGCAAGAGGATATTTGGATAGCTTTGAGGATTTCGTTGGAATCGGGAATTTCTTCATGTAAACTCTGGACAGAAGCATTCTCAGAAACTGCTTTGGGATGTTTCAATTGAAGTCCCAGTGTTGAACATTCCCTTTCATAGAGCAGGTTTGAAACACTCTTTTTGTACTATCTGGAAGTGGACATTTGGAGCGCTTTCAGGTCTACGGTGAAAAAGGAGATATCTTCCAATAAAAACTAGATAGAAGCAATGTCAGAACTTTTTTCATGATGTATCTACTCAGCAAACAGAGTTGAACTTTTCTTTTGAGAGAGCAGTTTTGAAACACTCTTTTTGTGGAATATGCAAGTGGGTATTAGGCCAGCTTGGAGGATTTCGTTGGAAACGGGAATACGTATAAAAAGCAGACAGCAGCATTGTCAGAAACTACTTTGTGATGTTTGCATTCAAGTCACAGAATTGAACACTCCCTTTCACAGAGCAGGTTTGAAACACTCTTTTTGTAGTGTCTGTAAGTGAACATTTGGATTGCTTTCAGGCCTAAGGTGAAAAAGGAAATATCTTCCCATAAAAACTAGACAGAAGCATTCTCAGAAACTTGTTTGTGATGTGTGCCCTCTACTGACAGAGTTGAACCTTTCTTTGCAAAGAGCAGTTTTGAAACACTCTTTTTGTAGAATCTGCAAGAGGATATTTGGATAGCTTTGAGGATTTCTTGGGAAACGGGAATGTCTTCAGATAAACTCTAGACAGAAGCATTCTCAGAAACTTCTTTGGGATGTTTCAATTGAAGTCACAGTGTTGAACATTCCCTTTCACAGAGCAGGTTTGAAACACTCTTTTTGTAGTGTCTATAAGTGAACATTTGGCGTGCTTTCAGGCCTAACGTGAAAAAGGAAATATCTTCCCATAAAAACTAGACAGAAGCATTCTCAGAAACTTGTTCGTGATGTGTGCCCTCTACTGACAGAGTTGAACCTTTTTTTGCAAAGAGCAGCTTTGAAACACTCTTTTTGTAGAATCTGCAAGAGGATATTTGGATAGCTTTGAGGATTTCGTTGGAAACGGGTATGTCTTCAGATAAACTCTAGACAGAAGCATTCTCAGAAACTTCTTTGGGATGTTGCATTCAAGTCACAGAGTAGAACATTCCCATTCATAGAGCAGATTTGAAACACTCTTTTTGTAGTATCTGGAAGTGGACATTTGGAGCGCTTTCAGGCCTATGTTGAAAAAGGAAATATCTTCCCATAAAAACTAGACGGAAGCATTCTCAGAAACTTATTTGTGATGTGTTTGCTCAACTAACAGGATTGAACCATCGTTTTGAAGGAGCAGTTTTGAAACACTGTTTTCGTGGAATCTGCAAGTGGATATTTGGCTAGCTTTGAGGATTTCGTTGGAAACGGGATAACATATAAAAAGGAGACAGCAGCATTCTCAGAAACTTCTTTGTGATGTTTGCATTCAAGTCACAGAGTTGAACATTCCCTTTCATAGAGCAGGTTTGAAACACTCTTTTTGTAGTATCTGGATGTGGACATTTGGATCGCTTTCAGGCCTATGGTGAAAAAGGAAATATCTTCCCATGAAAACTAGACAGAAGCATTCTCAGAAACTTATTTATGATGTGTGCCCTCAACTGACAGTGTTGAACCTTTGTTTTGATAGAGCAGTTCTGAAACACACTTTTTGTAAAATCTGCAAGAGGATATTTGGATAGCTTTGAGGATTTCGTTGGAAACGGGAATGTCTTCATGTAAACTCTAGACAGAAGCATTCTCAGAAACTGCTTTGGGATGTTTCAATTGAAGTCCCAGTGTTGAACATTCCCTTTCATAGAGCAGGTTTGAAACACTCTTTTTGTACTATCTGGAAGTGGACATTTGGAGCGCTTTCAGGTCTACGGTGAAAAAGGAGATATCTTCCAATAAAAACTAGATAGAAGCAATGTCAGAACTTTTTTCATGATGTATCTACTCAGCAAACAGAGTTGAACCTTTCTTTTGAGAGAGCAGTTTTGAAACACTCTTTTTGTGGAATATGCAAGTGGGTATTAGGCCAGCTTGGAGGATTTCGTTGGAAACGGGAATACGTATAAAAAGCAGACAGCAGCATTGTCAGAAACTACTTTGTGATGTTTGCATTCAAGTGACAGAATTGAACACTCCCTTTCACAGACCAGGTTTGAAACACTCTTTTTGTAGTGTCTGTAAGTGAACATTTGGATTGCTTTCAGGCCTAAGGTGAAAAAGGAAATATCTTCCCATAAAAACTAGACAGAAGCATTCTCAGAAACTTGTTTGTGATGTGTGCCCTCTACTGACAGAGTTGAACCTTTCTTTGCAAAGAGCAGTTTTGAAACACTCTTTTTGTAGAATCTGCAAGAGGATATTTGGATAGCTTTGAGGATTTCTTGGGAAACGGGAATGTCTTCATGTAAACTCTGGACAGAAGCATTCTCAGAAACTTCTTTGGGATGTTTCAATTGAAGTCACAGGGTTGAACATTCCCTTTCACAGAGCAGGTTTGAAACACTCTTTTTGTAGTGTCTATAAGTGAACATTTGGCGTGATTTCAGGCCAAACGTGAAAAAGGAAATATCTTCCCATAAAAACTAGACAGAAGCATTCTCAGAAACTTGTTCTTGATGTGTCCCCTCTACTGACAGAGTTGAACCTTTCTTTGCAAAGAGCAGCTTTGAAACACTCTTTTTGTAGAATCTGCAAGAGGATATTTGGATAGCTTGGAGGATTTCGTTGGAAACGGGTATGTCTTCAGATAAACTCTAGACAGAAGCATTCTCAGAAACTTCTTTGGGATGTTGCATTCAAGTCACAGAGTAGAACATTCCCATTCATAGAGCAGATTTGAAACACTCTTTTTGTAGTATCTGGAAGTGGACATTTGGAGCGCTTTCAGGCCTATGTTGAAAAAGGAAATATCTTCCCATAAAAACTAGACGGAAGCATTCTCAGAAACTTATTTGTGATGTGTTTGCTCAACTAACAGGATTGAACCATCGTTTTGAAGGAGCAGTTTTGAAACACTGTTTTCGTGGAATCTGCAAGTGGATATTTGGCTAGCTTTGAGGATTTCGTTGGAAACGGGATTACATATAAAAAGGAGACAGCAGCATTCTCAGAAACTTCTTTGTGATGTCTGCATTCAATTCACAGAGTTGAGCATTCCCTTTCATAGAGCACGTTGGAAACACTCTTTTTGTAGTATCTGGATGAGGACATTTGGAGCGCTTTCAGGCATATGGTGAAAAAGGAAATATCTTCCCGTAAAAACTAGACAGAAGCATTCTCAGAAATTTATTTGTGATGTGTGCCCTCAACTAACAGAGTTGAACCTTTCTTTTGATAGAGCAGTTTTGAAACACTCTTTTTGTAAAATCTGCAAGAGGATATTTGGATAGCTTTGAGGATTTCGTTGCAAACGGGAATGGCTTCATATAAACTCTAGACAGAAGCATTCTCAGAAACTTCGTTGGGATGTTTCGATTGAAGTCCCAGTGTTGAACATTCCCTTTTATAGAGCAGATTGGAAACACTCTTTTTGCATTCCCTGGAAGTGGACATTTGGAGCGCTTTCAGGACGACGGTGAAAATGGAAATATCTTCCAAGAAAATCTAGATAGAAGCAACGTCAGAAACTTTTATGTGATGGATCTACTCAGCTAACAGCAGTTGAACCTTTCTTTTGAGAGAGCAGTTTTGCAACACTCTTTTTGTGGAATATGCAAGTGGATATTAGGGCAGCTTTGAGGATTTCGTTGGAAACGGGAATACATGTAAAAAGGAGACAGCAGCATTCTCAGAAACTTCTTTGTGATGTTTGCATTGAAGTCACAGAGTTGAACATTCCCTTTGAGAGAGCAGGTTTGAAACACGCCTTTTGTCATATCTGGAAGTGTCCATTCGGAGCGCATTCAGGCTTGTGTTGAAAAAGGAAATATCCTCCCATAAAAACTAGACAGAAGCATTCTCAGAAACTTATCTGTGATGTATGTACCTCAACTAACAGAACTAAACCATCGTTTTGAAGGAGCAGTTTTGAAACACTCTTTTTGCGGAATCTGCAAGTGGATATTTGGCTAGCTGGGAGGATTTCGTTGGAAACGGGATTACATACAAAAAGCAGACAGCAGCATTCTCAGAAACTTCTTTGTGATGTTTGCATTCAAGTCACAGAGTTGAACATTCCCTTTCATAGAGCAGGTTTGAAACACTCTTTTTGTAGTATCTGGATGTGGACATTTGGATCGCTTTCAGGCCTATGGTGAAAAAGGAAATATCTTCCCATGAAAACTAGACAGAAGCATTCTCAGAAACTTATTTGTGATGTGTGCCCTCAACTGACAGTGTTGAACCTTTGTTTTGATAGAGCAGTTCTGAAACACACTTTTTGTAAAATCTGCAAGAGGATATTTGGATAGCTTTGAGGATTTCGTTGGAAACGGGAATGTCTTCATGTAAACTCTACACAGAAGCATTCTCAGAAACTGCTTTGGGATGTTTCAATTGAAGTCCCAGTGTTGAACATTCCCATTCATAGAGCAGGTTTGAAACACTCTTTTTGTACTATCTGGAAGTGGACATTTGGAGCGCTTTCAGGTCTACGGTGAAAAAGGAGATATCTTCCAATAAAAACTAGATAGAAGCAATGTCAGAACTTTTTTCATGATGTATCTACTCAGCTAACAGAGTTGAACCTTTCTTTTGAGAGAGCAGTTTTGAAACACTCTTTTTGTGGAATATGCAAGTGGGTATTAGGCCAGCTTGGAGGATTTCGTTGGAAACGGGAATACGTATAAAAAGCAGACAGCAGCATTGTCAGAAACTACTTTGTGATGTTTGCATTCAAGTCACAGAATTGAACACTCCCTTTCACAGAGCAGGTTTGAAACACTCTTTTTGTAGTGTCTATAAGTGAACATTTGGCGTGCTTTCAGGCCTAAGGTGAAAAAGGAAATATCTTCCCATAAAAACTAGACAGAAGCATTCTCAGAAACTTGTTCTTGATGTGTGCCCTCTACTGACAGAGTTGAACCTTTCTTTGCAAAGAGCAGTTTTGAAACACTCTTTTTGTAGAATCTGCAAGAGGATATTTGGATAGCTTTGAGGATTTCTTGGGAAACGGGAATGTCTTCAGATAAACTCTAGACAGAAGCATTCTCAGAAACTTCTTTGGGATGTTTCAATTCAAGTCACAGTGTTGAACATTCCCTTTCACAGAGCAGGTTTGAAACACTCTTTTTGTAGTGTCTATAAGTGAACATTTGGCGTGCTTTCAGGCGTAACGTGAAAAAGGAAATATCTTCCCATAAAAACTAGACAGAAGCATTCTCAGAAACTTGTTCTTGATGTGTCCCCTCTACTGACAGAGTTGAACCTTTCTTTGCAAAGAGCAGCTTTGAAACACTCTTTTTGTAGAATCTGCAAGAGGATATTTGGATAGCTTGGAGGATTTCGTTGGAAACGGGTATGTCTTCAGATAAACTCTAGACAGAAGCATTCTCAGAAACTTCTTTGGGATGTTGCATTCAAGTCACAGAGTAGAACATTCCCATTCATAGAGCAGATTTGAAACACTCTTTTTGTAGTATCTGGAAGTGGACATTTGGAGCGCTTTCAGGCCTATGTTGAAAAAGGAAATATCTTCCCATAAAAACTAGACGGAAGCATTCTCAGAAACTTAATTGTGATGTGTTTGCTCAACTAACAGGATTGAACCATCGTTTTGAAGGAGCAGTTTTGAAACACTGTTTTCGTGGAATCTGCAAGTGGATATTTGGCTAGCTTTGAGGATTTCGTTGGAAACGGGATTACATATACAAAGGAGACAGCAGCATTCTCAGTAAACTTCTTTATGATGTCTGCATTCAAGTCACAGAGTTGAGCATTCCCTTTCATAGAGCAGGTTGGAAACACTCTTTGTGTAGTATCTGGATGAGGACATTTGGAGTGCTTTCAGGCGTATGGTGAAAAAGGAAATATCTTCCCGTAAAAACTAGACAGAAGCATTCTCAGAAGTTTATTTGTGATGTGTGCCCTCAACTAACAGAGTTGAACCTTTCTTTTGATAGAGCAGTTTTGAAACACTCTTTTTGTAAAATCTGCTAGAGGATATTTGGATAGCTTTGAGGATTTCGTTGCAAACGGGAATGGCTTCATATAAACTCTAGACAGAAGCATTCTCAGAAACTTCGTTGGGATGTTTCGATTGAAGTCCCAGTGTTGAACATTCCCTTTTATAGAGCAGGTTGGAAACACTCTTTCTGCATTCCCTGGAAGTGGACATTTGGAGCGCTTTCAGGACGACGGTGAAAATGGAAATATCTTCCAAGAAAATCTAGATAGAAGCAACAGTCAGAAACTTTTCTGTGATGGATCTACTCAGCTAACAGAGTTGAACCTTTCTTTTGAGAGAGCAGTTTTGCAACACTCTTTTTGTGGAATATGCAAGTGGATATTAGGGCAGCTTTGAGGATTTCGTTGGAAACGGGAATACATGTAAAAAGCAGACAGCAGCATTCTCAGAAACTTCTTTGTGATGTTTGCATTGAAGTCACAGAGTTGAACATTCCCTTTGAGAGAGCAGGTTTGAAACACGCCTTTTGTCATATCTGGAAGTGTCCATTCGGAGCGCATTCAGGCTTGTGTTGAAAAAGGAAATATCCTCCCATAAAAACTAGACAGAAGCATTCTCAGAAACTTATCTGTGATGTATGTACTCAACTAACAGAACTAAACCACCGTTTTGAAGGAGCAGTTTTGAAACACTCTTTTTGCGGAATCTGCAAGTGGATATTTGGCTAGCTGGGAGGATTTCGTTGGAAACGGGATTACATACAAAAAGCAGACAGCAGCATTCTCAGAAACTTCTTTGTGATGTTTGCATTCAAGTCACAGAGTTGAACATTCCCTTTCATAGAGCAGGTTTGAAACACTCTTTTTGTAGTATCTGGATGTGGACATTTGGATCGCTTTCAGGCCTATGGTGAAAAAGGAAATATCTTCCCATGAAAACTAGACAGAAGCATTCTCAGAAACTTATTTGTGATGTGTGCCCTCAACTGACAGTGTTGAACCTTTGTTTTGATAGAGCAGTTCTGAAACACACTTTTTGTAAAATCTGCAAGAGGATATTTGGATAGCTTTGAGGATTTCGTTGGAAACGGGAATGTCTTCATGTAAACTCTACACAGAAGCATTCTCAGAAACTGCTTTGGGATGTTTCAATTGAAGTCCCAGTGTTGAACATTCCCATTCATAGAGCAGGTTTGAAACACTCTTTTTGTACTATCTGGAAGTGGACATTTGGAGCGCTTTCAGGTCTACGGTGAAAAAGGAGATATCTTCCAATAAAAACTAGATAGAAGCAATGTCAGAACTTTTTTCATGATGTATCTACTCAGCAAACAGAGTTGAACCTTTCTTTTGAGAGAGCAGTTTTGAAACACTCTTTTTGTGGAATATGCAAGTGGGTATTAGGCCAGCTTGGAGGATTTCGTTGGAAACGGGAATACGTATAAAAAGCAGACAGCAGCATTGTCAGAAACTACTTTGTGATGTTTGCATTCAAGTCACAGAATTGAACACTCCCTTTCACAGAGCAGGTTTGAAACACTCTTTTTGTAGTGTCTGTAAGTGAACATTTGGATTGCTTCAGGCCTAAGGTGAAAAAGGAAATATCTTCCCATAAAAACTAGACAGAAGCATTCTCAGCAAACTTGTTTGTGATGTGTGCCCTCTACTGACAGAGTTGAAACTTTCTTTGCAAAGAGCAGTTTTGAAACACTCTTTTTGTAGAATCTGCAAGAGGATATTTGGATAGCTTTGAGGATTTCTTGGGAAACGGGAATGTCTTCAGATAAACTCTAGACAGAAGCATTCTCAGAAACTTCTTTGGGATGTTTCAATTGAAGTCACAGTGTTGAACATTCCCTTTCACAGAGCAGGTTTGAAACACTCTTTTTGTAGTGTCTATAAGTGAACATTTGGCGTGCTTTCAGGCGTAACGTGAAAAAGGAAATATCTTCCCATAAAAACTAGACAGAAGCATTCTCAGAAACTTCTTCGTGATGTGTGCCCTCTACTGACAGAGTTGAACCTTTCTTTGCAAAGAGCAGCTTTGAAACACTCTTTTTGTAGAATCTGCAAGAGGATATTTGGATAGCTTGGAGGATTTCGTTGGAAACGGGTATGTCTTCAGATAAACTCTAGACAGAAGCATTCTCAGAAACTTCTTTGGGATGTTGCATTCAAGTCACAGAGTAGAACATTCCCATTCATAGAGCAGATTTGAAACACTCTTTTTGTAGTATCTGGAAGTGGACATTTGGAGCGCTTTCAGGCCTATGTTGAAAAAGGAAATATCTTCCCATAAAAACTAGACGGAAGCATTCTCAGAAACTTACTTGTGATGTGTTTGCTCAACTAACAGAATTGAACCATCGTTTTGAAGGAGCAGTTTTGAAACACTGTTTTCGTGGAATCTGCAAGTGGATATTTGGCTAGCTTTGAGGATTTCGTTGGAAACGGGATTACATATAAAAAGGAGACAGCTTTTTTTTTTTTTTGAGACAGAGTCTTGCTCTGTTGCCCAGGCTGGTCTCAGTGGGATCCTCTAGAGTCGACCTGCAAGGAGCGCTTTCAGGCGTATGGTGAAAAAGGAAATATCTTCCCGTAAAAACTAGACAGAAG